>NC_000003.12:140675270-140978301 GCF_000001405.40 Homo sapiens | reverse complement strand
TGTCAAAGCTGAAATTTACCATAAAAGGTACGAATAATTCCAAAGGTAAGAAAACTGATTTTGCCTTTGGTCTCCAAATAGATTGGAATATTTTTATTCCAATTGAGCACCTCAAAAACATCCAGTTACTGTTGATCACAAGGAAGTTAAAGTGGGGGAATTTAACAGGGCACTATGTTTCACTGGTGACAGCAGAGAAAGCTTGCAATGACACGCTGCAATATTCTATAATGTTGGGGGTACGACAGGGTACACAGAATACCTAAAACATTTATATTAAGGATATCCGAAACAACATATTTAAAACCCAGAAAAATGTTATGAACACTGTTTCTGCCTAATACGTGACCAATGTTTTTGTTTTTTTTTTTAATCTTAACATGGTATTCTCTCCTACTCTCTCACCCTCCCCCCCAAAAAAGGCCACAAAGTGCTTTCACGAAGCGTCATTCTTTTAGATAAAGCCATTGCACAAAATGTACAGTTCAGGTATACTGAAATGAGTACCACACCGGCGTCCAATTGCGGCAGTTTTTATACACCAGTATGGCATAGGCGAAGTCTTTTAACAGAATTACAGCAAACACCTTTATAAGGGCCATACAAATAACACATTTAAAGTATTAAAAGGTACAGCTGACTCAATAGCAGAATTTAAAAGCTACATCCTATTAGCACATTTAACCCAAATGAACTTGAATCTTTCTATGATTTACCACGCAGGAAACTAGGACAGAATAAATTTCTTGTCAAAAGCAGTTTGTTCATTTACACAAAACTATAAGTCAATTAATGTCACTACCTGCTAAAGCAGACAGCAAGGGGGCCCTTGTCTATAATATTTATACTGTCCCAAATATTGTCACCTTAAAATGGCAAAACTTTAAATTACTATTTTCTTTACAAAATAAATGTAATCTATTATATATAGACCTGGAAAAAACTCAAAAGTTCAAATTCTTAATGTGAAAGCAAGTAGGTAAAGATTCAAAAGTGAAAAAATCTTTTACACTTTATGTAAATGATACTTAAGTATGACAAAGAGGTGATAATTCAAGTTCGTAACTAGTAAGTCACTAAAAAGATAAATGCATTCATTCATGTACCACAAAATCAGAGAAGACACGAGGACATGCCGCAGTCAGTGAAAAAGCCGAGAAATCAACATTTTACTAGTTATTTTGTCCCAAACTATTACCATGTGTGTTTGGTATGTTAACAATTTAAATATCCACATTAGGCTAAACAACAAGCACCTGTCAGCAGTGGAAACCAAAACATTTTGATGCTAAAAAATATACAAGATATTTAGACGCTATTTCATTGGTTGTCAAAAACAGTGACTACTGCCAAATAATTAAATTTAAAATATTGTGCCAGGTCCTCTCAGGGAAATGTGAAAATAATACTGACGATCTCATTGTCATTGCTGTTATTTTACTGGAATTAAACAAAGGCCAGAAGTTATAAATTTATGACTGCCAATACTATCTTTGGATAGTTACAATACAGTATGTAAAATTAAGGATGGCTTTGTTTAGAAGACTGCCATAAATCAACAAAACCCAACTGTGTCTGGGGGACATGGTAGAGAAAATGGCAATTTTGAGAGAGGAGTGCTTCTAAAGGCATTTCCTTGGAGGCTCTGAGGTTTTTTTTTTTTTTCACATTACCGAAAGGCCAAGTAATGTGGTGTGATTACTATAATTCCTACAACAAAACTTCCACTTAGAATAGTTACATGTTCCCAAACTATTTTTCTTCTGTCTGCCATGCTGGCTTCTGTATCCCATGGTCCACTGTAATCTTTTGGTCTTCTTTTTTTGCAGTACAGCAGTCCTCGTGCTGCTATCCATTGAGTAGGTAAACCACCAATTCATAGGTGGCCATCATAATGGCTGTGTTTGGAATCTGTCTCACTAGATGAGTTGTCAGACCACGATAAAGAGACCCATAACCTTCTTCTTGAACAAGCAAAGATAGAGTCTGAAAAAAAGATCTGTATTTTGTTCCCTCTTCACGTAGTCTTGTTCTTACAACTTCTGTGTAGGAAAGAAATAAAATTAAACATTACTGATATCTTTACACTCTTCTAATTATAACTGAGCACATCCCATTTATCAGTCTGTAAGTGTAAGCTCAGGATAAAAAAGGATGGCTTCTAATGTGTAGCTTATTGAAACCAGTCACATTATAGTAACATCAAACTTCTAATATGGCCAAAATCATGTACATTAATTATAGACTTTATAGTCTTTGAATGTAAAAAGACACAATATAACAAGAGAGAAGTATCAGTTGTATGCTAGATAAACAGATAAAAGGAAGAATAGAAATGAGAAGGAGGAAAAGGTGAAGAGGCAGTAAAGAGGTGGCATCCAGGATGAATATAAAAAGGATACAGTGAGAAACAAGCAGAAAAGATTTGTTTAAAGTGAGTACTACAAAGAAACAATAGCATTATTAATCTATTCAAAACAGTCCACATATATGAATGTGAAACATCATGTGGACAAAGAAGTTGACAATGTTCCAAACACTAGCTGCCAGCTATAAAACCCAGTCTGGGAATCAGGTAAGCAAAAATAATAAATTTTTAAGAGCTGAATGAACCTTAAAGATTAGTCAGTCCAATTTTTCCTCATTTTAAAAGGTGAGAAATTGGAGCTACTGAGAAATTTTGGCCAGTTGTGGGTAGAAGCTGGGACAAGAACTCACAGCTTCCTATGTAACTACTTTTTTTTACATCCACTATTCCTCAAATTTTTTCAGCACAGTATTCCAGATGGGCCTAGGGAAATAGTCTAAAGCAACCCACAGCAATTGTAACTATTTACTTGAAATCTGTTCTGTCTTAAAGATTCGTGCCATTTAACTCCAAAATGTCCTGTTTGGACAGGTGTGGTGGCTCATGCCTGAGCCTGACTAGCATTCTGGGAGGCCGAGGTGGGAGAATCGCTTGAGCCCAGAGTTTGAGACCAGCCTGGGGAACCCAGCAAGACTATGTCTCTACTAAAAATTAAAAAATTAGCTGGGCATAGTGGCCTGAGCTCATAGTCCCAGCTACTTGGGAGGCTGGGGCAGGAGGATTAATTGAGCCTTGGAGTTCAAGGTTGCAGGGAGCTATGATCATGTGACTGCACTCAAGCCTGGGTGACACAGTGAGATCCTATCAAAAAAAAAAAAAAAAAAAAAAAAAAAAAAGAATGTATCTTGTTTATCAACTGTACCTCTTCCTGTAATGACATCATCTCACTTCAAGGGAAAAGACTGTTTAAACCCCAAAACTCTGTTCCTTACACCTTAGCAGGCCACCATCCTAACCTACCCCATAGGTCAGTATCTAAACAATATTGCTGATACTGTCCTATTTTGACTTCTTTTAGAAAAGTCAGGAACTTCCTTCAGGAAACTGAGATAAGTTCATAGTCCAACCTGGTTAAAGAGTTGGTTTCATAAATTACTATTAGAGCAAATACACATTTTCTAGGCCTGGCTCATTTTTCCTGATATAATATACAATGGAGACGGTAAATATTAATCAGTGTAAGTGAACAAAAATGAAGCGCTTACATTAAAAAACAAATCTTAAACATGCAAAAATCAAAAGCGACACTTAAAACAACCAAAAAAGCTACCAAAAAACCTCAGCATGTAGCAGATAAATTCTTAAGTGATTTACCTAGCTATTAATGAAATAGGCTATTATAAAATTTAAATACAGAAATAAAAGGAATTATTAACACATACTTATTTGCCAACATGAAATAATGTAAAATAGCTTGGTCTTTGGGATTACAGACTTTAATTCAAATTTGGGCTTCACCATTAAGTAGGTATGTGACCTTGGGCAAGTTATTTCATGTTTACATTTCTTTTCAGTATTCAATTTGAAAAGGAGAACAATTCTGGTTATGTTCTAGCATAACAGGGAAAATAAGTACTTTAGAGAATTTTTATGTAGATTAGTAATGTATGTAAACTATCTAGTATAGCACCTACATACATACTTTTTTCAAAACTTAGAAACTTGCCCAAAAGTCACCAAGCTGAAGTGAGTAAGGCTGGAATTTGACTGACTTCAGAGCTCATGCTCAATCACCACCATGCTATTTGATAGCATAATACTGACCTATTAATACAGCCTACATTACTTAACCAGATTTAATCTCATTATGAACTCCCAATAATTGTATTTTGTTATACCAGAATGCAGTAAAATTATAAATGCTTTAATAAGTGAGCTGTTGGCTGGGGTGGGAAAATATTTCTGATTTAATAGATAACTCTTCTTACCATGTGGATATGCTATAGTTGTGGCACAAGTTTTTGAGGTGGCAGCAGCTAGCATCATTCCCACAAAATCTGATGCTTCTTTCACAGACTCTTCATCATTTTCCATTGTAGAAGCAGTCTTATATTCCAGTAGTTTTTGTTTTATACTTTCATAAATAACAAAATGGATAACAGTCTCTGATATACCAGCATATGAAGCAGACATGCCCCTATAAAATCCTTTTAGTCCATCTGTCTGATACACTTTACGAACACATTCAAAAGCACCCATTCGCCTTTCCCCGCGGTTCCTGAAAAGCAAAAAGAAACATCTTACTGATAGGTTTTTTAAAGTAAGTAAAATATAATAAAATATGTCATTCTAATAATAAAAGAATGGCCTTCTTTAACTCATGAAGAATTAGAATTTTAAAACAATATTCATATTTTAGATTTCCTATTCTTTTGTCCCAAATTTGTCATATTAAATGGGTGATATGTAAATAGTTTATTTTACTGAATGCAAAATGCACTACACTGAATCTTCGGTCTCATGTCCTCATTGGGGTTCACATGGCAGGGATAAGCAACAAAATCCTTTAGGAACTATACACCCTGACTGCAGCTCAAGACAAAAACAAAACAAAGTAAACAAAAATCCTCACACTGTATTAATTCCAGTTCTAAGTAAGCTGAATTTCCTTTGCATTTAGTAACATAAATAGAATGACTGAGACACCAATGATGATAGAATATCATAAACCAGGCAGTATGATTAACTAAAATTCTGTGCACCTGAGGGATTCTCTTTCAACCCCACTCATATTCTCCCAAGAAGTGATAGGGTGAATGTAAGTCAAATTCCCTATGATCATTTAAAGGCAATGGTCATATCAGTCTCCCTGGTGACTAGTAAATGAGAAACTGTAGTGTTATATTTATTCAGTACTCTTCCTAATACAATTTCCTTAGTTCTACTTAAGGGGGCAGCACCTACTCTTATAGAATACAACATCTCCTACACATGTAATTTTGAGTTTTAACAATATTTGTTACCTTACACTGATTCCCCCAACAGGTCCTTATCTATAAGAGACAGGTTTAAATGCTACCTACTAAAAAAACAGAAAATTTACCTATTTATAAATTATACCTAACTTGTTTCTGACATAAAATAAAATCACAACTACAACACCCACTTAATTACCTACAGATTCCACCAGTTTTATGAATGGATTGTCTTTAGATATTGAATACCTATTAGATAAATGATCCACAAACCAACTGTAACTAGTTTCATTAAAGATCCTTCCTCACAAGAAAGTTAAAAGAGATACAAATCCTGAAAGGTGACATATCAGCCCTATTTTTATTTTTTTATTAATTTTTTTCTTTTTCTTTTTTTTCTTTTTTAACAGATGGAGTCTCCATGGTGCAATCATGGCTCACTGCAGCCTCAAACTCCTGGGCTCAAGCAATCCTCCCACCTCAGCCTCCCAGGTAGCTAGGATTATAGGCATGCATTTTTTATAGAGATTAAGTCTTGCAATGTTGCCCAGGCTGTTCTTAAACTCCTGGCCTCAAGCAATCCTCCTGCCCTGGCCTCTCAAAGCTCTGGGATTACAGGCATGATCCACTGCGCTCAGCCCTCAGCCTTATAAACCAGAATCCTCAAGTCAACCTTTCATTATTACCCCACCCCTATCCAATTCCCCAACCCCACAAGCCTAAGAATTGTGCCAGCTTGTGTTACAATTATAAGTGGAAAAAAATAATATTAAAGAGTTTTAAGTCATGCTTTTCCTGGATTCCTCATAGAGCAACGCTAAACATAGTGAAACCTAACTCTGGTAGTTTACAATAGAATAATGTGGACTAGCATCTTGTACTTTCTAATCTTTGGAATAAGTCTTAGCTACCACTACTTTTCAGATATGTGGCTTTAAGAAATAAACTTGGAGTTTTGCTACAACACTTAAGATTTCATTAAAAGATCTATTTCAGATGAAACAATTAGATATTTCTTTTCAAGTTTCCAAATAGTATATAGTTCAACATAACAGAAGATGGAAAACAGATATTTAAGCAGGCATAATTGTTAATGATTTATTAGATCAGTTTTACCTAAAGCCTATAGGACATAACACTATTTCCCAAACACCAAAATATAAAAACAGTAGAAACATGTTATACACAGAACCTACTCCAGACTGAAAGTCTAAAATAGTTTAAAACCATTAACATTATTATTGTAACATATAAGATAGGACCATCTCGTTACTTAAGAGTCTCTATTCTAAAGCCAGTAGGAGAGTTGAGATGGCAAGACCCTACGCAGCACTGCTTTTGGCCTACTCTCAGTTCCCAGAACACCAAAGGCCCTACACTTTAGAACCTCTGAGGTTTGCACCGATTGGTTCCTCAGCTTAAAATGGGTTCAAAAAACCTTTCCTTGATTATTCCATTTAAAATAAGTCCCCACTGTTTCCTGGTGCATCTCTAAGACGTAGCAGTATCTGCTAATATAGATTTGTTGAATGAATGAATCTTGCTATTATAAAGTGGTCAGTGGTAACAGACGATATATGAGAACTGTCTGTCAGCCTAGGGTTCTCTATTCACAAGGTCACTAAATTTGAGCAATGATCCTCAAAGATTCAGTCTAGACTAGCTGACCTTGTGGCTTACTTAGCTTCTGCGAGGCCAATTATAAGTACCCATGTAAGGAAAGTATTACCTTTTGGGCTGGGTTAATCTATCTCTTTCTTTCCTTTCTGTTTCTCTATGGTATCTTTCTAGCCACTCTTTTTAAAACAAAACAAAACAAAACAACACATATTAATAATATACTTTTTTCACCTGGAAAAGTTCATATTGTCAACTCTTACATTATCTTTTTTCTGATGGCAGACCCAAGTTTCAAAATTAAACTACAACAACAAACAAATTCAGCAGCAAAGGAAAGAAAAACTTTGTAGAAAAAAAATTAGTTAAATCCACTTTAACCAATTTTATTTTAAGGAATTAACATACCTTGCATCAAGCTGTAACCGAGTCTTTATAAGCCAAATGGGGTTGGTTGCTGTGATTGCAGTAAAACCTAAACAAACATGTTTAAAATGAACTCTGGTAAAAATGAAGAATTCACTATTAACTTTAAGGTTTTAAAAATTAGATAAATCTACATTCAAGAAAATGTATATAAATAAACTACTAATTTATGTATATATTACACTTTTCACATACGACAAACATTTGTCTTCACTTCCAATCTATATGAATTCTCAAATTCTGTCCTTAACTAACAGATTCTTTTAAAAGCAAAATGAATATAAATTGCTTTCCCAACCTACTTAGAATATCCTTTAGGGTGCTCTCTACTGTCTAAGCTGAATTCAGAAATCCATCTCTACAAACACATAGACATTTTGTGTATTCTACGGCTAAAAAGCATGCACTTGGGATCCTTAAAACCAGCTAAAAAAAACAGTTACCTGGGGTTTGATTAGCATCCCAAATCACTACATTCAAAATGAATTCTACACAAATGTCAAATTTTACCAATAGTTTGATCTTTAGTTGATTATATAGTGGAAAAGACTGTTGTTTGGCCCCATGAATACTTTCTACATATATACATACTAATACTGTTAAAATAACCGTATCACAGTAAGGTTTTTGTTAGGGTTAATAGGACAGGCCTATCGTCATTTACTTAAACACATACAAAAACTCAAAAGTTCAAAAAGTCACAAATTGGAAGTTCCCTCTTTTATAGACATGGAATAAACTCAGGGTAGAAGACAGCTCTAGTTTACTTTAAAACTAAAGTATTATGTACTAGGTATTGGTGCAGAATGGTGGTCACCTAAGATGGCTCATTCCAGGTAGTAAATTAAGATCTACCTGGAACAGTATGTTTCTAGGATAGTGCATATGTTTTACTTGCCACCTTCCTAGCTATGGAAAAATAGCACACAAAATACAGTCTTGATGACAGAAACTTATAAAGATTGCTTCATCTACACAAAACAGGGTTTTAATTTACACAGACTTCATAGAACTACTTACGTTAAGTTACATTTACTCAATAAAAAATTATATGCAGAAATGTTTAAGGATCTTAACTGTTTTAATATTTCTATCAAATACTAGTGGGTCAGGCACATTCTTTTTATAAAGGTGGCTAATGATCAGTACATTTAAGATGAGTAAAGTACTTACAGGAACAGAAATGCTACAATATACTTAAGAATAATTTGTTTTTAAATTAATATAGTACAGATCCAATCATAAACCTTTCTTGGCTTTCAAAGGTGTATCTACATATGCAAAATAATTACACTAAATTGTTTCCAAAGCTGAATTTGGTCTCACAGGGTTCTTTTCTATGTCAGTAACTGAGTAACTCAAATTTTACTTCCTCAACCCACTGTTTTAACATTGTAGAAATAGCCAGACGTTATACAAATGGATGCTCCAATTAAATCTATTTAGCAAGCAAGATAAATGGGATACAAATTCAATTTAAATAATTCCTTTAATACTTTTATAAAGATTATATATTCTACATTTCTCTTAAGTGCTTTTAATACTACATATGTAAGTATAAAACTAGAATGGGACCAACAGTTTTAGACGCATCAGCAGGTACTAAACTGATAAAATTTAAAGTGTTGAGCAGGCTGCCAGGAACATCTTTTTAAATAAAAGGTTCTTTTCATGCATATATTCTTGGTAAAAGAAAAGAAAAGAAAAACATGAAACTATCAGACCAGTTTAAATATTTTCTTGCATGGTTCTAGCTTAACTGAGAATAAAGTTATAGAGTATTATTTTTCTCTTCTTTTGAACCTCATTTTTCTACATGAAAAGGCTAGGATATTCAAATTATATTTTAAAGCAATCAGACATCAATATTCTGGTCAAACTCCAATTTAATGATTCTTGTTTTGTAAACTTAAATATTTGTAATAGCTAAATATGTCTGTACAGCAAAATTAAGGGTTTATGAGTAAAAAGCTGCTAAGCAGCATAAACCAACAAAATATTCTGCATCACTATAATGATTTTTATTAATCATTTTATAGAAATCTTAAGAAAAACTATTTGCTTTTTATTGAATTTTAAAAGCTTAAAACTGGGAATCTTTACATCAAACTTTTTAAAAAACAGCCAATCTAGGTAAAAATTCTCATTCATCTTATTATACTTATTTGAAAAGAAGATGAGCACCTAAGTTTTTTTTTTTTTAAATAAAAGTTCTACTTCTAAAAACATAAATTTTAAGCAGTACCCAAGCTTCTGTCCATAATACTCTTCCAAGTCACAAAAGAATTTGAGGCTGGAAAAAAACCCATATATAAAAAACTTTACAATAGTACAATAAATTTTTATAAATGTTGTTAGGAACAAAACCTTTTAAAGACCCATAAATTATAATTTTAAATTATTCTCTGTACATATTACTATAATGTCAGAAAGCAAACAACAGGTATTTCTCACTTAACTAAAATTCATTTCCAAGCACAAATTAACCTATGTAACAGGACACATTAAAATTTAGGTAAGTGAGAGAATGTTATCTTATCCCTACGTAATTGCTATTATCAGTAAGCTATGTTTACTATGGTTGCTCTGGCTCAACTCTCCCAATGAGAGCTAGCTCTTTATAAAGACACTAACCTAAATGCCAGCAAACCATTGGGTTAGGTAAAGAATCTAGACACAATCCACAGTTTTAGCTATTAGCCCTTTACCGCTAAAAACTCAGGTCCTTGAGTTTTATGCTATTACTTTCTCCTAACCAAAGACACTTTAACAAACTAAATAGACATTACTAGGCTAATTACATCTAATAAATATAATCTAATAATCTAAGAAATGAAGCCAATGGAAAAAAACAAAAATTTATCGTAACTTAGCATTATATATGGTAAGGCAATTTGAGGTTAGCCCAAGCTAAACATATCTTCCCACTACTTATATGACAAACACACACAAAGATACTGGGAATGGTGCCCCTGAAATTTAGAAATTGCCTATTACTTTTTATTTTGCATTTTAATTTTGTGACATTTTCATAATTTGCCAATTTATATTAAGATTCTGAGCACCTAGTGAAACATGAAAATGAACTTAAGACGACATGAGGGATCCATTTGTAAGTTAAGAAGAACTAATATTGCTCCACAGTCAGTTAAAGCAAAGTGCCAATATATTGGCCATACTCTTAGTAGGATGGTTAGTATGTTAGAAAGCTTAAAAAATTTTTAAAAATGCTACTTTAAAAGTTTTGCTTTATCTAAGTAAGATTCCATTTGATAGTGTCGAGCAATTAAAAACCAGATTAACAGAAAAATTCTGCTTAAACTTGCTGAAAATGTTGATTTCATTAAGTGAGTGATACCTGTAGTGTTGCATTTTCAGTACTTTTTATTTCAACTTCTGTAAGAACAAAGCCCACCTAACCTCCTAAATGTATTAACACCACTTTTAAAAGTAATTAAAACTAAAACAGCTAAGATCCCATATATTCTTATCCTGCATTTATTTGCAAAGTAATTAATTTTTGTTTTTTTTGCAAAAGAGTTCTAAGAAAGCCAAGTATCAACAGACAAAAAAGAATGGAAAGCATTGTATTAGGCTTTTAAATATGTTATGCTAAGCAAAGAGAACTATGATTTTATCTAAAACTTTTAAGATAGTATAATACCATTTACAGCTATATATATATTGTTATTACATTCTTTGGAGGTCAAGGCTGTTATGGCCAAGCTGAAGACCCCAGGCTTTTATTACATGATGACTGAAAAATACCTCATTCTTCCTTCTAGAAGGAATATTATAAAGGAATCAGACTTAGCAATGCACACACAAATTCAGGAAATAAAAGTTAATTTCCCGCCTTCTAATTCCACAGCTATCATAAAATCCCAGGGTGGGTTTCTTATACTACAGGCTGCAAGAGATGCTCAGATCAGTACTCACGAGGTTTAAGTTAGTCCATATTTCTACAGGAAGTGACCTGCGGATGGGGAGCATGAGATGACACGATCTCACTCTTTTCTCGGGAGAAATGTACAGTAAATGCCTAAAATAGACACAGGCTTTTCTGTATCATAACAACAAGCAGTGACCTCATCAGAAACATGTGTACAAATTGAATCCTATTGGAAGGATTTGAGAAATATTTACTGTGAGATCTAACTTTTTTGAAAATTTTAAGTTAAAAAAAAGAAAGGAATATCAAAATGGGCCATTTAAAAAAATGTACCGAGTACTGAAAATCCTGCCATCTGCAGCAGTTTCAGAATCTAAATACTTACCTAAAAGAAGATCAATTCTGCCTTAAAGAAAAAATGCTAACCTTGTCAAAAGGGAATATTTAGAGGGGATCATCATCTCCCATTTTCCTACCACTATTATCTATTATAATTAAGGAGATGAAAACACAATTTCTATCCTTTAACAATCAGCCTACTTAATAAATCTTAAAAAAAAAAAAACCAACAGAATATTCAAGTAACTTCATTTTGGAGCTATTTATATAAATTTTTAATAAAATAAAGAATACGTTGCTACAATAGTACCTTTCACCTTTTGCACTATGGCCAGTAATATTGCACATCCATACTTATGAAATATTTTGCATTATTTTGTATTTAATTTCTTGTGTTCTACAAAACAAAAAACAGGAAGAATGTTTACACACAAACACACAAAACATCTGTCCAACCATCCATCTGGCTGAATTAACTGCCATGGACAAATAAAATATTTTTAAAAAATATTTCATAAATGCAAGACAATACCTGTATTTAATGAGTAAAAGCCTTTATTATAATGAAATTTAAGTCTAATAGAAAAACATAAATTGAAAAATAACTGTATGCTGTGAGCAAATAAAACCCACTACGTATGTAGGAAACATTCAATGATTACATTATTAGTATTTTAAAAATTGAGAATAACTGTATGAATACATAATCCAATTAAAATTAGAATTCATTTCCTTTACATTTATAATGTTCTATATAAAAGTATATACATGCCAGATAAAATCTTTTAAAAATTGAGAATTAGTATAAAGAAAGAAGTAATTTAACAAATTTTTTTTGCATACATCTGTGCCTAGGTGTATACAAAGGAATATACAAGTTAATTTAAACAAAATATACAGGCAACAAAACAGATACCCTCAATAGCTGAGATATACTTAGTCTGTCAAAGGTCATGTGTAGGAGAAAAAAAAGGCAGGCAAAATATTAAGAGTCAACATTATTTAATCTGATTAAATATCCTCACAACTGAAACAAATTTTTAATGCATGAAAATTTATAGCTCAACTTTAGAGGCTTACAAATTCTTATAGTATGCACTACAACAAATAAAAAGACCCACTTTAAATAAACTGTCCTTTTAATAAAATAAATTTTTATTATCTAAATTAAACATGAGTTCATATGGATAAAATGCAAAATGAAAATGAATTGAGAGGTCACTTGGAATAAAAATTACGTACAGTGCCTTATAAATCCTTAATGTGTGTGCTATCTGGTGTGTTAAAATCTTGCAGGCAGTATCATTAATGGTTTATTTTAGTGTGGTTTTGTGTAGTAAAGTGACAAGGTTAGCATTTTTTCCCTTGAATAGACAGCTGAAAATGATTTTTCACAGAACTATCTTTAAGTACTTCATACCCCCAAATCATTCATATTTAGACCTATAAAAATAATCCTAAAAAAAACCCCGAGTAATCTGGTCTAGATTATTTCAAGAACAAAGGGGGCAAAAGCCTACTTTAATGAGTCTGCATTGGACCATTCAGTTTTACTAACCATATAGTTATGTATAAAACTGCAAAGCTAAGTGTTAATGCTCATGAATAGTGCACAGAAGCTCTGAGAGCACAGTTCTCAGAACAATGTAACTGCAAACAAATTCAAACAGTATTTTCTACACAGTAAGTGTACAGTGCAATAACCTCTGAACAAGTATGAGATTGTAAGTTTACCAAAACTTGAGGAATTCAAGTTGGGAAATGGCATCAATGTACAGATAAAAATGAACTATATGTTAACATTTGTACACATTTGAGAAAAAAGTGCAAACTGACAATTCTACTGAAATTCTTTGCAATGTGATACAAATACAGTAATAAATTCTGATGAGATACTCCAATGAAATAAGATGTTCCAGTGGAAATAAAGATATTCTGAACCTCTGCATTTGCTATACTGATATAACAAATATCAATATAAAATGACTGCTCATCTAACTTTCTAGATTCCAATTCTTTCAAATAAGATTAACATTTCTTTATAATTATCTGAGGTTATAAGCCAAAAACATAATCACTGGTAATTCAGAAATATATTTTTAAAGAACCTGATAAAGTGGTTATAAGGTTTGTCACTGGCCACCAACCTTTACCTTACATCCAAATTCGTAGGGGAAAAATCCTATCTACTAATATTCAACATCTGTAAAAATTACATTAAAAATAATTCTAGTTGTAACAAGATAATCTCTATAACACTAAATGAAAGAACTAATTCTCAAAATCCAAATCTATGTAGACCACTTGACTCATTCCATGGGTAAGCTAAGAGAGGTTCACATAAATTACATAATTTGCCCAAGGTTTCCTTATTGGTAAATGATTGTATTTCACTCTTTTGACCTTTGGATTGTCCCTTCCAGTTTTAAAGCTTCAGTGAATCAACTGACAATTAATAAATACAAAAAGCCTTAAAAACAATTTGTAATACGATAAGGGCTATTGACCTTTCAGAAATTTGTATTTCAAACTTACTTACTTCATGAAGTATATAGGTCAAATTGATTCACTTTATTTCTAAACCAAAAGTGTTTAACAGTTTAAGGCACTCATTATTAAGCACATAATTGACATTCAATTTATTGATCAATAGCTGATGAAAGCAGCTACAGTTTATAAAGTTACAGCATAATTTGAAAATGTGAGATATGAGTAAATATACAATAAATCTCAGATATTAGGGAGAATTTTCAATGGAAAATCAAAGTTCGTGGCTTTGTCTAACATGCATAGCAGCAAATGATTCCAGAACCAGATTGGTCAAACCAACTGTTTATCTTTATGGCAGGGTAAAGACCTAAAACTAGTTATTTTAATTCAGAATCATATATACTTATCAGTGATGACAGAAACAGAGAGTTCCTGGAAACATTTCTATAGTAAGCATGTACACATAGCCAGTGTCTAAATTTCAGGTGCTGTCTAGTGTGAATTATGTAGAATAATAAACAATTTTAAAAAATACACATAGTAACTGAATTGTCAATAATAATACATCACTCACAAAAATTTCAGCATTTGAGCACAGGACAAAATGAATACTTTACCAAGAATTGCCGACACATTTCAGACAGAAGCCAAAACATGCAGCAAAAAGGGAAAAGGCACTAACAGAAATTGAGGAGAGAAGAGTAAATTACAGCTCCATAACTTATTTATAGTGTAATTATGGTTGGATTCTTAAAACTGTTAACAATGATCACTAAACATTCAGTGGACTACACAAGGCAATATAAATATATTACTTGTACCCTAGCATGTAAACTCCTGACTACAAAAATGTCAACTGATGACAGATTTTACATATACCTAATTTGGTTTATATCGATAAACGTAAAAATCATCTAATCAATGAAAAGCACATTAATCATCAACTTTTCACTACAAACTTATAATTCAATATTAAGCCTCTAGGTTTCAGAAAGTTTTTTTTTTTTTTAATATTATACATTCATACCTGCCATTGCAGCTGAAATCATATGTACTTGGGTAGAATCAGGATCAAATACATCATTCAACTTTTCCTTGCAGTTTGAATAAGCAGCAAAGTATATTGCTCTAAAATAGAGATTTAGATTTATCAATAAGCATGTTCTTAATGCGTAAGATTTACATATAAATTGATCTTCATAATTTTAGAATGGAGAAATTTAAAAACCATAAAGTCCTAGCCACATTCTCATGTAACATTAGATTTACACTTTTCATAAATACTCTGAAGTACTTTCTGTATTGACTCATTAAAATAAGACAACATCAAATGTAAAATTCCTACCATTCATCCTCAAACAGACCCCCTTCCAATACTCTGACAGCCACTTAACTCACTAAAACTTGGTAACCAAGAAGATAAAAAGAAAAAATGAAATTAAAAAAAAATAAAAACAAAATAATAACTAATTTAAACAAAAAGTATTTAAGATTTTAATGTTTAGAAACTAAATGAATGAATAAGGCTGTAAGGCTGGTGTAATGCTAAGGCTAAATATAGTTACTGAAGATAAGTAGATATGGTATGAGCACTTAACATATAATTTTCTTCATGGGGAGAAGAGGGTGAAGCAGATCCAACTGATTAAAGTATATGCTAAACAATTTTAAGATACTGTGGTATATTCTAATTATACTACACACACAGTAATTCACATTATCCTTAAACAGACAAAACAATTCCAACAAAAGAAATCAGACCCATCAGGTCAGAATGTTTTCCAATGTTTGTAAACACTGAGTGAAATTTAATTATTTCCCTCATTGTTAACTTACTGACTACGATTTTATGCATCCCCACTACCACCTCTATGTTAACTTCCCATGCTTTGAATTATTTGCTTGCTGTATGAAATATCCAGTTATTTCCCCAAAAATCCTGATTACTCATCCAATAAGAAACAGAGTGACAAATACAAATGAGAATTTCACTGTTGTACCTTTTTTAATGTACTTAAGAAAAAAGGAAAATTAATATAACTGAAAATGAAACATTCTAATTTATGAGAAAGAAAAACATAAGATACACTTGATGCCAAGTTGGGAAGAGGAATAAACAATGCATTTCTAGAAACTGGTAAGAAAAAAAGAAATCCTAATGAGAAAATGGCCATGAAATATATATAGGCAATTCACAGGAGAGATATACAAATGACAAATTACAAGAAAGTATGACTGCACCAAAAATTAAATAAATCATATTAAAACAGTGAAAAATCCCTCTTAGTCCATTTGGTAAGTATTTAAAAAAGATGGACAGTAGCCAGCATTGGTAAGGCTATGGATAAGGGATAAAAATCCAGTATGCCTTTTTTTTTTTTTTTTTTTTTTTTTTTTTTGAGACGGAGCCTCGCTCTTTTGCCCAGGCCGGAGTGCAGTGGCCCTATATTGGCTCACTGCAAGCTCCGCCTCCCGGGTTCACGCCATTCTCCTGCCTCAGCCTCCTGAGCAGCTGGGACTACAGGCGACCGCCACCACACCCGGCTAATTTTTTTATATTTTTAGTAGAGATGGGGTTTCACTGTGTTAGCCAGGATGGTCTCGATCTCCTGACCTTGTGATCCACCCGCCTTGGCCTCCCAAAGTGCTGGGATTACAGGTGTGAGCCACTCTGCCCGGTCAATATTCACTAGTCTTAAATATGCATATGCCCTTTTATCCAGAAATTCTAATTTTAGGTGACCATCCTAAAAAAATATACTTCCTAAAGTATTCAAAGATAAAGGTTGAGGTATGTTTACTGAACCATTGTTTATACAATGAAAATCTAAAAATAATCTAAATGTATAATAAGGAAATGTTTATTAGTGCTAGAATGCTATACAATTTTAAAAAAATCACCCCACATATTATCATGGAAAAACTTCAGTTAGATTAGGTTAAACATTTAGTATTATTCAGTTTATGTAAAGCACAATAAAGTATACATGTTTTTATGTATATGATAACCGAGAAAAATTACTGGAAGAATATACATGAACTGTCTATTAATGGTGTTTTTTTTCTTTTAACTTGTTTTATAATTAGGATGCAATTTTGGATATTTTCTTAAAGAGAGAAAAGAACCCATAAAAAGTTGAAACGTAATAAATAACAAGACATGGATCTGGTACATGGTTTGGATACAGAAAGCATTTTCACTCTAAATATGAACTTTATACAGTGTTCTATCATGGAAGAGGTTAACAATCTAAGATGCAATGGTGTCAGAGAAAAATGACGAAGTTATGTTTTCATGTCCTTTTGGCTTAATAGGGACTGCAACCATTCTATCTGTTTGGTTTGTCCCATAAGCCAAACAATGACTTAGTTTTAAGAGTTCCAGATCTTCCCCTTTCTAACTGCTAGTTCCTTTGGTTGTTCCTTTAGTTATTAGTTCCTTTGCTTGTTCTCTGTCTTTTGACTTTTTTAAAAACTACTTCACAATGGTCTTACTATGTGGTCCTTTGCACCTACACATGGTGCCATGCCCATCCTTTTAGATGGTTACTGATACCTGTTTGTCACACCATAGTTCTTTATCCTTATCACCTTGACACCTCTTCAGCATCTTCCTTGAATAGCTTCCTTTTTATTATGGTAAAGGCCATGTACATCACTTACTGCCCTTCAACGATACACAAATTCTCAGGTTTTTAGACTTTTTGTCCCTTTCTTCAACCCTGTTCTAAGCCCTGACATCCTTCCTAGTCCTTTGGTTCTATTTTCTATCTTGTTTCTTTGAAGTTTAATTTCTATGTGGAAAGTGAGAAAGGAACACTAACTTCAGGTGGAGCGCACAGCAGGACAGCTATGAAAAGCAGAAAAAGTCGAGATATCCTAAATGCCTTTTGGCCCAAGGAAAATATTTTGTTTAAAAGAATGCTTACCTTTCTTAGAGTCAAAATTTTTCAAGATGCAAGAGCTGGTTTAGTTAAACTCACAAATCTAGCAAACACTTATCTCAAAATATCAGGAGTATTTTGCAGCCTTAGCCCTGTGTAGATTTTCAATTCTGCACCCCCAAATTCTTCTAACTCCTATGGTCAGATGAGAGGATAAGCATCTCCCCAGAAGACTCAATACACTGCCACTAGCTACGAGAGTATTTCCATTTATCCTGCAAATATTAGTAATTTTATATCTCCTAGTCTATGCAATATAAAGATATATAATATATTCATTATTTTCAACTTTGATTACAACATCTCCCCCAAAAAAATCTCAGGTCCATTTATAGAATTTTAACATTTAAAACTCTTATCTATAAATACACTGTTCCTTAAACTTCTAGGTATAATATGCGATACTTTATTATTTTCCCCCAGTATAAGACTATCAATAATTTAATGCAAATACTATACCTTCTCCCTCACATTATGAAACATAGCCTTTGTATTCATATTACTACTGTTAATTTCTAACAGCAATGAAATACTGTTAAGTCTTCAAAATATCCAGTATCATTTCCTACCACCAAACATTACTTTATTATATAAATTTGTTCTGGCTAGAATCTGAAATTCTTAAAAAGAAAATTAAGTATTTTAACTTCCCATAAACATTGAATACTACATTTATAAATTTAACTGTATCTATAAATGATTAAATCCAGGTGTGCTGAAACAAAAGAGATTGCCATAACTTGCTTTAAACAATTTTTTTTTTTTTTTACCTGGAAGGGGCTACCCCCACTAAATTGGGGCCTAGTCCTCTAAACAAGGAACGAGGCCCTTCTTTTTCCAAGATCACCCTGAAAGAGAGAAAAAAAATTCTATCAGAAATATCTTTCAAAGTCTGGTACTTTATTTACTTTGTATATAAAGTTAGAGTCTAAATCCAGTACATTTGTATTATGTTGTGCTTCTCTGGTGAGTTTTCCTTACTTATTAAAAATTTGTGGCCAGGCATGGTGGCTCATGCCTGTAATTTCAGCACTTTGGACACTGAGGCAGGCAGATTCCTTGAGGTCAGAAGTTCAAGACCAGCCTGGCCAACCTGGTAAAACCTCGTTGCTAATAAAAATAAAGAAATTAGCTGGGCATGGTGGTGCATGCCTGTAATCACAGCTACTCAGGAGGCTGAGGTAGGAGAATCGCTTGAATTTGGAAGGCGGAGATTGCAGTGAGCCAAGATTGCGCCACTGCACTCCAGCCTGGAGACAGAGCGAAACTCTGTCTCCAAAAAAAAAAAAAAGAAAAAGAAAACACACACACACACACACACACACACACACACACACACACACACACACAAAACATTGTTTTTTCATGACATAGCATAAATTGTTGAAGACTGATAATAGATTTACTAGTAATGATTAAAAAATCTGTTCAGATTCTTTCCTGAAAGATTAAGACACAATGATAAAGAGTTCTACATTATTTTCATATGATCATGCTACTCTTATCTTCGATTTCCTTAATTTTACTATCTTTACCAGCAAATTGAAAGCTTAATAACTACCCGCCAATTAGAAATGTAGTTCCTTCCTAGTTTTCAGGTCTTTTACTCAACATTGGACAATACTTCTTACTACTACAGTATTATCTCATCCCCATTCCATTGAAATGCTGTAGCAGAATCTATCACCCTAATGTCCTTTAAGGTACCAGAATGGTTGGCCTGTTATTTCTCCTGCCACTCAGTTAACCGTTGCTATACTGAGTATTTAACTGTATAATTAGCTGTTTATAACTAGAAAAAGTAAGTAGATAGAAAAAAGAAGGCGAGGCCCCTGACATTGGGAAATTTGCTGTTTTGTTTTGGTAAAAAGAATTGTAACAAAACAAATAAATTAACAGACCATATTAACAAGCAAATACTATACAACCTAGATACATATATGCCCAGCAGAGAAAGGAACAGAGCCATGTGTAAGTCACAGAAGACTTTCCTGGAGTAAGTTATGAAATGAAGTTTTGGCAGTGAGAAGGAATAGAAACTGAAGAGTAGGTATTTTAATTCAGAGTTAACAGACTAGGCCAAGTAGTTCTCAAACATCTATCTGCTTAAGAGGGATCTTTTTAAAGGTAGTTGGGTCTAATGGTTAATTTAAGGCCTGAACTGAGTAGCCAGACTTCTCAGATATGAAGCCCAACGTTGGTAATGGATAACCCTACGACCCTGAAATAACTTTACTCTCATACTCAGTTTCATCAGCAGTAAATAAAAAAAACCAGTACCCCTTTACTGGTTACTGTGAGGACTAAGTAAATTAATATATAAAGAGCTTAAAAGAGCGCCTGAAAAACTTCGGAACTAAAACACAGCCCAGAAGGATTACTAAAGCTCCTGTGAAGGGAAGGCAAAACTACTGAAAAAGAGAATTAAAAAGTATTATCACAGAGGTCAAAAGAAGAATTTTAAGGAGGGGCAATCTGTGGTAATAAATATCAAAATCATGATATTAAAATACTTTTCCTATTACAAATCAGATAGAAGTATTTATGTATAACTATAGCATTTTTTTTCTGAGACAGAGTCTCACTGTATCACCCAGACTGGAATACAGTGGCGCAATCTCGGCTCACTGCAACCTCTGCCTCCCAGGTTCAAGTGATTCTCCTGCCTCAGCCTCCTGAGTAGCTGGGATTACAGGTGCGCACCACCACACCTGGCTAATTTTGTATTTTTAGTACAGACGGGGTTTCACCATGTTGGCCAGGCTGGTCTCGAACTCCTGACCTCAGATGATCCACCCACCTCAGCCTCCCAAAGTGCTGGGATTATGGGCGTGAGCCACCACTTATGGCATTTTAATTCAAAACTGTTATCAATTTTATTCTACCTATTCATGTACTTATGTAAACAAGTTTGAAAAAAGAAAAGGCTGATGAAACCTTTTAGTAACAAAGGTAAATACACAGAATGAGTTTATTTGCTATTACAAAATAAACACTACTGAACTAAGTTCAAACACTGAGCTGATAAGGCAGACACGAAGGCATTCCATTATTTACAAGTATAAACATACGAAACCTAATTTTAATAGTTTTGAAATTTCAAATCCAATTGCAACATAATGAAGTATGGCAAACTGTAAAAACAAATCTTTTCCAAACCATCAGGAAATGTTAAACAAATACTGAACAGCATTAGAACTCTGCTGTCTCAGTTGTACTTAGGTTACATAAAAATCACAGATTATCATTAATTGGATGTACTTACTTGGAACATTAAAAATATACACGAAAGGAGTTAGCATTAAACATTATCACATTTCAAAAGTAAATGAATAATCCAAAATAAAATACTTATAATAGCTTTAGAAAAAACTCCACTGGATAAATGTAGAAATATTCTAAATACACATGATTTGGAAGTAAAATTACACTTTATCTTATCTGTCTAACTGTTCTTCTCCATTAGGGATTATCATTCCTTATGAGTACAATTCAGAGTAACTTCTGTAAATAGGTTTATAAAAAATCATTTTCAATGTGGCAGAATATAAGTAAACAAACATCTGGAACTCACTAACGCAAACAAACTAAAAAACACTCCTGAATACTATGCTCTCACTTTAGGCAATGAAGAGGTCCGGGAGACACTACTCGGTTGACACTGGCTCCAGCCATGGTGTTCAGCTGAACTTCAGAAATATAAAGCGTCACAGAAGATGACTGCAGTCGTGTTTTTACAACTTCCAGTGGACATGTCAGAATAGCTCCCACTGTACCACCACATCTAAAAAAAAAAAAAAAAAAGAACACAGCTTATCTACTTAATTCATAAGTTAGTATATATGCCCAGAGCTGTAATCCACATGGGTACCTGGAGCTTTGCCAACATACTAAAATTTATAATTTTTAATGTTAGATGACTAAACTGATTTTTAAGAGATTCCATTATTTGATTTCATACAAACTTCTTCAGTAACTAAAATGAACACAGCTTAGTAACTATCTGGCAAGA
Organism: Homo sapiens; assembly: GCF_000001405.40. Lineage (NCBI taxonomy): Eukaryota > Metazoa > Chordata > Mammalia > Primates > Hominidae > Homo > Homo sapiens. The sequence continues at coordinate 140,956,298 of NC_000003.12, read as the reverse complement.
ATAACTGCTAAACACTTCAACTGATAGGTGCTGTTACTAAAATTGTACTGGTAAGTCACATAATGGCTTTAAATACTGTCCTAAGGTTTGATTTAGTACTCATGTATATATATAACTTGTGGCTCTGTTAAAATCTAGGCCATTCTTTGAAGTATATCCTATCTTTCAAACTCCTGTCCTTTCAAACTGAAGAAATGGTCTTCTGAACAATAAGGAAGAACTCACTGATAGTTAACCATACATAGTTCTCTTATTTTAAATCCCCAAATATTCAGAAGTATTTCACCTACAAAAAAATACAGCATTTGAGGGCTGGGCGCATGGCTCACACATGTAATCCCAGAGCTTTGGGAGGAGACAAGAGGATGGTTTGAGGCCAGTTTGACATCAGCCTGGGCAACATAGCCAGACACCACTTTACAAAAAATTTGTTTAAAAAATTAGCCAGGTGTGGTGGGGCATGCATGTAGTCCTGGCTACTCGGGAGGCTGAGGTGGGAAAACTGTGTGAGCATAGGAGTTCAGGGCTACAGTGAATATGATCAGGCCACTGCACTCTAGCCTGGGCAACAGAGTGAGACCCTGTCTCAAAAAAGAAAAAAAATTGGCATTTGAGTCTCACAATTAATACCTGTCAGGCCTACACGTGGAAAACTGTACAATGTAGGTAGGCTTGTTAGAAGAATCCAACTTAAATAAAAGGACTGATCACCAGAACAATAATAACAAAAGCTCTTAATGACATTGAACTGTTTAAAAGGTATGTAAGATATAGGCTGAGTAATTATTATTTTCTTATTTTAAAATACAAGAGTAGAAAATAATTTCCTCTTAAAACATTAATAACTACCAAGTGAAGCCTTTAGAACTGCTTTCTAACCAAAAGGGAAAATCACTCAGAAAAGCTCTTAGTGCGGTGAAAGAGAAAAGCTAGTTGAGTCAGGTTAACGTGGACCTTCAAAATGGGCATTAAAAGAAGAAAAAGAAAAGCAACCCATGCAATAATACACTAAACAATTCTACCTCCACAATAAAAAAAACACACACACATATATATAAAGGAAAGCAGGCATGGCAATGTTAATATCACTCCGAATAGAATGTAAAAGAAATTTTAAAAGATAAAAATATGTCATATTGGTGTATTAGTATATGCCACAAAGAAAATAAGATAAAACCAAACTGTATGCAACTAGAGTGAAAAACTTATGCAACAAAACTATTAAAAAATAAAGAACATTATATGTAAAATAAAAAACATGCCCCTTACCTCACAGTACATTTTAAAATTAACTCGAAATGGATCACAGACCTAAGTTTAAAATGATGAAACTATAAAACATCTAGGAAAAAAACATCTGGAAAAAAATCTTTTAACTTTGCGTTAGGCACAGACTTCTTATATGGACATCAAAAGAAGCACAAATCATTAAAGAAAAAAACTGAAAAACTGGACCTTATCAAAACTAAAAACTTCTACTCTGAAAGAAACTGCTAACACAATGAAAGAAACTGAGAAGAAAATGAAAGCCATAGACTGAGAACAAATATTTACAAATCATTACCTGCAAAAGTGCTTACAGTCAGGAATAAAATCAAGTAATTCAGTAAGAGATTTAACAGATAGTGATACATAGACGCAAATAAACACACAGAATTCTGCAAATCATTTGTCATCAGGGAAATGCAAAGTAGATCCATTATAAGATACTACTGCCCATCTATTAAATGGCTAGAATTAAAAAGACTGACCAACAAACAGCCAACCGCTGAACTGGAAATCTCTTACACTGCTGGTGGGAATTAAAAATGGTACAGGCATTTTAGAAAGCAGTTTGTCAGTTTCTTACAGAGTTAAACATAACACTGCCACACAGCCCTATCTCACTTGTAGGTACTGACCCAAGAGAAATGAACAGACATGTCCACAGAAAGACTTGTTCATGAATGTTTATAATAGCTATACTTATTCATAGCTAAAAACTGGGAACAACCCAAATGTCCATCAACTAGTGGAAGCAAACTGTGGTACAACTATATAATAGAATACTATTCTGCAGTAAAAAGCCACCACCTGGGTAAATCTCAAAAGCATTATGCTAATTGAAAAAGCTAAGCACAAAAGGCTTTTATTTTTGACGTTAAAAAAATTATCCCCCTCGTTAAGCAAACACTTTTATGATATTCTAGAAAAGGCAAAATGAGAGGAACAGAAATGAGATCAGTGGTTTCCAAGGGGTAGAGGAGAGGGAAGAAAGTGACTTCAAGGGGTGTGGGGGAATTCTTGGAATAACAAAAACTGTTCAATATCCCTTTTCTTTTTTTCTTTTGAGATAGTGTCTTGCTCTGTCACCAAGGCTGGAGTGCAGTGGCACGATCATAGCTCACTGTAGCCTTGAACTCCTGGGTTCAAACAGTCCTCCTGCTTCAGCCTCCCTAGCAGCTGGGACTACAGGCACATGCCACCATGCACAGCTAAATTTTTTAAATTTTTTAAAATTTTTTTGTTGAGACAGGGTCTTGCTATGTTGCACAAACTGGTCTTGAACTCCTAGCCTCAAGGAATCCTCCCACTTCAGGCTTCCAAAGTACGGGGATTATAAGCATGAACCACTAGGCCCAGCCAATATCCTGACTATGGTAGTGTTTAAATGACTTTATACATCTGCCAAAAGTCAATAAACAGCATACATTTAACAAAGGGTAGATTTTACTGTATGTAAACGATACCTTGACAAATCTGATTTGAAAAATATGTGAAAACCAGTAAGAATTCTTAATATATGAACTACTTGGGGCTGAATATATTATGTGAAACATTCAATCATAAATAAGCTTAACACTTCAAAAAAATTCCACTCATAGCTTTAAATAGGCAGTTGAAAAAATTTAACCCCCCCCCCAAAAAATGTCGAAACCACAATTATACGGTCAGATTTCAACAAAATTAGACAAAAAGTAGTAGGATTATAGCAAATCTGAAACAAAATTAAGTAGAACTTAGAAACCTCAATACTCAATAAACAAGGAAAAGATATTTTCAAACAGCCATGAAATAGTCTTAAAACCTCATTATATATGAGGCCACAAGAGGAATCTTAAATAGAAGCCATAAATTTACTTAGATAAGAGTTGAGAGCTAAGTGGTAAAAGACATGAGTCATCATCACACAGTATACTTGGAGTATATGCAATGTAGGACTCAGAAGAACCTGTGGGTTAGTCCATACCATATTCACACTATAACAGTGATCTATTTATGGCAAACCATAATTCAATTTGTCTTTGCCTGATTTCTTTTTAGCAGTTTAGTGTATTTACTTTGTAAATTTATTGAACATAAAACCCACAAACAGGCCCAAAATCTATAATAAACATGTACATGTTTTGATTTTATATTCTGTAAAACCTAAGAAAGAGTATTCTTGAATATGAATAACTTCTAAAAAATGTATTCAATGAACATGAATTACTTCTATAATTAAAACGAAAACAAACAAAAAGCAACATGAGCACATAAAGCCATGATTCCTACCCAGTCATTCCTGGTTCCAAGAAAATAAATATTATACAACGAAAACAAAACAACAATGGTAAAAACAATACCTATGCCTCACACGCTTGTTGTAAAGATGATATAATATAATCCACATAAAGCATTTTGTAAAGTGGCACATAAAAAGTGCTCAATAAATATTAGCTATGTAGTTATGTGTCTCCATTACTGATAATGGTAACTATGAAATTTTGTAATAGAAGTCTTATGAATATTTTGTGGCCAGACCAACAGACAAGGTAAATACTATGATATTTAAAAAACACTTCAGCAAGTAAAACACATGAGAATCTAAACTGGCCAGGCATGGTGGCTGATGCCTGTAATCCCTTTCAGAGGCTGAGGTGGTAACATCACTTGAGTCCAGGAGTTTGAAACCAGCCTAAGCAACACAGTGACTCTGTCTCTGAAAAAAAGAAAGAAAGAGGCCGGGCGTTGTGGCTCACTTCTGTAATCCTAGCACTTTGGGAGGCTAAGGCAGGTGGATCACCTGAGATCAGGAATTCGAGCCCAGCCTGGCAAACATGATAAAACCCCGTCTCTACTGATAATACAAAAAATTAGCTGGGCCTGGTGGTGCATGCCTGTAATCCCAGCTACTCCGGAGGCTGAGGCAGTAGAATCGCTTCAACCCAGGAGGCAGAGGTTGCAGTGAGCCGAGATTGTGCCACTGCACTCCAGCCTGGGCAACAAGAGTGAAACTCCATCGCAAAAAAAAAAAAAAGAGAGAAAGAAAGGAAAAAACAGCCAGGTGCAGTGGCACATGCCTGTAATCCCAGCTACTTGGGAGGTCAAGGTAAGAGGATCACTTAAACCTGGGAGGTCAAGGCTTTAGTGAGCTGTGATTGCACTATCACACTCCAGCCTAGGCCAAAGAGTGAGACCCTGTCTCAAAACAATGACAACAACAACAACAACAAAACAAAATTAAAAAACAACAAAAAAATAAGGCCAGGCGTGGTGGCTCACACCTGTAAACCTAGGACTTTGGGAGACCGAGGAAGCCGGATCATTTGAGTTCGGGAGTTCAAGACCAGCCTGGCCAACATGGTGAAACACCACCTCTACTGAAAATACACACACACACACAAAATTAGCCAGGCGTGGTGGTGCACGCCTGTAATCTTAGCTACTCGGGAGTCTGAGGTGGGAGGACTGTTTGAACCTGGGAGGCGGAGGTTGCAGTGAGCCGAGATTGTGCCAGTGCACACTCCAGCCTGGGTGACAGAGCGAGACTCCATCTCAAAAAATAAATAAATAAGTAAATCGTACAGAGGTGGGGGTGGCATAAGTGGGTATATGCACAAGCACTTAGGTTGTCCTGAAGCAGTTTTACATTATAGAATGCAACAGATGTGTAGTATAGGGGTGACACTCTGGTATTTCTCTTGCTGCAATTTAAAAATAATTATTATGCACACTGAAATCAGAATTGATGTAGAGAACAAAACTATTGCTTCAATAAAGTTGGGATGAACTACATTAGATTTATCTTTTCTCCATGTCAAAAATCTCACTGTCTAAAGGAATATGCCAGAAGAACAGAGAGGCCCAGAGAAATCGGCAGCTGCAAGTTTTCAACCAATGAGGCAAATGGGAAAGACAACTTAGTAAAGAGGAAGAAAGGCTTGCAGAGGGAAATACCAAAAAGCAGCAGTTTTTCCCTGCAGAATCCCTAGGAGGCCTAATGATTAGGGCACCAAGTATTCAAGAGGGAATTAAGGCAAAGAACTGAAAACAGGACTGGCTGCTGTCACAGTCTGTATGACAAAGGTAGGATGCCCAGTGTTGCTCTATGCCTTACACACACACACACACACACACAGACACACAGACACACACAGAGACACACACACACACGCTGGATAAAACTACATTCCTAGGCAGAAGGTTAATTCTCTGAAGAATACAAACTCAACATTTCTGAACTTAGGTTTAGCAGGAACAAAGGATGCAAAAACAATCCACACCAAGATGCGCTACTGCAATCTTTCAAGGACTTCAACTTCCAGAAAGAAAAAAGGTCACATAATAGAGGAAAAGTGACCAGATTAGCATCATACTTCTCGACAACTGCAGATTACTTATCCTAAAATTCTATACCAAACCAAACTATACATCTGGGACAAAGAAGTATTCAAGAAATTGCCTACTGTATACCCTTTTCTTACATAGCTAACTAAAAAATGTATTCCACAAATTAAGAAAGTAAACTAAAAGAAGATGGTGGTAGGGAGGGAACCAAATGCAGGAACAGAATAACCCAAGACAGAAGTCCCAAGATGATAGTGAAATGGCAGACCTGAAAAAAAACCAATCAAGATAGGATTAGGATGACAGAATTCAGTGGGACAAAAGTCTCCAGGAAAAAAGACTGACAGATGAACACAGCTGACCATATGAAAACAAATGTTCAAGTATGAGTACTCACATAACTAAGCAAAAGTTTTTTAATGGAGGCAATTATTAACTTCAGGGGCAGTGGGGGGTGGGGGCGGGGAGGAATGAAGTTATTCAAGAAAGGAAAGGTCAACATAATAGACAACTTAAACTTAGCTCTGCAGTGAACAATATTTGTATTGTCACAATAAGGTAAGCACTGACTTTTGATTTTTAACAAAAACTGTTATCAAATTATATATTGAGAGGATGTAAAGAAAAAGGAAACAAGAGAGTGGTACAATATAACTAAATCCTCATCTACCAGAACAGAAAGATGATGTATAATATATTAATTTGAAAACCAAGAAAAAGCAAGAGAAAAAAATGGTGGAGTAGAAGCAGGCACTCATTACTGGTCTTACTTCCCTCTGATCCAGTGATGTGGATGACATCAGTTGCAAGGTGTGGCTAATGTAATTTGCTATTAAATAACATAGTTCAAGGTTGGATGCTTTACTATTTTTAAAAAGTTACAATTCAAAGTTATTTCTATAAAACAGTCACTGGTTTGTTCTGTGTGCTTTCTTGATTGGCAAAGAATTCCAAAGACAGAATAGCCAAGTCTGTAACAGAAGGGTGTAAGTTCATTACTTTGTAACATCAAAAATTCAGAAAGGAGAGTTTCTTGGTTACGAATCTAACAACACTGTTAAATGTCACTATACCCCTGGTATACCCAGATTAGAAATAACTACATGTTCTTTATGTTCGTAGTGAAACCACCTAGATTGACACTCATTTAAAGTTTTATAGGCAAATGTCCTATATCTTAAAAGATACGAGAAGGCCAAGATCGCTTGGTGAGTCAAATAATCACATAGCTATGTATTGATCTTATAGAATATTTAAAATTGTTTAATATGGTATCACTAAAGCATTTTATAAGACATTTAAAACTATTTTAATGATGTTTGCCAAATTGTACAGTAAGTTTATCAAGTCATCTCGGTAATTTACTGGAATGTGGACACATCTCTAGCCTATGGTAATACTGCAGATGCTAATAAAGCCAAACTTTTTAGAGTTTAACTGTCTAAGAACTTTCAAATGTTGCTTCTACTTAGTGCATATAATGAAGATAAAAATTCTAGCATGCCAGGGGGTCTAGCTACCTTAAGGGCCTTTATGGACCTCTTGAGTAAAGAAGTGGCAAAAAGATAGTGTTTTTTTGTTTTTGAAGCTAGGCACAGTGTAACCAAAACTGGTTTAAAAAACAAAACAAATAAAACAACCCTGTGCAAACAAGTTTTGTAAGAAAGAGCAAGGCCTCTGTTGGGAGCCTCAAAGTGCTCTCCCACACTAGTTATTGAAGCACGGGAATCAAAAGTTGAGGGTGGGGAGATGGGAGAGAAAGGAGAAAGAGAAATTGTTCACTAAGTGAATATGAATAGCAGATGAATTTCAGCCATCATACCCAGTCATGAATCCCTAAGACAGGTACATAGACATAAAACCCCATTGACTGGATAGTCCTAAGCTGCTGAACCACTAGATCTGGCTCCCCCAGCTTTAAAAGGACTGGAAAAAATCCAAGGCACTGTTAGATATATGTCCTCAATATTAACCTCTTGAGCGTGTATGGATCAGGAAACTTGTTTTTAACAGGCAAGGTAACAGATAGATGAACAAAATATTTTCTGATGAGGTCAACAATATTTGTATGTGCATATTATTTAAAAAGGTACTTCAGAATTCATTTTATTAACTTTAAGCAGTGTTTAGCTTTATAAAGCAAGATGAAAAGGATAAAATATTTTATTTTTCTGCCTACAGTGATACTCTACTTAGGGCATTAGTTACATTAAGAAATATCAATCACTGGCCGGGCACGGTGGCTCACGCTTGTAATCCCAGCACTTTGGGAGGCCGAGGTGGGCAGATCATGAGGTCAGGAGATGGAGACCAACCTGGCTAACGCAGTGAAATCCCATCTCTACTAAAAATTGTAAAAAAGAAAAAAAAAAGAAATATCAATCACTAAAGATGAAGTTTCTTTAAAATGCTAGCCAAACTTAAAGAGTTTTTCAATCTTAAAACATGTAGACTGGGCTGGGCGTGGTAGCTCAGGCCTGTAATTCCAGCACTTTGGGAGGCCAAGGTGGGTGGATCGCCTGAGGTCAGGAGCTCAAGACCAGCCTGACCAACATGGTGAAATCCTGTCTCTACTAAAAGTACAAAAAATTACCTGGGTGTGGTGGCAGGCACCTGTAATCCCAGCTACTTGGGAGGCTGAGGCAAGAGAATTGCTTGAACCTAGGAGGTGGAGGTTGCAGTGAGCCGAGATCGTGCCACTGCACTCCAGCCTGGGCAACAAGAGTGAAACTCCATCTCAAAAAATAATAATAATTAAAAAAACCACGTAGACTCTCCCTGAAATTCTATACAAATCATTAAGGAAGTCTTACCAAAAATTGTTTCTCTGGTAGTACACTTGTATAACTATTTTCTCTGAAGCTTTAGTGTTTAGACAAGAAGCAATACAAGTTTTTGAAATGGTGATGGACATCTATATACCTGATAGACCAACTTAGGAAAAGTCAGCAATGCGTGCTTGAGAATAACACAGCATTTTTTTAAGTATAGGAAGTGTTTCTGATGCAGGAAAAAATTAACACGTTATTCTTATTGTGGATGATAAAGCAAAATCAAGACTAGTAATACAGAAAATTTTAGCCAACTTAGATAAACATGGAAGCAAGCCGTATCATACAGCCCAAGATGCAGTTGTAGAGTCTTTACTATTTAGAGTGTTTTTTGGTTTTCGTAAAGCTAGGCACAGTGTAACCAAGACTGGTTTAAACAAACAAAAACTAAAATCTCTGTGCAAATAGGTCTTGTAAGAAAGAAAAAGGCCTTTGTTGGGAGCTTCAAAGTGCTTACTATTTTAAGGAAAAATAGTAAGATACGAGACTGAGAAATAAAAAAAATCCATTATAGGAACAAAATAGGCTGAGGGAATGTGGCAGGTTTAGTAAAAGTAAATTTCCCCCTTTCGTTGCTACCCTTTACAGCAAACCTTAAAACTGTCTATTTGTTGTCTCTAATTTCTCTCCTACTCCAACCAGACTTTTACTCCCCTGCCCTGGAAATTACTAAAAGTCACCAAAGTTCCTCAATTAAATTCAGTGGTTAACAGCTTTCAGACATCTTAAATGACAGTAACATTTGATAGTTGATCACTTACTCCTTTCTAGATCTTGTATATTTGCTCCATTTGGATTTCAGGATACCGTATTTTTTTGGTCACTATGAAGTGTACTTGGCTGGTTCCTCCTCTTCTCCTCATTCCTCTTCTCTTGATCTCTTTTATTGAAGTCCCCAGAGGGTAGGTAGCTCGTGGTCCCTTCTTCTCTATATTCACTCCCTTAGTGATCTCAACTAGGCTCATGGCACCACTTATGTTCCAATGACTACTAAATATATATCCCTAGTCCAATCCTCTTTCCTGGACTCCAGGCTAGTAATCCAATCACTTAAACAATCAGCTTCTTGACCTCTCTACTTCTCAAACTTACCATGTCTAAAATGGAGCTTCTGATCTCCCCTCACCCCAACTCTGTTCCATCTGCAATCTTGCCCATCTCAGTTGACAGCAATTCCACCCTTCCAGGTGCCCAAACTAAAAACCCTGGAGTTATTCTTCGCTCTTCTTCTACACTCTGCATTCAATATGTCAAAAATCTTATTATCTTTACCTTCGAAGTCTAACTAGAATTCAACCACTTCTCACAATGTCCATTGCTTCCAACCTAGTCTGAATCACCATTATCAGTCAAGTGGATTATTGAAATAGCCTGATCAACTCCCTACTTCTGCCCCTGTCCCACGCATAGTCTAGCAGAGACCAATTAGCCTTTAAAAATTCTATGACTCCTCCCATTTCAATAGAAAAGGTCAAAGTCCTTTAAAGGCTTAAGAAGGCTCTATCATTCTGGCCATACCTGCTTCATTATCTCACTCTTACCAGGGCTAGGGTCTTACTGGGGCTAGTTCCTTTTGTATAGCTAATTCTCTCCCTTCCAAGTCTTTACTCAAATGTCATCTCAGTAAGATTCATCATCATTCGATTTAGTACTAGAGTGCACTCCTACCACAGTCCTTTAAGGTGCACCATTTTTTTTCCCACAGCACTTAATGCCTTCTAGTTAATGATAACAATTACTAGACAAGACAGTCCCTTGTCTTGCTGTCCGGTTGTCGATATTCTTCAATACTATATTACAACCAGACAAGTGGTAGGTTCTTAAAGGTTAGCTGAAATGTAGAATCTGAACTATACCAGTAAACTTTTCATACTGTTATATTAAAATCCACTGGTCTATTTTAAAATCTGAATGACTTTTTTACCCATGGCTGACTCCATGAAAAAAAGAAGCTAGTGTAGCCTGCAATTGAAACAACGCAGAACCACACTTCGGCATACAGTTACTTCATGTCTATTTCCCATTTTGTCACACAAAATATTAAATATAGAGGTATTCAAAGGTTGTGATTTAATAAAATTAGTATTTTTACTCCTTCATGAGCATTCTTAGGTTAAACTGGCTTTTTTTTTTTTTTTTAATTGCAAGTACCTGGAGGTGAATACGATGACTACAGTCTGGTGCCACTGCCTTCATGCATGCTAAGGCATCAGCAGTTTTACCCATCATTGCTTTTGCACCATCAGGACAAATGTCAACAAATTTGTGCCAATAATGTATTTTTATGAAAATAGTTTTAAACTCTCAGACCACAACAAGGGTCTCAAGAAGGAGAATCCCTGACCCACAATGTTGTGCTACACTAATCCATTTGCAGAAAAATGGTAGCTGCTGTGCTACAGTAATTCATTTATAGAAAAATGATTTGAGAATATTCTCCAACAGGATAAGAAACTTCCCTTAGTTTTGCAGTCTATTAGTAAGAAGAACGGAATGCATTTTTAGAAGGAAAAAAAGGGAAGGAGGATGTCTGAATGTTTGTCTCCCCCAAAACTAGTAAGATGAAATCCTACTCACATCCCAAGGTGATAGTATTAGGAGGTAGACGCTTTCAAGGTGATTAGGTCATGAGATTGTAGCCCTGACATTTGGGATTAGTACCTTTATAAGACACCAGAGATCTTGGCTAGCCTCTCCTACTACGTGAGGATACAGCAAGAGAGTATCTTCTATGAGGAAGTAGACCATCATCAAAAAACCTGTTACTGCTTTAATTTTGAACTTCCCAGCCTTCAGGACTGTTAGAAATATTTGTTATTTATAAGCCACCAGTTTTTGGTATTTTGTAATAGCAGCTTAAACAGAGCAAGACAGAGGAAAAGGAGAGGTAGTAAAAATTAAGGAAATGAGACTAATAAAAATATGGTCAGAGTGAAGCGGAAATAAATCACATTAATTATACTTTTAAGTATTCTACTTCTGCCCTGATCTTCAAGCAAACAGGTGAAATAATTTAACAAATATCGTTCATTATACCCAAATGGGAATTTCCTACTGAATAAATAATAATGATTGAGCAAATGAATGAGCTCCAGGATATAAAAATAGACAGTTCTTAGATCATCTTTGATTTTACTCACTACATATATTAAATTATCTGTCATAAGAGCTGCAAAGAAAATACTTCATCCACTTAAAATCTTAAGGTATATAGCTCCTATTTGAGACAATATCTCCCTCAAATAGAAAAAAAATGAGCTGCCTCTGTAGATATATGCAGCTGATACAATAACTAGACAATGTACAATTCTATCAGTCTTTAAAAATACATTTAATAGTGCTTTCATCTCTATATACATACATTAGAGGTACAGCTAAAATTAAATCACATTTACACCTTTTTTACAGGCTGTCATGATATCGTTCCTTAACTCAATTAACCTAACTACTGACCTTACAAACTCTGAATATTAACTCTGGCAAAAGCATAATGGGATCAAAGGGTGTCTTAAAGAAAGCACGAGTTATGCATGTGAGTATTTCACCCAGAACCAAGGTCCAGTGCTGGTGTTTAACAATACAGCTACTAGGCTATTAGAAATGTGGGATTCCGATAAACATATTTGAATATTACAATTCTACTTATCAGAAAAACAACTTAAAGGCTCCATATTCGGAAAACCCTTGCCTAAGATTAAATACTCTGTGAAAGGTTACTCTTGGTTCTTTTAAAATATACTGGGCTTCCTTTAAAAAGATAAGGTGTGTTTTACTGAACTCACTTATGTAACCACATATAAAAATAAAATCAAGATGAGATGCAAAGGAAGAGAAATTATACGGCTGAGCACCTATCTTGTATCAAATCCTACATACCATATCTCATTTAATACTCTAACTACATATGCTAGACTGGGGGGGAGGGGATGGAGCTCCTAATCTGTGTGTTTAGATGCTACAAACACCTCCCATTCCTGTTCTTAAACCAGAAAACCTATATTTACATGTTTTTATAACAAAATGATGATCCTAATCCAAAGTGGGAAATTAGTGCAATCAAGCTAACATTTATTTCAAATATAAGTATGCCCCATTTTTAACTAAACTTGATACATGAATCCTGAACGCAGAATAATAGAAATGTTAGGAGCTAGAGAAGGGCTTTAGAGATCATATAATACAACCTCCTAATTTTATAGATGAAGCAATTGAAATAAAAGTGTCCATTTTTCACCCAAATTAAAATAGTGCTAGACTACATCTGCGGTCTCCTCACTTCAGGGTTATAGATCTAATTACAAGAGGGAGCTCAATTATTTGCATGAGATCTTTTCAAGAGCATCTACATAGCTACAGAATTTTTTTAAAAAGATTTAATTTGCCTGATTATTGGCAGTAAACATTTCAGAAATATGGAAAGCAAACTGCCTAAACTGGGTCTCACAGATCAATAGAAAAATATTGTTTTTATGCCAGAACAGTGGCCGGCCCATAATTGGTGTACAACAAATATTTGTTGATGAAAGTGTGCCAACCTAAAGAAAGTATTGCCATCACTGGCTCAATAGAGTCCATATGTCCAACTCAAAGCAAGGCACCGTGAATAGAACTGCGTGTGTATTTCTTTCATATTCTTAAAAGTCGATCTAAAAACTGCAGGATTTAAGAAGATGCCGGTAAGAGTCTCAGCATAATTCACCGAAGGCATTTTTGATAAGAAAACTCTTTATAATCCTCCAAATAAGTAACTCTTAAAATTGCTATGATTCTCCAAATGATTTAGAAGGAGCAAATCTAAACAGGAGGCTAAACTGGAAGCTCTAACACTCATTTTGGCAATCAGGGAACTAAGACTTTAGGCTTAGTCCTAATCTTGCACACACATAGTAACTATTAACACTATCTTCAAAAAATCTGACCTCTCTCCACTCCTACTTTCTCCTAAGCAGCAGAAAAGCAAGCGGTGTTCAAGAGGGGTGGTTTTCTCGAAAGGAATCTGACCCCAAAGGTACTGGAAAGCTTTGCACCCCATTCACCACCTGGAAAACCTCGGGCAAGAAATTTTCCAAGGGCTAGAAACACCCTACAGCAACCACGGGAGAATACCAAAGCCTTCCCCGCTCGATCCCGTAGCCCCCTTACCACCCACCTTGCAAAGCCGAGCCCGGAAATGAGCGGCCCGAGGTCCGAGGTGGGGCGTGAGTGACGTGCAGAGGCCCAAGCGAGCGCTGCAAGGAGCGAGGGCTAAAGGAGTCTCCGGCGCCCATTTTGTCCTCAGCCTCCGCACTTTCCGCCCCGTCCCCTTGGGCCATGCAACCTACGCGAAATCCGAAGCCAGGCTCCTCAAAGCGGCCCTGGATCCCCGACGCCTGCTAGATTGCGGCGTGCGGCCAGGTCCAGCGGCGTCCGGGTAATCAAGCGCCGACCCCAGCTCTTGCCCGCGTCTCCTCAGACGCATGGATTCGGCCTCCGCCTCACCCCGGCCCCGCGGGCCCAAAACCTCACTCCCGGCCCGGGTTTCATGCCTCAACCCTCTTTGCCCGGGCCTCACTCTCTCGCCCTCGGGCCCGGGCCTCACCCCCTTGCTTCCCCGAACCGGAGCCCCCCTCACCACCCACGGGCTGGGTCGCTCCCCTCACCCGCAGGCCCGTGGCAGCTCCCCGCCCAGGCCTCACTCCCGCCCCCCCACCCCCCCACCCCCCTCGGCCCCCCTCGCCCCCCTCGCCTGCGTCTTCGGCCCCAGCACCCTCAGCCCCAGTGCGCACGCCCCGCCAGGACCTTACCCTCCGGCAAACAGATGCACCAGCGTGTCCCTCTGGCTCATTCTCTCTCCCGCATGTCCTCCGGCCGCTGAGGCGGGACGCGGATCTGGCCGCCCGCTACGGCAGGCGGCTTCGGTCCCGGACTGGAGACGCACAGCGCCCCGGGGACGGCGAGGAGAGCTGGCCGAGATGCGGCTGCAGAAAGCAACCGGCACAGCCCTCCCCGCGGCACTCCAGCCGCGCCACCGCCTGCCTAAGCGCGCCGCCCTTCACCAGAGGCTGAAAGCGACGCAGCGCAGCGCGACGGAGAGTGGGCGGGGGATGGTAGGGGGAAGATGACTATTTGATGGCTCCCGACATAAACAGAGGCTCCCATTGGTGTGAGCGTCGTGACGTCACGCACTCTGCAGTGTTCTTTCACGTGATCCCTACGGGCTCTTTCAATGAAAGGGGCCGCGAGGCGTGGCCAGAACGCGTGCCCGGAGGGTGGTAGGTCACCGCGCTCCTAGCACCTGAGACCTGGGGCGCCCCTGGCCTGAGTGAACGCGCCAATCACGGCTGCACTCTCCTGAACAGGGAACTGGCGGGGCGGGAAAAATCGACTTGGTTCCGGGTTCGCAAGCGGATTTACTTTGAAAAAATTGGATTTATGACCCAGCAGTTCCCTTGGTGTCTATCTCAGAGTAACCCTCGCACAATGCATAAAAAGGTTTGTGCACGGATACTCCTATATAGGCTCACAAACAGTACAGAATTATGAACAATGCTTGCAGTTGCAGAAAATTGAAATCAGTGGGGGAATGAAGAAATAAATCATGAAACATTCCTACTATGGAATATTATGCAATCGTGACAAGGGATGAGGTGATTCCATATGGCAAAAAATCTCCCGAAGTGTGTAATAAGTAAAAAAGGCAAGTAGAATTAAAATACTTGGGTTTGTTTTTAAAAGAATAAAAGTTCATGGGAAATGGAATTAAAAGATAAAATTTAAAAATATAAACTTTGTTTTTCAACGTAAGCTCCATCAAGTTAAAGACAGTTTGGTAAGTGATGATACCGGCTCTTTAGTCCATCTGTAAAGAATTGAGGGTTCTGGGAATTTAATCATGAAAATGCAGGCTTTTTTACGTTATTAACTGAAGAAAAATGGGTGCCATTTACAGATTTTTCACGATTAGAAAACAAAAATATGTCAGAAGGAGCCAGGTCAGGAATGTAAGATGGATACCTGATAGTTTCCCATCGAAATCCCTGGAAAAATGCCCTTATTTAAAGAGAGGAATGAGCAGGAACATTGTCCTGATGGAGAAGGACTCTCTGGTGAAGATTTCGTAGGTGTTTTTATGCTAAAGCTTTGCTTCACTTTCTCCTATAGTAAGCGGATGTTATTGCTCTTCCACCCTCCAGAAAGTCAACAGGCAAAATACCTTGAGCATCCCAAAAAGCTGCTGCTATGACTTCGGCTCTTGACCAGTCTACTTTTGATTTGACTGGACCACTTGCACCTCTTGGTAACTATTGCTTTGATCCAGAATCATACTGAGAAAGCTATGTTTGATCTCCTGTTACAATTCTTCAAAGAAATGTTTCAATATATGATCCCACTTGTTTACAATTTCCATTGAAAGCCCTGCTCTTGTCTGCAGCTCATCTGGGTGCAACAGTTTTGCACCCATCGGGTGAAAAGTTTGCTCAACTTCAGTTTTTCAGTGAGAAATGTGTAAGTAGAACCAGTTGAAATGTCTATGGTGTTGTATATTATTTGTGCTGTTAATTGTGGGTCCTCTTCAATTAGGGCACACCGAAGAATAATCTTTTCCTCAAAAATCGATGTGGATTGTCTGCCACTGCAGGCTTCCTCTTCAACATTGTCTCATCCCTTCTGCAAACAAGTTATCCATTTGTAAACTTCAGATTTCTTTGGGGGAATTTTCCCCATCAAACTTTTGTAAAGCATCCTTGATTTCACCATTCTTCCACCCAATCTTGACCATAAATTTGATGTTTTTTCTTGCTTCAATTCATGCTGCTCTGATAGGGGCTGTTTTCAAGCTGATGTCTTATCCTTTTTAGTGCCTCAAACTAGATCTTGTTCAGATACATTATAACAAGTGAGTACGAATTTTTGGTGCAAAAAAGTTTGAAATTCATACATAGTTTTTTTTTTAGTTAGGAAAAATGTTTATATAAATTTAAATTTACATATATTCCATCCTTCTCTTAACTGAAAAGAGTAAGAAACTTTCTGAGATTTTCTTTGTTACCAGTTCCTTTTTTTTTTTTTTTTTTAATATACTTTAAGTTCTGGGATACATGTGGAGAATGTGGAGGTTTGTTATGTAGGTATACATGTGCCATGGTAGTTTGCTGCACCCATTAACTCGTTGTCTACATTAGGTATTTCTCCTAATGCTATCCATCCCCTTGCCCCCCAACCCCCGACAGGCCCCAGAGTGGATGTTCCCCTCCCTGTACCCATATGTTCTCATTTTTCAACTCCCACTTATGAGTGAGAACATGGGGTGTTTGGTTTTCTGTTCTTGTGTTAGTTTGCTGAGAATGATGGTTTGCAGCGTCATCCATGTCCCTCCAAAGGACATGATCTCATCTTTTTTATGGCCGCATAGTATTCCATGGTGTGTATGTGCCACATTTTCTTTATCCAGTCTAACATTGATGGGCATTTGGGTTGGTTCCAAGTCTTTGCTATTGTGAATAGTGCTGCCAGAAACATACGTGTGCATGTGTCTTTATAGTAGAATGATTTATAGACCTCTGGGTATATACCCAGTAATAGGATTGCTGGGTCAAATGGTATTTCTAGATCCTTGAGGAATCGCCACACCATCTTCCACAATCGTTGAACTTATTTACACTCCCACACTGTTACCCAGTGTGAAAGCATTCCTATTTCCCCACCTTCTCTCCAGCGTCTGTTGTTTCCTGACTTTTCAATGATCGCCATTCTAACTGGCGTGAGATGGTATCTCATTGTGGTTTGCATTTGCATTTCTCTAATGACTAGTGGTGATGAGCTTTTTTTCATATGTTTGTTGGCCACATAAACGTCTTGTTTTGAGAAGTGTCTGTTCATATCCTTCATTCATTTTTTGATGGGATTGTTTTTGTTGTTGTTTTGTTTTTGTTTTTGCTTGTTTTTTTTGAAACAGAGTCTTGCTCTTGTTACCCAGGCTGGAGTGCAATGGTGCAATCTCAGCTCACTGCAACCTCCACCTCCTGGGTTCAAGTGGTTCTCCTGCCTCAGCCTCCGTAGTAACTGGGATTAGAGGTGCCTGCCACCATGCGCAGCTAATTTTTTTTTTTTTTTGGTATTTTTAATAGAGACGGGGTTTCACTGTGTTGGCCAGGCTGGTCTTGAACTCCTGACCTCAGGCAATCCACCCGCCTCAGCCTCCCAAAGTACTGGGATTACAGGCATGAGCCACTGTGCCCAGCTGGTTTTTTTTTTTTTTTTTTTATAAATTTGTTTAAGTTCCTTGGAGATTCTGGATATTAGCCCTTTGTCAGATGGATAGATTGCAAAAATTTTCTCCCATTCTGTAGGTTGCCTGTTCACTCTGGATAGTTTCTTCTGCTGTGCAGAAGCTGTTTAGTTTAATGAGATCCCATTTGTCAATTTTGGCTTTTGTTGCCATTGCTTTTGGTGTTTTATTCATGAAGTCTTTGCCCATGCCTATGCCTGAATGATATTGCCTAGGTTTTCTTCTAGGGTTTTTATGATTTTAGGTCTTGTATTTAAATCTTTAATCCATCTTGAGTTAATTTTTGTATAAGGTGTAAGGAAGGAGTCCAGTTCCAGTTTTCTGCATATGGCTAGCAGTTTATTAAATAGGGACTCCTTTGCCCATTGCTTGTTTTTCTCAGGTTTGTCAAAGATCAGATGGTTGTAGATGTGTGGTGTTATTTCTGAGGCCTCTGTTCTGTTCCAGTGGTCTATATATCTGTTTTGGTACCAGTACCATGCTGTTTTGGTTACTGTAGCCTTGTAGTATAGTTTGAAGTCAGGTAGCATGATGCCTCCAGCTTTGTTCTTTTTTCTTAGGATTGTCTTGGCTATATGGGCTCTTTTTTGGTTGCATATGAAATTTAAAGAAGTTTTTTCTAATTCTGTGAAGAAAGTCCATGGTAGCTTGATGGGAATAGCATTGAATCTATTAATTACCTTGGGCAGTATGGCCATTTTCACGATATTGATTCTTTCTATCCATGAGCATGGAATGTTTTTCCCTTTGTTTGTGTTCTCTCTTATTTCCTTGAGCAGTGGTTTGTAGTTCTCCTTGAAGAGGTCCTTCACATCCCTTGTAAGTTATATTCCTAGGTATTTGATTCTCTTTGTAGCAATTGTGAATTGGAATTTGCCCATGATTTGGCTCTCTGTTTGTCTATTATTGGTGTACAGGAATGCTTGTGATTTTTGCACATTGATTTTGTATCCTGAGACTTTGCTGAAGTTGCTTATCAGCTTAAGGAGTTTTTGGGCTGAGATGATGGGGTTTTCTAAATATTCAATCATGTCATCTGCAAACAGAGGTAATTTGACTCCCTATCTTCCTATTTGAATACCCTTTATTTCTTTCTCTTGCCTGATTGCCCTGGCCAGAGCGTCTAATACTATGTTGAATAGGAGTGTTGAGAGAGAGCATCCTTGTCTTGTACTGGTTTTCAAAGGTGATGCTCCCAGCTTTTGCCCATTCAGTATGATACTGGCTATGAGTTTGTCATAAATAGCTCTTATTATTTTGAGGTATGTTCCATCAATACCTAGTTTATTGAGTGTTTTTAGCATGAAGGGGTGTTGAATGTTATCAAAGGCCTTTTCTGCATCTATTGAGATAATCATGTGGTTTTTGTCATTGGTTCTGTTTATGTGATGGATTATGTTTATTGATTTGCATATATTGAACCAGCCTTGCATCCAAGGGATGAAGCCAACTTGATTGTGGTGGATAAGCTTTTTAATGTGCTGCTGGATTCAGTTTGCCTCTGTTTTATTGAGGATTTTTGCATCGATGTTCATCAGGGATATTGGCCTGAAATTTTCTTTTTTTGTTGTGTCTCTGCCAGGTTTTGGTATCAGGATGATGGCGGCCTCATAAAATCATAAAATGAGTTAGGGAGGAGTCTCCCTTTTTCTATTGTTTGGAATAGTTTCAGAAGGAATGATACCAGCTCCTCTTTATACCTCTGGTAGAATTCGGCTGTGAATCCATCTGGTCCTGGGCTTTTTTTGGTTGGTAGGCTATTACTTACTGCCTTAATTTCAGACCTTGTTATTGGTCTATTCAGGGATTTGACTTCTTCCTGGTTTAGTCTTGGTGGGGGTGTATGGTCTAGGAATTTATCCATTTCTTCTAGATTTTCTAGTTTATTTGCATAGAGATGTTTATAGTATTCTCTGATGGTAGTTTGTATTTGTGTGGGATCAGTGGTAATATCCCCTTTATCGTTTTTAATTGTGTCTATTTGATTCTTCTCTCTTTGCTTCTTTATAAGTCTGGCTAGTGGTCTATCTATTTTGTTGATCTTTTCAGAACAGCTCCTGGATCCATTGATTTTTTTCAGGGTTTTTTGTGTCTATATCTCCTTCAGCTCTGCTCTGATCTTAGTTATTTCTTGTCTTCTGCTAGCTTTTGAATTTTTTTTGCTCTTGCTTCTCTAGTTCTTTTAATTGTGATGTTAGGGTGTCAATTTTAGATCTTTCCTGCTTCCTCCTGTGGGCATTTAGTGCTATAAATTTCCCTCTGAACACTGCTTTAGCTGTGTCCCAGAGATTCTGGTATATT
The DNA here is from genome assembly GCF_000001405.40 of Homo sapiens. Lineage (NCBI taxonomy): Eukaryota > Metazoa > Chordata > Mammalia > Primates > Hominidae > Homo > Homo sapiens. The sequence continues at coordinate 140,936,309 of NC_000003.12, read as the reverse complement.
GTGTCTTTGTTCTCATTGGTTTCAAAGAACTTACTTATTTCTGCCTTAATTTCGTTATTTACCTAGTAGTCATTCAGGAGCAGGTTGTTCGGTTTCCATGTAGTTGTGTGGTTTTGAGTGAGTTTCTTAATCCTGAGTTCTAATTTGATTGTTCTGTGGTCTGAGAGACTGTTATTATGTCCATTCTTTTGCATTTGCTGAAGAGTGTTTTATGTGGTCAATTTTAGAATAAGTGCTATGTGGTCTTGAGAAGAATGTGTATTCTGTTGATTTGGGGTGGAGAGTTCTGTAGATGTCTGTTAGGTCCACTTGGTCCAGAGCTGAGTTTAAGTCCTGAATATCCTGGTTAATTTTCTGTCTCATTGATCTAATATTGACAGTGGGGTTTTAAAGTCTCCCATTATTATTGTGTGGGAGTCTAAGTCTCTTTTTAGGTCTCTAAGAACTTGCTTTATGAATCTGGGTGCTCCTGTATTGGGTGCATACATATTTAGGATAGTTAGCTCTTTTTCTTGCACTGATCCCTTTACCATTACATAATGCCCTTCTGTGTCTTTTTTGATCTTTGTTAGTTTAAAGTCTGTTTTATCAGAGACTAGGATTACAACCCCTGCTTTTTTTTTGCTTTCCATTTGCTTTGTAAATCTTCCTCCATCCCTTTATTTTGAGCCTATGTGTGTCTTTGCACGTGACATGGGTCCCCTGAATACAGCACACTGATGGCTCTTGACTCTTTATCCAATTTGCCAGTCTGTGCCTTTTAATTGGTGCATTTAGCCTGTTTACATTTAAGGTTAATACTGTTATGTGTGAATTTGATTTTGTCACTAAGATGCTACCTGGTTATTTTGCACATTAGTTGATGCAGTTTCTTCGTAGTGTTGATTGTCTTTACATTTTGGTTTGTTTTTGCAGTGGCTGGTACCAGTTTTTCCTTTCCATATTTAGTGCTTCCTTCAGGAGCTCTTGTAAGGCAGGCCTGGTGGTGACAAAATCCCACAGCATTTGCTAGTCTGTAAAGGATTTTATTTCTCCTTCACTTATGAAGCTTAGTTTTTCTGGATATGAAATTCTGGGTTGAAAATTCTTTTCTTTGAGAACGTTGAATATCGGCTCCCACTCTCCTCTGGCTTGTAGAGTTTCTGCAGAGATATTTGCTGTTAGTCTGATGGGCTTCCCTTTGTGGGTAACCCAGCCTTTCTCTCTGACTGCCCTTAAGATTTTTTCCTTCATTTTAACCTTGGTGAATCTGACGATTATATGTCTTGGGGCTTGTTTTCTCGAGGAGTATCTTTGTGGTGGTCTCTGTATTTCCTGAATTTGAATGTTGGCCTTTCTTGCTAGGTTGGGGAAGTTCTCCTGAATAATATCCTGAAGAGTGTTTTCCATCTTGGTTCCATTCTCCCTGTCACTTTCAGGTATACCAATCAAATTTAGGTTTGGTCTTTTCACATAGTGCCATATTTCTTGGAGGCTTTGTTTGTTCCTTTTCATTCTTTTTTCTCTAATCTTGTCTTCATGCTTTATTTCATTAAGTTGATCTTCAATCTCTGACATCCTTTCTTCCACTTGATTGATTTGGCTATTGATACTTCTTTCTGTATGCTTCACAAAGTTCTCATGTTGTGTTTTTCAGCTCTATCAGGTCATTTATGTTTTTCTCTAAGCTGGTTATTCTAGTTAGCCATTCCTCTAACCTTTTATCAAGGTTCTTAGCTTCCTTGCATTGGGTTAGAACATGCTCCTTTAGCTTGGAGGAGTTTGTTATTACCCACCTTCTGAAGCCTACTTCTGTCAATTCGTCAAATTCATTCTCCATCCAATTTTGTTCCCTTGATCCTTTGGAGAAGAGACGTTCTAGTTTTTGGCATTTTCAGCCTTTTTGCACTGGTTTTTCCTCATCTTCATGGATTTATCTACCTTTGGCCTTTGCCGTTGGTGACCTTCGGATGGAGCTTTTTTTGGTCATCCTTTTTTTTTTGATGTTGATGCTATTGTTTTCTGTTTGTTAGTTTTCCTTCTAACAGTCAGGACCCTCTTCTGCAGGTCTGCTGGAGTTTGCTGGGGGTCCACTCCTGACCCTGTTTGCCTGGGTATCACCAGTGGAGGCTGCAGAACAGCAAAGATTGCTGCCTGCTCCTTCCTCTGGAAGCTTCATCCCAGAGGGGCACCCGCCAGATACCAGCTGGAGCTCTCCTGTGTGATGAGTCTGTTGACCTCTGCTGGGAGTTGTCCTCCTGTCAAGACGCTCAGGGGTCAGGGACCCACTTGAGGAGCCAATCTGTCCCTTAGCAGAGTCTGCCGCTCTCTTCAGAGCCGGCAAGCAGGAACGTTTAAGTCTGCTGAAGCTGTACCCACAGCTGCCCCTTCCCCCAGGTGCTCTGTCCCAGGGAGATGGGAGTTTTCTCTGTAAGCCCCTGACTGGGGCTGCTGCCTTTCTTTCAGAGATGCTCTGCCCAAAGAGCAGGAATCTGGAGAGGCAGTTGGGCTACAGTGGCTTTCCAGCGCTGTGGTGGGGCTCTGCCTAGTCCGAACTTGGAGCAGCTTTGTTTACACTGTGAGGGGAAAACCAACCGCCTACTCAAGCCTCAGTAATGGCAGACGCCCCTCCCCGCGCCAAGCTCAAGCGTCCCATGTTGACTTCTGACTCCTGTACTGGCAGCGAGAATTTCAAGCCAGTGGATCTTAGCTTTTTGGGCCCCATGGGGGTGAGATTTGCTGAGCTAGATCACTTGGCTCCCTGGCTTCAGCCCCCTTTCCAGGGGAGTGAACAGTTCTATCTTGCTGGCGTTCCAGGTGCCACTGGGGTATGAAAAAAAACTCCTGCAGCTAGCTCAGTGTCTCCCCCAGTTGCTGCCCAGTTTTGTGCTTGAAACCCAGGTCCTTTGTGCTGTAAGCACCCGAGGGAATCTCTGGTCTGTGGGTTGTGAAGACTGTGGGAAAAGTGTAGTATCTGGTCCAGAGTGCACTGTCCCTTACAGCACGGTCCCTCATGGCTTCCCTTGGCTAGGGGAGGGAGTACCCCAACCCCTTGTGCTTCCTGGGTGAGACGATGCCCCACCCTGCTTCCACTCGCCCTCCGTGGGCTGCACTCACTGTCTAACCAGTCCCAACGACATGAACTGGATACCTCAGTTGGAAATGCAGAAATCACCCGCCTTCTGCTTTGGTCTTGCTGGGAGCTGCAGACCAGAGCTGTTCCTATTTGGCCATTTTGCCCGGGATACATAGTTTTTTTTATAATATGCATTTTCCGTGAACCTTTTCAAGATCCTTCATATTTCTAATAACAAAAATGGGCCAGGTGCTGTGGCTTATGCTTATAATTCTAGCACTTTGGGAGGCCAAGGCAGAAGGATTGCTTTAGGCAAGGAGTTGGAGACCACCCTGGGCAATACAGTGAGGCCCCTGTCTTTACAAAAAATAAAACAGGAGGCTGAGTTAGAGTCTGCAGTAAGCTATGATAGCATTAGTCCACTCCAGCCTGGGCAACAGAGTGAGACCCTGTCTCATAAACAAAAATTTAAAAATGGTAGCTGATATTTCTTGGGGACTTACTAATGTACCAGGCTTTAAGCACTTTATAACACTCTCTTTGTTATTTTAGAGATGGCATCTCTCTTTGCTGCCCAGAGTTGCTACATTGCTATGTTGTGCAGGCTGGCCTCAAACTCCTGGATGCAAAAACCCTCCTGCCTCAGTCTCCTGAGTAGCTAGGACAACAGCCACACAACACCATGCCCAGCTATAACATTTTATCATTAAACTCTCACAACTACCCTATGAGATAAGTGATATAATCCCCTTAATTTCACATGAGAAAACTGTGTTTAGAATAAGTAAGTGACTTGGTCATGATTACCCAGTTCATCCAAGGGGAGCTTGGATTTGAATCCACCAGTCTGTCTGACTCCATAGCTTCAGTTGGTAAACAAGCTGCCATCAGAAGGGGAAAACTTGACAAAATTTGTCAAAAACAGAAAAGTAGAAATAAAAATTGGGGCACTCCTAGCCATACTTTCCAAAAACACACTGCGTTAACATTTGAGGGCTATTTCTCTCTTATACCAGCTTTATCAAAATACAATTCACATACCATAAAATTCATCAACTTAAAGTGTATGATTTAGTGGTTTTTAGTATATTTCAAGGTTATGCAATCATCACCACTACCTAATTCCAGAATATTTTTCTTACCCAAAAACTGACCCTGTACCTTTTAGCAGTCACTTCCATTTCCCTCTTTTATCTCCTGGCTAATCTACTTTCTAACTCTTTGGTTTTGCCTATTCTGGACATTTCATACAAATGAATCATACAATATGAGGCATTTTTGTATCCAATTTCTTTCACTAAACATAGTGTTTTTGAGGTTCATTCATGTTGCAGTGTTTTTCAGTACTTCACTCCCTTTTATGACTGATAACATTCCATTTTATGTATATATCAATTTTGTTTATCCATTCTCAATTGATGGCTCTTTGGATTGTTTCTGCTTGTTTGTTATCCGTTTATATGAATAATGCTGCTATGAACATTCTTGTACAAGCTTTATTATGGGCATATGTTTTCAATTCTCTTGGGCATATACCTAGGAGTGGAACTGCTGGGTTACATAACCCTATGTTTAACCTTCTGGGGTGCTGCCAATCTTTTCCAAAGTGGCTGCACCATTTTAGGTGTATTTCATTTAAGACAATAGCTGTAGCTCATGTTTTTGATATAGTGAATGCCATAGTAATTACACTTAATGAAGTTTCTGAAACTGGTAAGGAGGGAGCCAGAGTTCTTATGTGCAATAAGAGTTATTTCTATGTGTAATGACAGTTCCTAATGTGATGGGTTCTTTTTGAACCTCATTCAGAAGCCACCGTGGAAGTCGACTCTGCCCTCTGCACATTCTGGCTGGTATCCCTGGGGACCGCCCCCTCGGGTGTGGTTGCCTTAGTCGTCATCCTTGCTGGGATTCCAGGGTTGAGTTGCTGAGGTGCAAGCGTGATCTGCCCACTCTTTTATAACCTTCCCCCTCATTCGTGTTTCTTCGAATGCTTCTTCAAGTGGTTCCATCAAGATCAGTACAAACGTGAGGTTTCTGGAGCCCGTGGCCCTTGCACAAACATGCTTCCAGAAGAAAGTCGTTAGGGCAGGGTGGGTGGGACTAAGACCACGCTTTGGTATTAGATGCATCTTCACCTCCTCCCACCACCTATTCCTGCTGAGGGGCCTTCTGGGAGTTGTAGTTTCTTATTGAATAAAGAGAAAGGGATCTTCACCATCAGTGTGTTCTCAACCCAATGCCAGCCTCAAAACAAACAAGCAAACTCATTATGAAGTAAAGGGGACTAGATTTCCGGGTTAGTACTGGTCTCAACTTTTAATTGCTAATAAGCCGAAGAAAAGTTGTTAATACCTATGGTGGAGTAGAGCTTAGATGGACCACTGATGTCATCCTCCCCAACCCCTACACCTTGGCCTCTATTGGTCTTGTGGGTTCAGAAAATTCCTGTGGCTTTTCGGAAAAGCCAAAAAGTGTGCTTGACATTTTTTCTTCCCTGCAGTACCTGGCACAATGTTAGCACTGGGTCAGCATCCAGGGTCAAAAAAAAATTCCTTATTTTTTAAAATTTTTATTGATTTTATTTCTATTATTTATCCTTATTTATTTTATTTCTATGTCTTCTTCACTATTTTAGTGGGAGATTGGAAGAGATTTGTTCATATTCTCTTAGCCATATGCTATCTTAATTTTTTTCTTCATTTTACTTTTAGTAAAAACTAGTAAATTCAGAGAGTACAAAGGTGCATGAGATAGAAATTAAAATCCTCCCATCAACCTCTCTTCCTAAATCCCACTCCTCAGGGGAATCCCAACAGTTGGGTAAATGTTTTTCTGGGTACTCTCCGTGCCAAGCTGGTGATTATCTCAAAGTGCTTCAGATTTATACAACACTTAGAGGCATTGTTGCAAGCCCTTTGCCAGTATTTAATCTTCTCTACAACCTAATGAGGTGCCATTTTACAGATGAGGAAACTGAGAGGTCAGGGAATTTGTTAAGGTGACTTAGCTAGAATGTCACTGAGCTGGGATGGAAACATGGGCAGTTTGGCTCCAAAGTCTACACTCTTGCCTTCTATTCTACACCATTTCAATAGTTTTCTTTGTTGATTGAAAATGTAAGCTGTAGTTCCTGCAATCACCGCCACCACCCCCAACAACGAGAAACTGGTGCCCAAGAAGACAAAATGTTCACTTATATCTGAGCTCCAGATGAAAAGTCATGAGGGCAATTGTTCCCTAATGCGGACTTAATCTCCTTTTGGAGCTGCCACTCCTATCAGCCACTCTGTGTATTCAAAAATTTTTCTTTTTCTTTTTTTTTTTCCAACAAGAATGAGGTTGAATCAATAATGTTTAATGGTTCTTAGATACAATGGTGGCAAGCATACAGAAGTAGTACTGGGGCTAGATAAGAAGCTTTACTTGTAAAAAGGGATTTTCCCCATAGTGAATCAACATTTTCCTTGTATTTCTCAGGACAGTGTCCCAGGAGCCATGAACAAACAAACAAACAAACATGATTTTTCTTATATTTCAGGAGAAGGGTATTAGAAGACAGGGAAGGCCTTGCAAAGAAATATGTAGATTTCATTGAGAAGAGGGTGTAACACACTTTTTTTATTTTGCATGGACATGCCTAGTTCTTCAACACTGTGGTAATAGAGTAGTACCCTGCTTCCCATTTAGGAACCGATCTAGGGGCCTCATCAAGAGCCACTGCTTTGAAACTCAGCTTCCATGTTGGCATTTAGATCTTGCTTTTAACATTAACTCCTTGTTTTTATTGAAAAAATAATAAAAACAAACAACCAATCCAAAAATGGGCAAAGGACTTGAATTCACATTTATCCAAAGAAGAGATACAAATGGCAATAAGCCCATAAAAAGATGCTTAACATTACTAATCATTAGGGAAACATATATCAAAACCATAATGAGATACTACTTCACACTCATTAGGATGGCTATAAACAAATGTGCATATTTTAAAAAACCCAGAAGATACAAGAGTATTGACCAGGATGTGGAGAAATTGGAAACTCGTGCATATTGCTGCTGGGAGTGTAAAATGGTGCAGCTGTTGTGAAAAACTGTATCACAGTTTCTTAAAAAGTTAAACATAGAATTACTGTATGACCTAGCAATTCCACTTCTTGGTCTACACCCAAAAGAATTGAAAACAGAGATTCCAACAGATACTTGCACATCAATGTTCATAACAACATTATTTACAATAGCTCAAAGAGGGAAACAACTTGTCAACATGTCCATCAGCAGGTGAATGGATACACAATATGTTGTACATACATACAATGGATGTTATTCAACCTTAAAAAGAAAGGAAATTCTGACCCCGGCTACAACATGGATGAAACTAAAACATTATGCCAAGTGAAATAAATCAGACACAAAAGGACAAATATTGTAATGATTCCACTTATGTGAGGTACCTAGAATAGTCAAATTCATACAAAGAAATAGTGGTTTCTATGGGCTGTGGGGAGGAGAAAATGGAGAGCTATTGTTTAATGGGTTTGGGTTTCCATTTGGAATTATTAAAAAGTTCCAGAAATGGATATTGATAATGGCTGCAGTACAATGTGAATGTACTTAATGCCACTGAATTATATACTCAAAAATGATGAAAATGATAAACGTTATATTATATGTATATATTTTACCACAATAAAAAAAATTACAGGTGATGCACATGGTTATAAAAAAGTAAATGTGTAGTACTGGAGAAGTTATAAGGAAAAACATCAGACCCCCACCCCATTTTTTTTCTATCTCCACATTTTTGTACCTAGAAGTAACCACATTCAACTTTTTCCTCTTTCTTTAGTTCTGTAGTTCTCAACAGTAGTAGTGTATGATGTTTTTTTGAATTTCTTAAATTCAGATATTATTTATTACATTTCTGGTTATAATAAATGCAGATTTAGCTTTCTTACTCCATTTTCTTATTCCCCATTTTTCTTGTTCCATCTTCCCCAAAACCTTTAGGATATATATTTTTTTATCTCTGGCTTTAGGAAATTTTTGACACAAGGTATCATGATGTTGGTGGGGTCTCTACATTTACTGTGCTGGGTACCCAGTTGGCCTTTGCAGTCTGAAGAGGAAAATCTGTAATTTGCCCTTGGACTGTCTTTAATGGTTTCATAGGTGCCACCTTGGGTCTCTGAGCCCTCCCCAAAGTCAAAAAGTGATTGATATTTTTTCTCCTCTACAGTACCTGGCACAATGTTAGCACTGGGTCAGCATCTGGGGTCAAGAGCCATTAGTTGAAAGGATAGACTTCTGGTTTGGCAGCACGGCTGTTAGAGGCAGCATCTGACAAATATTTAGTAACGAAGGGGGTGATAACAGCTTCATTTTACAGCCTGGGGTTAAGAGAACCAGTTCAGCAACTTTTTGGCTTCTCCAGCCTCTACTTTTAAAAGCCATCCCCTCTTAATCTGCTTAATAGTTGGGTGAACAGGTAGGAAATGGAGAACAGTGCAGAAGAGTCTCATTGTGCTTGGGTCAGGGTCAAAGATAAGTGCTGGAAGGGAAAGCCCCACAACTTATAGTCAGAATTACCTCTGAAAAGCCTAGAAATCTCCCAGAAGTAGGAGATACTCTTTTTTTGTACTAATATTTATCTCTGCTCTTCAATGAATCTTCTAGTATCTTCTTCCAAGATGTCAATGAAACCATTGCCACTCAATTTCTTGGCCACAGCTAAATAGTTTGTCTTTCATTCTGTCATTGATTGTGAAATACTTAAAATTGTTTTCACAGTTTTTTCATAATTTTGGCTGAGTAAGGCTTTCGTTTCCAAACAGGATGGAGTAATAAGATCAGAGATAACATTAAAAACCAGTCCCAGCACTTTGGGAGGCCAAGGTAGGAGGATCACTTGAGCCCAGCAGTTTGAGACCAGCCTGGGCAACATAGTAAGCCCTCATCTCTACAAAAAATAAAAAATTAGCCAGGCATGGTGATGCACACCTATAGTCCCAGCTACTTGGGAGGCTGAGGTGGGAGGATGGCTTGAGCCCAGGTGTTTGAGGATGCAGTGAGCCATGATCATGCCACTGCAGTCCAGCCTGGGCAACAGCAAGACCCGGTCTCAAACCAACCAAACAACAAACAAAACAACAACAAAAACACCCAGGATATATATACATATACATATATTTATATATACGTATATATAAGTACATATATGTATATATAGACACGTGTATATATATGGTTTTTAAGACACCTGGGTAATGAAACACAGTGATTCCTGAGAGATGCGAAACAAAGCAAGTCAAATTGCAACAGCTTATTACCTGGAGAGAGTTTCCAAGCCACAGCACAGGAAGACGGGAACCAGGCAGAGCCTGGCAGGAACAGACATCTTGGATTGAGGACATGCAGTTGAGAGTCTAGGGAGACCAGGCTGTTAGGATTTGTGTGTCAGAGTACCAAGAACCCCAGGTATTGACAGTTTTATTTGACATTTTGGCTAAGTACTGATGAGTGCATGCATGTGAGGAAACTACCTGAGGGAGGAAAAGATCCTCTTCAAAGAATGAGGAGGGATAGTTTGTAGCATTCACACAGGGCCAGGAATAGTGCCTATTCCCATCAGGTAGAATGAAAAATCTCAAAAATCATGGGGCATTAAGTAGAGTACTCAGAAGGGTCTTGCCTCACCGGTAGGGAAGAATTAGCCCTAGATTAAACACTGCTCTAATCCTGCCTAATAAATCTTTAAAGTGAAATGTGAAAGAATTAAACTGTGTGCAATTTAATGCATCCCAGACCAAAGGGATGTATTTTGTATTTTATTGAATACAAAAATATCCCAGTACCCAACAAAATAAAATTTATAATGTCTGGCATCCATTCAAAGAAGCAGGAAAATGTGACCCAAAAATACTATTGTATGTTTCTTTGCTATGTGTGAAGTATAGTATCACTTGAAGTGAACTGTGATAAGTTAAAGATGTATACTATAAACCCTAAAGTACCCAGTAACATAACAGAGTTATAGCTAACATCCAGCAAAGAAGGTAAAATTGAATCATAAAAAAATACACAATCAAATAAAAGACAAGAAAAGACGGAAAGGCCACAAAGAACAAATGGGCCAAATAGAAAACAAATATCAAGATGACAGAATTAAACCTAACTATATAGATAATCATATTAAAAGTAAATGACCTAAACATCTCAATCAAAAGGAGGAGATATTCAAATAGGACCAAAAAGCAAGATCCAATTATATGCTGCCTGTAAGAAACCACATTGAAATATAAAGACACAATCATGTCAAAAGTAAAAAGACAGAAAAATATATGCCATGGTAACAGTAGTCAAAAGAGAGCAGGAGTAGCTGTATAAATGTTAGACGAAATACATTTCAGAGCAAATAATATTACCAGCAGTAGAGAATGTCATTTCATAATGATAAAGAATTAGTTCATCAAGAGGATAGAATAATTCTAAATATTTATTTATACAATAACAGAGCTACAAAATACACATAGTGAATACTGATAGAACTGTAAATTCTGTCTGCAACCATAGTCAGAGATTTTAATACCCTTCTGTCATAGAACAAGTAGACAGACCATATCAGCAAAGATATACTAGCTTTGAACAATACTATCCACCAATGTCTCCTAATTAACATTTATAGAACACTTCTCTCAACGGCAGCAGAATTCACATTCCTTTCAGGTGTACATGGAGCATTTACCAGATAGACCATATTCTGAACCACAGAACACATCTCAAAAAATTTAAAAGGGCCCAAGTCACACAAATGATGTTCTCTGAACAATGGAATTAAATCAGAAATGATGATTTTAGCTGAACTGTAGCATCGTTTCAGGTTTGAGTGCATCTACTGCTCATGTAATTTGATTCCTTAAATTAAGTGTGTGTACAACTCCACCCTTATAAGGACAAAGAGAGGATGTGAAAATGGAATGAAGTGATTGCTAAATGTGTGTATGTAATAGGTAGATAACTGAATAAGTGATAAGTTGGTACAATTGTAACTGTGGGTGAGAAATTGTCCACCATCCATTTGGGTCTAAGAAAGAAAATGTCTATTGACAGTTATGCAACTAACTTTTATTCAACTGATTTTTATCAGCTAGGTATCTGACCTATTGGTGGATGCTTTTACATAACATATTATCTCACATATAAGTATATGAGATAAACCTTGTAGGTTGAATTTATTCATTTTTCTACTTATAAGGGAGAGGAGGGGTGGGAATAGATAAAAGAAAGTTCAAATCCCTTAGCTTGGCACTCAAGCCTTTCATGGTGAAATCCGTGTCTACCTCTCCCTCCCACCCTCCTGCCTTGAACAAGCACAAGTTACTCTAGGCCTGCTGAGCTGCTGCTGTTGTTCATACTCACACAGTTGTTTCATTCTTTTGGGCTTTCAGATATGCCTCCCTCTGGAAAATCTCTCTCCCCTACTTTAGGCCTCCGCAGCTCTGGGCTGACCTCACCAGACCCCGTTCTGTCCACACCTTGGGCTCATGTACTCCCTGAGTGCCAAGATTCCTGGCATACGAAAGGCACTGTGCTGTCCCAGGCTGGGAGCCATCTCATATTTGTCTCTGTAGCTTCATTGGCACTTGGCAACATGGACATCCAAGAAATATTTTTCCACATGCCTACCCTGTGCCAAGTACTGTCCTAGCAGAGCAGTAAGACAGACAAGGTGACAGCTGTCGCTGAAGTTATATTCTATTGTAAAACAGACAATACACTGGTCAGTAAGTAAAATAATTTTACAATGTAAACAATTTTATGGAAAAACAAATGAGAGGAGGGTGTTGTTTAGACCGAGTGGTTAGGGGCACACTCTCTGAGGATATGACATTCATGCTGAAAACAGAGAATAAGAAGGAGCCAGCCACGTGAAGAGGTGGGTAGTATGAGTTTGCTGGAGCTGCCATAACAAAAAGTACCACAGATCAGGTAGCTCCACCAACAGAAATTTGCTTACAGTTTTGGAGGCTAGAAGCCCAAGATGGACATTTTGGGAGGCTTGGTTTCTTCTAAGGTCTTGCTCCTTAGCTTGCAGATGGCTGCCTTCTCATTGGGACCCTGCCACATGGTTGTCTGTCAGTGTGTATCTGTGTTCCAGTCTCCTCTTCTTATAAGGACATCAGTCATGTTAGATTAGGGCGATTGTAGGTGTGGCTTAGAGTACTCATAGAGGAATACAGATTTTCTGCTAGATGGAGGGCCAAAGATAAGGGGGAGAGTAAGTGGGTGGGGATGAGGAAGAAAGTACATGGCACCTTCTGCTGTTTTAGTCAATCAAGAACAAACAAAAAGAGAAAATGCATGGCATCTTTTATAAAAATATAATTATCACTTTGGGAGGCCGAGGTGGGAGGTTCACAAGGTCAGGAGATCGAGACCATCCTGGCTAACACGGTGAAACCCCGTCTCTACTAAAAATACAACAGATTATCTGGGTGTGGTGGCATGTGCCTGTAATCCCAGCTACTTGGGAGGCTGAGGCAGAGAATCACTTGAACCCGGGAGGCGCAGGTTGCAGTGAGCCGAGATTGTGCCATTGCACTCCAGCCTGGGTGACAGAGTGAGACTCTGCCTCTCAAAAAAATAAAATAAAATAAAGTAAAATAATTATCAACCCAAATTCATCATTGCAGTATGAGGTGCTAATCTATGAACACTTTCCATGACTACAACAAGGCCACTGTAATGAGTCTTGGATGACTTGATTGGAATAGTAAGTGCCATTCAAGTCCCTATATGCCAGATACCTGCTTTATATGCAGCTTCATTTCATCCTCATGACAATCATGTGAGAGGGAATTGCCACCATCATCTTAGATATGAAGAAACAGAGACTCTAGTGAAAACAGTGGTGAGTATCAGAGCTGGAAATGCACCCTCCAACCTCCCAACCCCTCCCTGACATCCCTTAGTGCCCTTCTGTCCTCTGCGCTAGTCTCTCCCTCCACTGCTTACTGTGGGGCTCAGCGGAGGGCTGCTGGCTGCCCCATCTCACCTGAGCAGCTGAGCCTCTGTCTCAGATCTGCCTGCGGAGCAAGCTCATCAGTGGAGACCTGAGCCTGCAGGCCTTAATGATATAGAGTTGCTAAAAGGGAACATTTAATTGCATGTTTTATTAATTTATTCCTTATGAAATAATAATAATGAATTTTTGCTAACACAAAGTCTGGGCAGCAGTGAGTAACTTTGACATGTGGAATTCTTGAAAATACTAAAACTCCCCCAATTCAGGTTCCTGAGTAGTTATCTGTGGTGAGACAAAGAAGGGGATATTGATGAAACCCTCACTGATGATACTGAGGGTTTCATCAACATCCCCTTCTTTGTGTCTCCATAGATAACTACTCCACCTAGAGGACTCTCTGCTCAACTCCATCCTGATCTCTTAAGGAAAGCTGCAAACTTATCTTTTATGAAAAGGAAAATAAAACATTCAAAAGGAAGGAGAAGCCCAGGGTGGGGAGGGCAGCAGCTGGCAATGCAGAGGAAAGCAAAACAGTTCTGGAGGAGGTGAGGAATGGGACATGCAGAGGTCACGAAGCTGAAGACCTTTTCTTCCTGCCCAGACCACTGAGCTGGCCAAGAAGTAAGGAACCTGACTTCCTGAGAGGCCTGACTTTGAAGGGAAGGCAACCCTCTATCCCCAAGTGTTTTTCTGCTGTCCAGGAGGAATGTCAGCTCTGGACACCAAACAGAGGTGGTCATCACTTTTACTTGGTCCACAACACACATTGCCACCCTCTCTTCAGAAGGCCCTGAGGCCAGGAACACAGTTTTAAGAAGTGGAGAGACAATCAATAAAGAGGAGAGAATGGCCAGTATTCCAGGCAGGTATCCAGTGATTTGTGGAGATGATACAGAGGCCACAGCCTCTGCCTTTGGCATTCTCATCTTCACAGAAGCAAAAGGGCCCTTTTATCTAATGGGGGAAGGAATGTCTTTTTGTGGGAAGGCCTCTTTATAGGTACAGTTGGATTCCTGCCCTTAGGGAATGGTCAGTTTGAGAGAGTAGACAAGTTCAAGGAGCTCCCAGGCTAATGGCCTCTGTTCTCATGGAGTCCCCAATAAGTCCTTGGGGAAATCCCAGCCCAATGCAGTTACACAACAGTGGTTTATAATGTTAGGTATATATAGGTGCCCTCTATTTTAAGTAACCACAAAATACAGACTTTAAAAAGCATTCTGTTTTTTAGATCTAAGTACATATGAAAATTTAGCATGAAAGTGGCATTTCAAATCACTGGGGGAAGATAAATTATTCAATAAGTCATGTTGAGATAACTGAATTAGCATATCTATAAAAACCAAACAATACCTGGATTCCTAACCTCATTCTTTAGATCAAAATAATTTCCAGGTGGATCAAAGATTTAAATAAAAAAGTGAAGCCAAGTCATGAAGGTAAGAAGACAAGTCACAGCCTAGGACAAAATATTTGCAAAACATATCTGAAAAAGACTGTTATCCAAAATATACAAAGAACTCTTAAAACTCAACAATAAGAAAATAAACAATCTGATTTTAAAAATGGGCAAAAGACCTGGTCATCTCACTAAAGAAGATACACAGATGCCAAATAAGCATGTGAAAAGATGTTCAACATCTTATGTCATTAGGGAATTGCAAATTAAAACAGCAATGAGATACCATTACACACCCATTAGGATGGCCAAAATCGAAAACACTGACAATACAAAATGCTGGTGAGGACATGGAGCAATAGGAACTCTCATTTACTGCCAGTGGGAATGCAAAATTGCACAGCCACTTTGGAAGATAGTTGGACAGTTTCTTACAAACTAAAGTTACTTCTACTATGTCCTGTTTATCCAAATGAACTACAAAATTATGTCCACACAAAACCTGCACATGGATGTTTATAATAGCTTTATTCATAATTGTCCAAACTTGGAAGCAACCAAGATGCCCTTCTGTATGTGAATGGATAAATAAACTATGGAGGTACTTCCATACAGTGGAATATTATTCAGCAGTAAAAAGATACCCACTATCAAGCCATGAAAAGACATGGAGGAGACTTAAGTGCATATCATTAAGTGAAAGAAGCCAATCTGAAAGTACTACATCTTAGATAATTCCAACTATATGGCATTCTTGGAAAGGCAAAACTATGAAGACAGTAAAAAGATCAGTAGTTGCTAGGAGTTGGGGAGAGCAAAGGATGACTAGGCAGAGAACAGAGGATGAGATATGGATGAGATATGTTGTTTATTAGATACTTGATTTCTTTTAAATTTTAGATTTGGGGGTACATGCACACATTTGTTACACGAATATATCGCATGATGCTGAGGTTTGGGCTTCTATTAATCCTGTCACCCAAATAGTGAACATGCAGTTTTTCAACCCCTGCTCTTCTCCCTCCCTCTCCCCTTTTGGAGTCCCCAGTGCCTATTGTTCCCATCTTTGTCTCAGTGTGTCCCCAGTGTTTAGCTGCCATTTATAAGTGAGAATATGTGTTATTTTGTTTTGTTTTTGTATTAATTTATTTAGAATAATGGCTTCTAGCTGCATCCATGTTGCCGCAAAAGACATAATTTTGTTCTTTTTTATGGCTCATGCTATGCCATGATGTATATGTACCACATTTTCTTTAGTCCACTCTTGATAGGCACTTGGGTTGATTCCATGTCTTTGCTATTGTAAATAATACTGCAATGAACATACAAGTGCATGTGTCTTTTTGATTGAATAAATTATTTTCCTTGAGTATAGACCCAGTAGTGGGATTGCTGGGTCAAAAGGTGGTTCTGTTTTAAGTTCTTTAAGAAATCTCCAAACTGCTTTCCACAGTTGCTCAACTAGTTTACATTCTCAGCAACAGTGTATAAGCACTACTTTTTCTCTGCAACCTTGCCAACATTTGTTATTTTTTGACTTTTTAATAGTCGCCATTCTGACTGTTGTGAGATGGTGTCTCATTGTGGTTTTGATTTGCATCTCTCTGATGATTAGTAATGCTGAGCATTTTCTGACATGTTTGGTGGAGCTTGTATGTCTTCTTTTCAGAAGTGTGTTCATGCCCTTTGCTCACTTTTTAGTGAGATTATTTGTTTTTTGTTTGTTGATTTAAGTTCCTTATAGATTCTGGATGCAGAATCTTTTGGATTTGCTGGATCCAATTTGTTGGATGCGTGGTTTGCAGATATTTTCTCCTGTTCTGTAGGTTGTCTATTTACTCTGTTGGTAGTTTGTTTTACTGGAGCAGAGAGGATTTTTAAGGCAGTGAAACTATTCTCTATGAATCTATAATGGTGGATACATGTCATTATGTATTTGTCAAAATCCATAGAGTGTACAACACCAAGACTAAACCCCAATGCAAACTATGAACTTTGAATTGACAATGACATGTCACTAAAGGTTCACAGATTTTAACAAATATGCAACTGTGGTGCAGGAGGAATGTTGATCATGGGGTAGGCTATGCACATGTGGCAGCGGGACGTATGTGGGAACTCTGTACTTTCTCATCAGTTATGCTGTGAACCTAAAACTGCTCTGAAAAATAAAGTATTTTAAAAAAGTAAGCCATCAGAAAATAAAGAAACAAAACGAAGTGAAGCCAAGCAGATTTATTCATAATAATCCAAAACTAGAAAATATCCAACAAGTGAAGGGACAAGTAAATTGTGGTTTATCCATACAATGAAATACTACTCAACAATAAAAAAGAAAGATGATACACATAATAACATAGATGAACCTCACAGACATTAGGTTTAGTGAAGGAAGCTGGATACAAAACACATACTGTACAATTCTGCATGACATTCTAGAACAAGCGAAACGAATCTAAAAGGAAAGAAAGCAGATCCATGGTTGCCTAGGAGTGAGGGTGGGGTGGTGATTGAGTATAAAGGGTTGGAGACTTGTTTTTTTTTTTTTTTTGAGTTGGAGTTTTGCTCTTGTCACCCTGGCTGGAGTGCAATGGCGCGATCTTGGCTCACTGCAACCTCTGCCTCCAGGTTCAAGTGATTCTCCTACCTCAGCCTCCCGAGTAGCTGGGATTACAGACACTTGCCACCACACCCAGCTAATGTTTGTATTTTTAGTAGAGACAGGATTTCACCATGTTGGTCAGGCTGGTCTCAAGCACCAGACCTCAAGTGATCCACCTGCCTCAGCCTCCCAAAGTGCTGGGATTACAGGTGTGAGCCACCGCGCCCGGCAACGGATGGAGACTTGTTAAGGGGATGGGACTGCTCTTACTTATAATGCATTACTTGGCTGTATATATTTGTCAAAACTCACTGGAGTGTATACTTGAAACAGGTGCATTTTATCGTATGTAATTTATACCTCAATAAAGTTGATTTAAAAAATGAAACCATAAAAAATTTAGAAGAAAACATGTGAGACTCTAAAAAATATATAACTTTAGGATGAGGAAGGCATGTTTAAACATGGCACAAAACCTAGATAGCATAAAAGAAAAGATTAATTAATCTGATAATAGAAATGAAAATTTTCTGAATGGCAAAAAAATACCATGTGCAAAGTAAAAACAAGTGGCAAACAGGAAAACATTTACAACTGGGTTTCTCTTGTTCCTAAAGTTCTCTAGCTAAAACAGAGTGTAAATACAAACCCATTTTCTCAAAACAGAGCCTGGTGAGGGATATAAATGTACATAAGTTCTGAGGTTTGAAGGTGGTGATTGGAGTTGGGCTGGGTTAATCGTGTGGGGGTTGACTTGCTGGAGGAAGTGATTGATAATAACAGAGCATATCCCATTTGGACAGTCTCCCTACCTGGGACTAAGAGATGCAACCATAATAAACTCACCATCAAACTTTGATTTCGGACTACTAGTGTTCTGCTGCTGCGGCTGCTGTTGGTGATAATGACCTGACATACCTGGATTTTTTAGGGTATTTGTGCAGTTCCAGGTTAAATACGGAGGTACTGGAATCCAAGATAATTTCAATCCTCTCCTTCCCTCTCCATGTGTCTTGATGAAGATGTGAAAAATATCCTTTTTCTCTGAGTTTGAACCAAGTTTTCCCAAATTAAATCTTAAAAAGGAAACAAATGGAAAACGCCTGCATGCTGATCCCCTCCACCCTTGCCTTACACCTGAGCGTCTTCTAGAAACCTAGTTTATGATTAACCAAAGCCTAGTCCCAGGTTAGACTAGCTGACCCTGCTGATCACACACCTGGCCCTGGGCTCCTTTCCCTGATGGCAGCTCTGTCTGGCTCCTAATTAAATATAGCTTGGCTTTTAGGTCAAGGTCGATTGGGTTGGCATAACATCAAGGCCTGGCTGGGTGCTGCGTCTTGTCCAGAGCTAATTTCTGATCTCATGTCTAGCTATGGGCCCCAAGTCACCCTCCTCAGCCCAGTGTGAATTGTGTTTCTGTCCTGAGGCAGGTGGCCTGTGTGCCTTGACCCCCGTGCTGGACCGTGGCTTTTCTGAGGGGAAGTTCCTTTTCTGTGTAGCCCCAAAATCCTCTTCTTACTCTTCAAGCCAGTCATCCTTTGCTTTGCAGTTGCTTTTCTTCTCCAGGTTCTTTCCTTGGCTCTGAGCTCCTGGAAATCCACCCATACTTTTCTGGGCACCCACTACATGCCAGGTATCTAGCTAGATGCTGGGATTAGCCCTGCCCTCATGTTGCTCACATTTTTGTGGGGTGGACAGACAGGTAAATGAGTCCTAACAAATCGTGGCTGTGATAAAAGAAAGCCTGGTGTGGGGAGAAGCAGAGGGATCCTAGAAGACAGAGGAACTATCCAGCTGAGGAGAGATCAGAGGAGACTTCTATAGGATGTAATATTTGAGGCCACACCTGCAAGGCAGACAGGTAGACAGGTAGAGGAAGATGCCCCAGACAGAAGGAATAGCCTCTATAGAAGCATGAAACAGGAGCATGAGAAAGAGACTCACAGAGCTCATTTTCTTCCATTGAGCTATATTTGTCAAGAGCAGCTCTCCTATCTGATTGTTAAGGCCCATCCTACCCTGTATTAGCTTACTAAGATCTAATAAAAAATTTAGCAGCTTAACACAACAAATACTTATTATCTCTATTATTTCTGAAGTCAGAAATCCAGGCACACCTTAGCTGGGTTGTTCTGGCTCAGGATCTCTCATGAGGTTGCATTCAAGGTGTAACCTGGGCCAGTTGTCTTAAGGATTAACTCAGGTTGCAGAATCTGCTTCCAAGCTCCCACATGTGGTTGTTGAGAAGCTTCAGTTTCTTACCACATGGCTTCTCCATAGGGCTGCTCATAACATGGTAACTGGCTTCTGCTAATGTGAGAGATGAGAGAGAGAGAAAGGAGAGGAGAGGAGAGGAAAGAGAAGAGAAGAGGAGAGGGAAAGGGAGGGGAGGGGAGAGAGAGAAAGAAAAGTGAAGAGGGAAAGGGAGGGGAGGGAAGAGAGAGAGAAAGAAAGAGAAGAGAAGAGAAGAGGAAAAGGCAGGGGAGGGGAGAGAGAGAGAGAAGAGAAGAGAGAAGAGAAGAGAAAAGAGAAGAGAAGAAGAGAAGAGGGAAAGGGAGGGGAGGGGAGAGAGAGAAAGAGAGAGATACAGAGAGAGGGACAGAGAGAGACAGAGAAGAGCCTTAGAAGTCTTTTATAACCTAAAAGTCTGAATCCAGGAAGTGGGGTCACTGGGGCCATCTTGGAGGCTGGGTATCACATACCCTACAGTGAAACTAAATTGCATGACCTGTGATTCTAGGTATAACAGCATGTAGACTTGGCTTCCCAGGCATCCATGTGACTTCATTGGGGTCCCTTTTCTTTACCTGGAGTTCCTTAGCATAAGGTCAAGTCTCTTAGAAAGCTAAACATTTGCTTGCCTCCTCCTACTTTGGGAGTGAGGACTTTCCTTTTGGCCTCCCAACTTTAGTTTCTAGTTCCTAGTTTTCTTTCTAGTCCCCTACTTCTCACTCCACTCCTTCAGGGATTTAGGGCACACTTTGAACCAAATGAATGACCAAAGCTTCCCCAAGTCAGCTAAGAAACCAAGTCTACCATTTGACAGTCTAGGTGCAGCCAGGGGATGGCTCTTCTTGAATTTTATTTAGTTTTACAATTCCAAATCATTAAAAGACAATTTTCATTAAGAGAAGAGGAAGAGTGCTGTTGTCCACATCTTGGGGAGGTGGTATGTGGAGTGTGCTGGAAAGAACATGATGTGTTTAGGTTGCAGACAAACCTGATTCCTCACTGGCGAAGGTTGTTAACCTCTCTGAGCTTGTTCCTTCATCTGTGAAATGGGTAGTTCTGAAGATTAAATGAGATTACTCATACAAAGTGGTTGCTGACATATAGTAGGTTGTAAAAATTGGTACTTTATTTTCTATTAATGGTACTGGTTTTAGTATTATCACTACCATCTTCTTTCAAGATCTAACCTAATTTTTACCTTTACTTCAAATCTGTCCCAAGAATCAAACCATCTCTGTTCTCTAAATTTGAATAGCACTTTGAGTCAACACTTCACAATTTAGTACTTAATTAGATATTAAATTACATTGCTTTCTATTTATCTCATATGTGGCACCAATTCCCTAGAGAGAAGTACTGCCTTTCCTAAAGTACCTCCAATAAAGCCCAGTGCAACTCAAGGCATACAGTAGTCACTCAATAATTACTTTATGGTTATTCAGGATATCAAGCATTTTAAGCTGGCTGAGAGTAGATTCCCTGCTCTGAGCTCAGAAAATTATCAGGGAAGAAAGAAAAGTGAAGGGAGAGGGGCAAAGTAGTTAAGTACAGATAATATCACAAATTTCTCTGCATATAAAGTGTTGAATGTTATTTTGCTTGCTATGATTTTGTTGGGATTCCAAATTAACTGCTAAAACCCTCAATGCAGCTAGCAAACAGCAGGAAAGCTATCACACCAGATTGGATTCATTTCTTTAAAAGAGTGTGAATTAATCTTACTTCTACAGAGGAAAACCCGCTCTCACCCTTCAAAATTCTACTTAAAATATACCAATCTAATATTAATCTGAAAATATAATGTAAACAGTTCTTCCTACAAAACAGCAGTATTACTATTTAAAAAAAACCCAAACCTACATTTCTTTGCCACAGTTGACAACATGTTTATCAATGTGGAGGCTATTTTTGCAATAAGGGAAGAATGGTTCCATTAAGGCATCAGCTTTATGGAAGCTAGTGGCTGGCTACAAGGGCTATTTTAGGGTTTTTGTGACATGTATAAATGTCTGTGTTGACAGCTCTAGCTTCTTGTTACCAAATGTGAATAAAATTAATCCTCATTTTAAAAATGAACTTATTATAAAGTCAAAACTACACGATTGGTTCATTTGTGCACCCATTCCTTTTATAGTACCCATCATTGCAAACTTGAAGGGTTGCATTCTGTAGTACATTCTGTATTTTTGGAAGCCCCTTCAGAAGAATAACATTGCAACACTGCTGTGGTAATGACCTAAGCAATTGGTCACTTTGTGGGTAATTGATGAAACCAACGAAGGTGCTGTTTCCCAGAAAACCTCATAGTCATAAATAAAAATGTGCAAATGTTCCATTGATTGCTTCCAAGAGTCAATGAGTCCTAGGTTAAGAAACTTTAATCTATGGTCAAGTTAACCAAGGAGTTTGGTATTTTAGGAAGAGGCTAGGGCTGGCTGAGCACTAGGGAACCGGAGCTGGGAAGTCAGTGATGGCCTGGAGGGTGTGGATGGTGAAGCCAGCATGGAGTGCTCAGGGAATGTCGTTTGAGTAAACAGATGAATACATGAATGGCCAAAAACATGGTTAGAACTGATGCTTCTCTAGAACCATGACAGAATCAGATGGGCCATTGGCTTTAGGGAAGAACACCAGTGTAAGTTACAATCTCGTATATGATCTCTTTTGTCCTTCCTTAAGTTTGTCCTTCTGCTGAGCAGAGTTGGCCTTAAGATTGCAGGCAGGTAAATGCAGACAGAGCAGGGGTAGGGGGTGATGCCTGCACCTAATTTTGACTCTCTTTGAGGATAGAGATTCTAGACAAGCCAGAAGGCAAACATACTGTCTTGTTGCTGGTCCTTATACTGTTCCAGGAATTCCCATGCCCTAAGGGGCTCAGACCTCATTGGGGCGTTCCTTGCAAGCCTCCTCTTTCCATGCAGGGCTGGCTGCCTGTGCCTTCCTTTTCTTCCCAGCAAGAGGCCCACATCCCTGGTTCTGTAGTCTCAGGAGGTAATCTGATAAATGAATTTATACAAGCCAGTGTATAATAACGCAACTGTTACTCAAAGCGATGGCTCTCCAGGGGTGGTAATTTGATTACTGGGACAGGCCAGTGTGGGAGGCGTTTGTGAATGGAGTAGCCGCATGCAGGGTGGTGACAGTGCTCCTTGCCCATGAGGATAGCATGAGATCTTGGAGTGCCAGATCCACATTTCTGTCCTGGTTCCCCCAGTCACCAGCTGTGGGATCTCATCCAAGTCTTATGAATCTATTTGAGACTTATTTCCTCTTCTCTAAAGTGGGGGAAATAACTTCCAACCCTCAAAGGGTGGTTGGAAAGAATAGGCGAGTGTGTAAATATAAAAGAAACGGTTGGGCATTTGGGAGATATTTTAATTAATATCATGCACAAACCACTTTTGTCAGGGTTGGGGGTTGGAGGTGGGGCATCGTGGAAACAAATCTAAATAATTCTCTTGAAATTCTGGTGTCTAGGGGTCAGGATGGAGATAGATTTCAGATATGATTGAACACCGTGGTGCTCCCTTACCTCCAAGCCCTGCCTCAACTGCCCCAGGTGGGCCTCAGGGCCTCCCAGCTATACATAGGAGGCCACTAGGGAAGCTATGCAGGCATTCTTTAATGAATCTTCCAGGCCTGGACATCATGTATTCGCAGGAAGGCAGGAGTCCGGGCAGGAACAAAGGGCGAGAAGTGAGGAACGTGACTTGCGCTGTGTTCCTTTTCTTGTCAGAGAAGCAGTGGGGGAAACCTTAAGCTCCATGTGTCTTGGATATTTGCAAAGGGGTTTTGTGAATAAATAACTTGATGTCAATGTCAGGTCACATTGAGTCAGCCCCACAGAATGTTTAGCAGAGAGCCTTGTCTCTGAGAAGCCCCCAAGAGGAGCAGTTTGAGGGAGGCCCTTAGTGACTTGTCTTAAAGATGAGGATGCATCTCACACATTCCTGACAGCTTTTAATGGCTTGTTATATAAATGCATCTTCTGAGATCTGAATTGCAGTGGGAGAAGCCGAGGTAGAGTCCAGTATCAGACACAGTGGGATGTTTAAGTGGAAACGTGCTTTAGGCAGCTGGATGATCCCACCAAGGAAGAGAGAGAGAGATTCAGAAGCACTAGCCAGTAGGTGGTAGGTGAAGCTGTGGTTGTTGATAATCTCTTCCAGTAGGGGTACTGAGGGAGAGGAGGGACTACTATATATAGTGGTGCAGCCAAAGACAGGGTAGTAGGAGCAACGAACTTAATGCAGAAATTAAGGGAGCATTGTCTGTAGGTAACTTTAAAAAATAATAAACCTAAGTAAAAGTCAGCCTGCCCTTTATTATCATCAGTGCAAGTGACTCTAAACAATCAAGCACTGGATAAAAGTTTCCTTCCTGCTGAGGCAGATGGCTCCTATGGCTCCATCCTTGGTAGGCCACCACCTATGTCCTTTGAGTTTTTTTCACCTCTTGCTCGAAGAATAACTTCCTGAATGGCACATCACTCTGTAGATGTGCTCTCACCAAGTACCAGAACTGTGTTTGCCTGAGATGCTTGAACAGAATTGCAACATGGTAACCTCAGTAATAAAGGAGATAGGGGCTTCTAAGAGATGAGAGAGGGAGGGAGAGAGAGAGAGAGAGAGAGAGAGAGAGACTCCTGCTAGGGGCAGTTGACCACCTGGATCTAATCACACTTGAGGATTTCCCTAAAATGTTCATTTACAAAAAATAACAAATTCCCGTTTGTGCTTCAGCTGGGTTGATTTGGGTTTTTGTTACCTGCAACAGAAAGAGTTCCAGTTATATAAAACCATAGCGATAACTGCAGACATAGGATACTCCATCAATATTTGGTTGCATACAAGGTGTTCTAATTTTCACCTAGTGGTTGGGTGAGAGGCTGTGGTTTCTCGGTTTGTTTAGGCTTTGGTGACCCCTGTTATCACTAAGCAGCTAAGGAAACAAACATACTGGCAGGTCACAGAGACACCTTTCTGTATACAACTGAACTCAGCAGAAAGTTGCTTGGACCCCATCCAAAGTAATTATTTACAGATGTTCCCAAGGCACATAATTATAGGGTCACAGTACAGGGACCCATATTGTGAGGGGAGCTCTTGAGTGAAACTCTAGAAGGTTATACAAGGAAATCACTGAACTTGTTAAATCTGCATTTAGGGTGAAGAAAAATTCCACTGTGTCGGGTGAGAGTGAGGAGAACTGCATTAGCAACATTTCACATGAGAAAGCTTTGAAGATAAAATTTTAGAGAGAAGCAGAAGCAGCTGTTTCAGGGTTTTAAATTTATTTGAGGTCCAACACTAACCCATAGTTGACACAGTGGCTAAAAAAGCTGACATTATATTCCCAATTAGGCACTCTTTCCATGGCAGGAATATGATCCAGCAGCTTCAGGCTTACGGGATCCTTATGGCTCATGATCTCTTAAAGTAAGAAATATTTTTTACCCCCAGCATTTCCTAAAACTGGCTGTGAATAGTCCTGCTTGGATCACATACCTGCCTGTGACCCAATCACTGCTCAAGGGGACAGGAAACAGGGATTGATGTGTTTGGGTGGTTTGTCCACCCCTGTGGAATAGGAGGTGATATAGCCCCACATAATCCCATGGATTAGTAATGGGCAGTTCAACCAAAGACTGGATAGAAGGTAATAAATGTCCACAGTAATCCTGTGAGTTTTAAAACTTCATTTTTTCCCCCCACATTGCTGCTCCTTTTTTTTTTTTTTTCCTGATCACTTTGTTTAAAGGCCTATGGATTGG
Organism: Homo sapiens; assembly: GCF_000001405.40. Taxonomy (NCBI): domain Eukaryota; kingdom Metazoa; phylum Chordata; class Mammalia; order Primates; family Hominidae; genus Homo; species Homo sapiens. The sequence continues at coordinate 140,911,224 of NC_000003.12, read as the reverse complement.
ATAATGTCTATCCTCAATCAGCCTGCCCTTCTATTCTCCCCTAGGCTGGAAGCCTGAAAACTACATTTCCCAGAATCCTTTTCAGCTTATTCTGTTAGGATCTTCCAACAGGAGGCACTGGCAGGAGACTGGAAAGTGAGAGAAAGCAAGCAGCCATTTATTCCCCATTTCTGGTAATGCCTTTGGGAGTCACAGGGTCGGGGTGAGGACTCTTGAGGAGGGTGGGGAGAGAAGAGGTTGTACAGGCAAAGGCTGTCACCAACGGGGGCGGACGTCTGGGTATGGTAGCCTCAGAGGCACAATGTTTCTGGGCCCCGGATGACACAATTTTCCCTCTTCTTCAGTCCCAGGGTTAGTAGTCACTTTCTGCAATTGGTAATCTTTTGGAGACTTTTTTTCTTTTTCTCCTTCCAACACCTTTATAACCAATTCCTGGTATTAATTTCTCTTTGTTTAAAATATCTAGAGTGATTTATGTTTTCCTAATTGAAACCTAATATGGTTATTTTATTTATTTATTTATTTTTGAGACAGGGTCTCGCTCTGTCACCCAAGCTGAAGTGCAGTGGTGCGATCTCGGCGCACGGGACTACAGGCGCGCACCTGTATGTCCCCTTTCCCCTGGGCCCTGGTAACCACCATTCTACTTTGTTTCCGTGGATTTGACTACTCTAGGTACCTTATATAAGTAGAATCATAAAATATTTGTCCTTTTGTGAGTGGCTTATTTCACTTAGCCCAATGTCTTCAAGGTCCATCCATGTGGTAGCATGTATCAGAATGTCCTTTATAAGGCTGAAGAATGCTCCATTGTACATATATACCACTTTTTTGTTTATCTATTCATCTGTCAATGGACACTTGAGTTATGCCTTACTTTGCTTGGGTTGTCATAACAAAGTATCACAGAGTGGGTGGCTTAAATAACAGAAATTTGTTTTCTCACAATTCTGGAGATTGGAAGTCCCAGATCTGTGTCACAGGATTCATTTCTTATAGGCCTTTCTCTTTGGCTTGTTGATGGCCAACTTTTCCGTGTCTTCACAGGTTTCCCCCTGTGTGTCTGTTCTAATTTCCTCTTCTCATAAGAACACTAGTCATATTGAATTAGGGCTACCCTAATAATCTCACTTAGCCTTAATTATTCCTTTATCTCCAAATACAGCCACATTTTGAAGAACTGGGTGTTAGGACTTCAACATATGAATTTTGTTGGGAGGATTCAGCCCATATTAGGTTGCTTCCACCTTTATTGTGATAACGCTGATATGAACATAGTGTACCTGTATTTATTCAAGTACTTGCTTTCCTGCACAAGAGGGTGTTGTTTAAAAAAAGCCAGGCATTGTGGCTCACACCTGTAATCCCAGATGGCTGAGGGAGGAGGATTGCTTGAGTGCAGGCGTTCAAGACCAGTCTGATCAACATAGTTAGACCTTGTTTCTACAAAATATAAAAAACTAGCTGGTTGTGGTGGCTCACACTTGTGGTCCCAGCTACTCAGGAGTCTGAAGTAGAAGGACTGCTTGAGCCCAGGAAGTGGAGGCTGCAGTCAGCCGTGATGGTCCCACTGCACTCCAGCCTAAGCAACAAGCAAGACCCTGTATTGGAAAATAAAAAAAGGAAAAAAAATTCCTGCTTTCATATTTTTTGATATATACCCCATAATAGAATTGCCAGATTATATAGTACTTCTATGTTTAATTTTGGTGAAAAACTAGCATACTGTTTTCTACAGTGGCTGTAACATTTTACATTCCCACCAGCAATGCACACAAAGTTCCAATTTTTCCACATGTTCACCAACTCTTGGCATTTCCTTTTAAATAATAGATATCCTAATGTGTGTGAGGTGGTATCTCATGGTGATTTTGATTTGCATTTTCCTAATGATTAGTAACATTGGGCATCTTCTCATGTGATTATTGGCCATTTGTATATATGTATATATATATATATATATATATTTTTTTTTTTGGAGAAATGTCTGTTCAAGTCCTTTGCTCATTAAAACTTGTTTATTCTTCAAAGAAATCAGGCCGGACACAGTGGCTCACACCTGTAATCCCAGCACTTTGGGAGGCCGAGGCGGACAGATCACCTGAGGTCAGGAGGTCAGCCTGGCCAACATGGCGAAACCCCATCTCTACTAAAAGTACAAAACTTAGCTGGGTGTGGTGGCGGGCACCTGTAATCCTGGCTACTCAGGAGGCTGAGACAGGAGAATCACCTGAACCCAGGAGGCGGAGGTTGCAGTGAGCCGAGATCACACCACTGCACTCAACCTAGTTGACAAGAGCAACTCCATCTCAAAAAAAAAAAAAAAAAGATATCGTATAAACACTATGGTGGCAACATTCATTGACCTTCCAAAGAAATGCAGGAAAATATTCACCCACAATCTTTAAAGAGTTATGAAATGACCACATTGTGGGGCAGAATGTTGGTGCAATCTTTCAGAGTCAGCTAAAGCAAAGTGACAAAGCAGGTGAGCTCTAGAGCCATGATTGCCTAGGATTTTTCTCCCAGACATAGCTTATTGCATGAACTATGTAATCTCATGCAAGTTTCTTAGTCTGTCTGTGCTTTAGTTTTCTGACTTATAAAATGAGAATAATACTGCCTACTTCATAGAGTTGTTACAAGTATTAAATGAGTTAACAATGAGAACAGTGTCTAGTACATAGTCAGCACTTAATATAAATTAATTATCATTATTCTTCTCTGGGTCCCAAACTTCTGGTCTGCCTCTGCGTCTGGGCACCTTCTGGGATCCTCTCTCCTGATTCCTAGTGTTTTGAATTACCCAGTTACCTATAAGGCAAACAGATATATGTATCTAGCAGTTACAATATGCTAAAAGATTTTTACATATTAACTTTATTATTATTATTTTTTTTCGAGATGGAGTCTTACTCTATCGCGCCTAGGGTGGAATGCAGTGGCATGATCTCGGCTCACTGCAACCTCCGCCTCCCGGATTCAAGTGATTCTCCTACCTCAGTCTCCCAAGTAGCCAGGATTACAGGCACTTGCCACTATGTCCAGCTAATTTTTTGTATTTTTAGTAGAGATGGTGTTTCACCATATTGGCCAGGCTGGTCTCGAACTCTTGATCTCAGGTGATCCGCCCACCTTGTCCTCCCAAAGTGCTGGGATTATAGGTGTGAGCCACTGTGCCCAGCCTAACTTTAATTTTCACAATTACCATCAGCTATAGCCAGGTGATTATGAGCCCTGGTTCACAGATCATCTGGGAAGAAATCAAATGCCATCTCTTATGGGAAGTGCTTTTAACAGGAAAAAAAACCAAAAACCAAAAAACAACAACAATAAAAAAACAATTCCCGTCTCTCCATCTCTCCTCTTTATTATGTGATCTTGGATATGTCACTTCATGTCTCTGAGCTTCAATTTCCATATCTGGAAAAAGAAGATAACAGTAGTTTACAGGATCACTGAAGGATTAAATGAGGCAAGGGCTGTAAAGCATTTAGCACACACAGTGCCTGGCACATAGAAAATGCTTAATGGATATTGATTATTATTATATTCATATTACAGGTGAGAAAACTGGGTCTTAGAGGGATGAAGTTCTTGTCTAAGATAATAAAGCTACCGTTGAGAGAAGATGGCCCAAAACAATGTTCTTTGTTATTTCCTTTTACCTTGCATACATAATTTTTGTGTAGTTTCTGTTATGTGATGAGTGCAGACATAGTTTTAGATTAAAAAAATTTTACATTAGAGAGAAAATAATTTTCAAATTGCTACAGAGATATGAAAATCTAACTGAATAACATATCTTCATGCCTATTACTTCCTTTCCTTCTCTTGAATTATTTTCTCACAATAAATTCCCAGACATGGAATTTGATAGGTAAAAGGTAAACATGATTTAGCTTGATGTAAATATGATGGGCAAACATAATTTTGATTCTGGATATAGAACATCCTATTGCTTTCCTAAAGAGTTTATTCATAGTAATTATGTTTGCCTACTGTAATTTGTTTTCTAGTATCCTGGAAATAATTGGAACATTCACAAAGAATGAATAACCTTGCTAGAGGTAAGAAATTGCCAGGCTGAAGAGGAATGTGGTATGAAAGTTTTCAGAATCAAAATGGAGTCAGTTAAGAAAACTCTAACAAAGCTGGGGAAAGTCATGAAGTGAGGGTTTTCATGCATGTATGTCTATAACAGAAACTGTCACAAAAGATTACAAAAACCACAACCTTGCACAAAGGCCATTTCATGAAAACTACATCTGTGAAGACATCTGCCCAGCAACTGCCTGTCCAACCTGACTGTTCTCACTCTTGTTATTGATATTCGTAGCCAAAGATAATTATTTCAGAACAATTATATAATCTTTCTCATTTTTTCTTTAAAAATCTTTGTCTTCCTTTCCCTGCCTGAATACATGCATAGTTTACCATGCCATGCATATTCCTATTGCAATTCTCTGTTCCCAAATAAATACCTCTTGTTTTGAGAGCCTCTCTCTTGCTTAGATTAACAGTGAGAACTGAGAGAAGTTGAATGAATAGGTTGAGAAGATGATAACAATGTTCAGAAACATGAGACAAAACTCCAAGTTACTGTATGTAAGTGTATAGTGTTTTGTCTACTTGAAGTGATGCTCATGTTATATACAGTTAAGGCATGTGCATATTATCTGCAAATGACCAGCTCAGTCTCTGGGCACATGAGGGACCGAGAGTACCAGTTAATCAAACATTTACTTTGTTTACTGGGTCCTGCTGCTCGCTTGGCTTACTTGTCCTCTGAAAGAAACCTCTCCCTCTCAAAGAAACCTGAATCTGAGCTGCTGCCCTGAGTGGGAATCATCCTTCAAATTTTATCTCAGGGCGTAAAGTCCTAGACAACAACAGGGCTGACATCTTTCTGCCCTTGCTATTGATTTTGGGATCTACAGATAGCTCTGAGAGCCTCAGTTCCTTCATCTGTACAAGGGGAGTGATAAGGTAGGTAGTTACTACGTAGGGAGCTTTCTCTGGGCTTTACATATAAGTCATACAGTTCCCAAAGCAATGATATGAAGGAGGGTTTATCAGTAACTTCATTTTACAGGTGAGAAAACTGAGGTTCAACTGGTTAAATAATGTGCCAGGTAACACAGTCAGTAGGCAGAGGGGACAGGATTTGAACTCAGGCACTCAGGCTCAAGAGCTTCAGTCTTCAACACCGTGCATAATATTGAATAATACGGGAGGTTAATGATGCTTAGCTTTAAGGGTTGCTGTGAAGATTCAAGATGAAGGCACATGAGGCATATGGCTTCTGGTCTCGCTATTCTACAAAAATGGTCACTCTTACTAAGTTTGCCAATGACTTCTGTATTGCCAAACCTAATAAACACTAAGAAGGGAAAACTACGCCATTGGCTATTCCTTCTCAGTTTCTTTTTCTCTTTTAACTGACCTCTAAATGTTGGTGTACTCTGGGCTCTGTCCTTGGTCCTTCTCTTTTCTTTTTCTGGGAGACCTCACACAGTCTTATGGTTTAAGACAGGGGTGTCCAATCTTTTGGCTTCCCTGGAACACATTGGAAGAAGAATAGTCTTGGGCCACAAATAGAATACACTAACACTGGCAATAGCTGATGAGCTAAAAAAAAAATCACAAAAAATCTCATAATGTTTTAAGAAAATTTATAAATTTGTTTTGGGCCGCATTCAAAGCCGTTCTCTGTGGCATGTGACCCTCAGACTGCAAGTTGGACAAGCCTTGGCATAAGATATCATCTGTGTCATGTATTTGTTTGAGGACTCCTATATCGGACAGGATTCAACCAGAAAAAGAGGGCAAGTAAGAATATATATTAAAAGATTTATTGCAAGGCATTTCTTATATGATTCTTACATAGCACAGGCTGTCAGGAAGAGCAGCTCTTGGGCATGGGGTGAACTGCTGTTCATAGGCAAAACTTCTTCTTTCTCAGGGAAGCCTCAGTTCTACTTTTAAGGTCTTGCAATTGATTGAATCAGGATAATCTCCCTTAACTTAAATTCAACTGATTATGAGCTTTAGTCACAGCAATAAAATATTTTCACAGTAACACCTAGATTAATATTTGATTAACTGGGGACTCTAGCCCAGGCAACTTGACTTATAAAATTGGCCCTCAAACTCCCAAACTGACATCTCCAACCTCAACCTCCTGGCTGAGCCTCAGGTTTGAATATCCAGCTGCCTATCAGAGATGACCATTTAGTGCCTCAAACTTGACATTCTTTAAACTGAACTTTTGATTTCCTCCTGCTCCCACTCCAGCCTGCTTGCCTCTGTCTTCCTTATCTTTGTAAGTGGAACTACCACTGCCTTATGGAAAAGACCTAAGAGTCATCTTTGATTTTTCTCTCACTTCTGCTTCTATATGCAAGTACTATGTTCTCCACTTCCCAAGTAGATTTTAGAGACCCAGTTCTCACCATCTCCACTGTCTCCACCATAGCCCAGGCTCCCTCATCTCCAGCCTGGATGACTGCCAGAGCCACTTAACCAGTCTCTCTGCTTTCACTCTTGTCTCACTCTCTTCTTTACTCCACCCAGAGTGATCCTTTTAAAGCATAAACCATTTACCTGATTCTGGTAATTTAAAACTCATCAATGAGTTCCCATTGTTCTTAGATTAAAATGTAAATTTCTCACCTCGGTGGAGTATATAAGTCATGTGCTACATAATGATGTTTCAGTCAAATATGGACCATACATACCATGGTGGTTCCATAAGATTATAATGGAGCTGAAACTTTCCTATTGCCTATTGACCCTGTAGCCATCCTAACGCTGTAGCACGATGAACTACTCACATGTTTGTGGTGATGCTGGTGTAAACAAATGCACAGCTCTGCCAGTCCTATAAAAGTATAGTACATACAATTATGTACAGGAAATAATACTTGATAATGATAATAAATGGCTATGTTACTGGGTTATGTATTTACTGTACTCTAATTTTTACTGTTACTTTAGAATGTGCTTTTTCTACTTATAAAAAATGTAAAACAACCTTATGCAGGTCCTTCAGGAGATATTATGGAAGAAGGCATTTTTTTTTTTTTTTTGAGTCTCACTCGGTCGCCCAGGCTGGAGTGCAGTGGTGCCGATCTCAGTTCACTGCAACCTCCACCTCCTGAATTCAAGTGATTCTCCCACCTCAGTCTCCAGAGTATCCGGGATTACAGGCATGCACCACTGAGCCTAGCTATTTTTTTTGTATTTTTAGTAGAGACAGGGTTTTACCATGTTGGCCAGGCTGGTCTCAAACTCCTGACCTCAAGTGATCTGGCTTCCTCAGCCTCCCAAAATGCTGGGATTACAGGTGTGAGAAGGCATTCTTATAGATGACAGCTCCATGCATGTTGTTGTCCCTGAACACCTTCCTGTGGGACAAGATGTGGAGGTGGAAGACAACGGTATTGATGATCCTAACCTTCTGTAAGCCCAGACTAATGTGTTTGTTTGTGTCTTATTTTTTAACAAAAAGGTTAAAAAGTAAAAAAAAAAAATGCTTATAAAGATATAAAGAATGAACATATTTTTGTATGGCTATACAACGTGTTTGTGTTTTAAATTAAGTGTTATTACAACAGAGTCAAAAAGTTAAAAAAATTAAAAAGTTTATAAAATAAAACAGTACAGTAAGCTAAGGTTAATTTATTATTGAAGAAAGAAAAATATTTTTAATAAATTTGGAATAGCCTAAGTGTACAGTCTTTATAGGCTCTAAAATAATATACAGTAATGTCCTAGGCCTTCACATTCACTCACCACTCACTCACTGACTCACCCAGAGGAACTCCAGTCCTACAAATTCCATTCATGGTTAAGTGCCCTATCCAGGTGTCACACTTTTTAAATCTTTTATACTGTATTTTTTCTGTATCTTTTCCAAGTTTAGATATGTTTATATACACAAATGCTTATCATTGTATTACAATTGCCTACAGTATTCAGTAGAGTAACTTGCTGTGGAGGTTTGTAGCCCTGGAACAATAGGTTATACCATATAGCCTAGGTATTTAGTAGGCTATACTATCTAGGTTTGTGTAAATATACTCTATGATGTTTCCACAATGACAAAAATCACCTAACAACACATTTCTCAGAAGGGATTCTTATTGTTAAGCAACACATGACTGTATATGTCTGTTCTTATGACAGTTCCCTGTGACTTGAAGAGCTTAAAGGCACAGAATAAGTGCTCTGTAAATATTAATTGTCATCCTATTGTTGACAGAAACCAATAAAAGAGAACATGCTTGGAAGTTCAGTTACCATGAATTTATCTAGAGCCACTCTTGTCTAATATGGTAGTCACTAACCACATGTGGCTATAGAGCCTGTGAAATGTGGCTATAACAACTAAAGACCTGAATTTTAAATTTTATTTAATATTAATGAATTTAAATTTACATTTAACAATTGAAACTTCATTTAATATTAGAAAATATTTAAGCATGTTTCGAATACTTTGAGTATGTAATCTACTTTTTTTTCTGGTGAAAAGATATACATATATTTAGAATTAGCCAGATGGACTCAGTTTAGATGATCCCAATTTTGTTGGCAACATGGCAACATCCAAAGCATTGTAATCCGGAGCCAGTCGAACATATGCCTTCTTCTCTCCATCAGGGTGAATCAGGGTGTTGACCTTGGCCACATCAATGTCACACAGCCTGTTTGATCTGGTGCTTGTTGTTTTTAACAACCAAATGAACACAAGTGTGTTGTCGTCTATCTTCTTCATGGCAGACTCAGTGGTCAGGGGAATCTTGACGGCATAGTGGTCAAGCTTGTTTCTCCTGGGGGCACTCTTCTGAGGACATTTGGGCTGCCTCCGGAGTCACAGTGTCTAGGGCCGCTGGAAGGTGGGTGACGTGCAGATCTTTTTTTTGTGGCTGTGGACACCTTTCAACACTGCCTTCTTGGCCTTCAAAGCCTTTGTTTTGGCTTCTCCTTTAGGAGCAGCAGCAGCTTCCTTCTTTGCTTTCAGCGCCATCTCATGAAAAGGGTCCGTAATCTACTTTCTCAACCATTAATTTTATGAAATATAAATACAGATTAAGTATTACTGGTGAAATTTAGCATGAGATTTTTCAAACTGAGATGTGCTGTAAGAATAAAATATTTACCAGATTTAAAGACTTAGTGTAAAAAAAGAATATAGAACATCTCAGTAATTTTTATACTGATTACATATTGAAATCATAATATTTTGGATATATTGGTGTAAGTAAAATACTTCATTTATATTGCCAGTTTCTTTTTACTTTTGAAAGTGAAGCTATTAGAAAATTTAGACATATATAGCTGGCTCTCATTATCTTTACACTAGACAGAGCTGCTCTAGATGTTTTAATGATGAGCCCTCAATGCCATTCAACCCCAAAGTTAATTAATTGCACAGCAAGGCACTATGGTGAGTTCCACGGTGGAGATTTAAAGTTCCAATTAAATGGAGACCATATATGGGATTAATGGGGGAAACTAAGGCAAAGACTGGCCTGTGTGTTGATGAAGCATGACAGGCTCCCATGCCCATTTTTCCTTCCACTTTCTGTCCTTATGTACCCAGGCCCTTTTCTCAGGAGGTGAAGTTCTGCAATCTGTCCAGCCCCAAATTCTGGTCTCCACCTTTTTGTCCTCTCCTAGCCCTTCCCTCTTATTACTGGCGGGTCTTTGTTCTTAGAGCTCCCAAGATGGTGGCAGGCTGCTCCCAAGATGGCGGCAAGCCTTTTGTTCCCTGACCTGGGGTTCTTGGCCTCATGGATTCCAAGGAATGGAACCTCAGGCCGTGCAGTGAGTGTTATAGCTCTATTAGAGGCCATGGGTCATGGAAGAGAACCATGGAATCCAGCGACTAGTGTTCAGCTCGATTAGGATGAACCCGGGCACTTAGCCATGCAGGAACAATGGTGAGCCTTTAGCCTGATTGGGAGCAGCAATGGGCGCCTCACTGGATCAGGAGCACAGTGGACACTCTGCTGGATCTGGAAGGGTGGAAGTCAGCGGTGGGTCTGCGACAGTGGCAAACAGCAGTGGTGGATGGCGAGCGAAAGCTCAGCTAGAGCCGTAACAAACATGGACCAGAAGAGTGTGCAGTTGCAAGATTTAACAGAGTGAAAACAGAGCTCCCGTACAATGGGAGGGGACCCAAAGGGAGTTGCCCACTTCTGGCTTGAATGCCTGGTGTTTATATCCCAATCATTGTCCCTCCCCCTGTGCTCTCAGGTGATAGATGATTGACTGTTTGTTTACCTCCTGTCTTTAGCCTAATTGATATTTTAGTGAGCCGTCTTTACTACCTGATTGGTTGGGTATGAGCTGAGTTACAAGCCCTGTGTTTAAAGGTAGGTGCGGTCACCTTCCCCAGCTAGGCTTAGGAATCCTTAGTTGGCCTAGGAAATCCAGCTAGTCCTGTCTCTCACTCTCAGGGGCTCACATCCTTCTTACTCTATGTACTACCAATCTTCTTTGGAGAAACACAGGAAAAAACTTAACTCTAAAGTACAGGTTGGGAAACTTTCTTAAGGGTTAGGGAGTAAATATTTTAGGCTTTGTGGACCAATGAGTCTCCATCACAACCAGTCAACAGCCATGGTAGCCATAGACAATATGTAAACCAACAGGGCTGTGTTCTGGTACAATTTTCTTTATGGATAATGAAATTAGAATTTGTATAATTTTCTCATATCCAGAAATATACTTCTTTTGATTTTTTTTCATTAGCCCTTTCAAAATGTATTCTAAGGTCATGGGCTGTACAAACATGGGTGGGCAGGATTTGGCCTGTGGGTCTTGGTTTGCTGACCCCTGCTTTAAAGTACAAGTGAAGACCCAAATATAATGGACTAACCTTTCGGAGATGTTGAGGCAGAGGCTGGGCATGGTGGCTCACACTTGTAATCCCAGCATTTTAGGAGGCTGAGTCAGGCAGATCACCTGAGGTCAGGAGTTCAAGACCAGCCTGGTCAACATGGTGAAACCCCATCTCTACCAAAAATACAAAAATTAGCCGGGCGTGGTGGTGGGTACCTGTAATCCCAGCTACTCATGAGGCTGAGGCAGGAGAATCGCTTGAATTTGGGAGGCAGAGGTTGCAGTGAGCTGAGATGGTGCCACTGCACTCCAGCCTGGTGACACAGAGAGACTCTGTCTGGAAAAAAAAAAAAAGAAAGAAAGAAATGTTGAGGCGGAAGAATCTTTTCCTTCCTTTGCTGTCCTCAGAGCCAGCACATTGTAGTACCCAGTACATACTCTGTCTGAGTGATTGGAATTTCAGGAGCCTCAATGAGGGAGGGATGTTTAACACGGAAGGTCATCAGAAGATCCTGATAGAGGAGAGACTTTTGCACACTAGTCACTCTCAGGAGTGGGAGAGAAAGTGCCCTGCCCTGAGTCCTGTACTTTAAAAGGCCCATGTTGGTCCTGGGCCCAAAGATTAAGGAATCCCCAGAGCAACGAGGACATGCCCTCTTGGAGCCTAACCCCCACCTCCATGCTTCAGGCACTTGAAGCCCTGTAATTCCCTTCTCAAATAACCACCAGTCCATTTTTAGGTGAGTGTGGCCTCCTCCCTCATCCCATTCTCCTGTGCACAGACTACACTGTCAATGTGCTCACACCCAGGCCTAAGAAATGGCCAAGGGGCAGCTGTTTGCAGAGGGTGTGGTTAGAGCTTGGCAGCAAGGGCTAGGGCTTGTGTGTGCTGAGGGTGGGAAGAGAAGGGGAGTTAGCCTGAGCTGGAGGGCCAGAGATGGCTTCTTCTATGTAAGCATGTTCAGGCATAGAATTCTGAATTTAAACCTGGCTTTCTAGGTAGTTATAAAGGTATATTTGTCAAGGTGACAGGATAAGACATATTTTAGTGAACAATTTGTTAGTTTGATTTATACCTTAAATATCTAGACATATAGTATGTGGGCCTCCATTTGTACCTGTATCCTAAACTCTAAAAATATTAGGGATAGGCCTGCTTTTACAGTAAAGATGTAACTTTGAAATGGAGGTGGGGGCTGGGAGTCAGTGGTGTGGTAAAGCAGGCGTGTTGTGGCAAAAGCCCATTGGGTGCATCTCTTCCCAACTGTGTGTTCAATGACACCATGTTAGAAGCTTAAAGTTGGCCAAGGAAGGAGTATGTACACCATAAAAATTGGCAAATGCTACAAGTCAGAGCTGTTTTGTTTGTTTGTTTTGAGAGCTGATTGCCAAACGTTTCCCAGCTACTGCACACTGTGATTGCCCATTGCCCACTGGGAGAGGCTGGCTTATCCCTACTCTGCTCCATAGTCTCTCCCCAAAGAATGTATGATTATCAAGGAGATTACCTTTGACAGATGTGTTCAGCAGAAAAGTGTGACTGTGAGAGAGCATATGGAATCTCTTACTTATTTGTAAGACTTTCTGAAAGAAGCCATGTTCCTGGTTGTCCTGAGCTAGGCCCCTAAGCAATGCCAAGCTCTGATTCTTAGAGCAGAATCTCTATAGAGGTCAGCTATTGCAAAGCATGAACACTCCCACCCTCATACTTTATGTTTGCAGAATACTTCTAAACTCAGAAAAACACAAAATGACTTTTGTGGTTGATCCCTGGATTCCTTTCTCTGAATGTACCAGTAGTTGCAAAATCTATGGTTTTTCATCTTTTATTTCCCATGCCTGCCCTCTGATGGTGGATTGAGAGAAATACAGGTAGATTCCTATCAATGTCATAGAATAGGGAAGAGGAGTTGGTTTACAAACTGCCATCTCGTGGGGCCAGGCAGAAAATATAGAAGAATGAAGATGGCAGGATGTGAGAAGAATGGGGAGTTGTGGAGTATACTGAAGAGCTCATGTCCTATCTAAAAGGAATGACCCTACTCACTCGGGGACTAAGACTACCTCTAAGAGACTATGAGTCTAGAACAGAGGTCATAGCCTGGCAACATACACATGGATGGCTTTGTTTGACCTTCATCGTATTGATTCATTTACTGTTTCCAAATAGTTAAATTAGTTGCATACATGAAAAATTTTTACTTCCAGCTTTTCTTGTAAAGATCTGAATATTTGGCAACCCCAAGTTCACACTACCATTTGCCAACAACTTGGTGATACTTTTGAAAATGGCAAGTGACATTCAAGAACAAGTTATTGTGATTTTCCCAGTCAAAGCAAGCATTATGTCTTTAGTATACCAAACAGATGTTTCCATATGCTTTATGCTCTAGATATTCCAGAAACAAATAATCATTTTTTAGTTGCTTTTAAAAATTAGTATATCATACAAACAAAAGCACACGCACACACACACACACGCACACACACACTACAAGGTATATGGAATAATAAACAGCTTTCTCCACACTACCAGTGTCCTACCCCATTGGAATCCTCTTCCTACCCCCACCCCTGAGGAAAAATCCATTCTGACAGTTATCTTTATTATTCCTTTGCTAAACTCCTAGTGATTCTAGAAAGAAAGTTAGGCAGACGAGCAGGCCAGGAGAGGCCCTCACCCCATAACCAGGAATGTCAGGTAACCATCAGGTGATGGTCAGGTCGTTGTTAAACTGTCTTTCTAAAATAATAATTGGTCACAGCCAGGTCCAGGGAAAGGCTCCAGGGAAAGTCTCCCAATAGATAGATCAGCAGCTTCCTGATAAGATCTGAGGAGTTGGGCAAGTGGGCTCAAGCACGTGCACTAAGAGGCAAAATGATGGAGTTTAACTGGTAAATGACCTTCCTTTAGGAACACTCAACTAGTAAGGGAAAAATGCTATAAGGTGTGTAGGCTGCCTGCACTCACCACTGTTAGCAGGGCATGGCAAGAGTGAGACCGGCCTTGCCAACAGCATCTCAGCTGGGTGAGGCCTATTGCTACCGGCTTTCCCCCACTTCCTTGGCCACAGAGGCAGCCATAATCCGCTCTGAAACATACCCCATTGGCCCAAGAGCCTCCTCCCTCCCCCAGTTCTCTGCAGTGGCTGCAGCAAGCCCTGCCCAAGGAGAGTCTGAGTCAGACTTGCCTAACTCTTTCCCCACCTGATGGTCTTTCTCTACTTGCCCTGGTAGCCAATCACAAAAGACATAAATTCTTGGGAGCTTTATGACCCTGCCCCTTGCCTGAGAAACCTGAATACTTACACTGGCCAACTTAGGGCAAGCTTATATCCCACTTCTACTATTGCAGCTGGTGCACTCTTGAAAGTGCCATCTCTTGGATGGATGCCAACCAAGTCAGGACATTACAGCAACTCATGACAGAATAACCCTGCTCCAAGGAAGGAGCAAATAATAGCTAATTCAATTGCCTGCAACATCCTGGCTAACCAGAGATCCCGAGTCTGTCCATGGGACAATTTCATTGCTAGCATAACCAGCATATATTCAGCACGCTGAACATATCTACAACCAAGGACTCTCAAAGAGTCTACTTCATTCCCCCACCACCTTCACCAGAGCAGGTGCTGGTATCCACGGCTGAGAGAGCTGAAGATTCATGACATCACAGGACTCTTTGCAGACATTCCCCAGCACCAGCCCAGAGCCTGGTAGCCCCACTGGGTGGCTAGACCGTGAAGGGCAATAATAATCACTGCACTATGGCTCTCAGGAAGCCCCATCCCTAGGGGAAGGGGGAGAGCACCACATCAAGGGATCATCCCATGGGACAAAAAAATCTGAACATCAGGCCGTGAGTTCCAGATTTTTCCACTGAAATGGTGTACTCAAATGAGAAGGAACCAGAAAAGTAATTCTGGTAATATGACAAAACAAGGTTCTATAAAACACCGCCGAAAGATCACACTAGCTCACCAGAAATTGATCCAAATCAAGAAGAAATCTCTGAATTGCCAGAAAAAAAAATTCAGAAGGTTGATCATTAAGCTACTTAAGGAGATACCAGAGAAAGGTGAAAACCAACTTAAAGACATTCAGAAAACAATACAGGATATGGATGAAAAATTCTCCAGAGAAATAGATACCATAAAGAAAAAACAATCACAATATCTGAAAATGAAAGACACACTTAGAGAAATACAAAATGCACTGGAAAGTGTCAACAACAGACTAGAACAAGTAGAAGAAAGAACTTCAGAGCTCAAAGACAAAGCTTTCAAAGACAAAGACAAAGAAAAAAGAATTAAAAAATGAAGAAAGCCTCCAAGAAATTTGGGATTATGTTAAATGGCCAAACCTAAGAATAATTGGTTTCCCTGAGAAAGAGAGAAATCTAAAAGTTCAGAAAACATATTTGAGGGAATAATTGAGGAAAACTTCCCTGGACTCACTAGAGATCTAGACATCCAAATACAAGACATCCAAATACAAGACATCCAATACAAGTGTTTCCCAGGCAAAGAACACCTGGGAAATTCATTGCATAAAGATCATCATGCAGGCACATAGACATCAGATTATTTAAAGTAAAGACTAAGGAAACAATCTTAAGAGCTATGAGGCAAAACCATCAGGTAGCCTATGAAGGAAAACCTATCAGATTAACAGCAGATTTATCAGCAGAAACCCTACAAGCTCAAAGAGATAGGGGTTCTATCTTTAGCCCCCTCAAACAAAATAATGTCCAGCCAAGAATTTTGTATCCGGCAAAACTAAGCTTCATCAATGGAGGAGAGATAAAGTTTTTTTCAGACAAACAAATGCCAAGAGAATTCACCACTACCAAGCCAGCACTATAAGAAATGGTAAAAGGAGTTCTAAATCTTGAAACAAAACTTCAAAATACACCAAAATAGAAACTTCTTGACACATAAATCTCACAATAAAAACAATAATGATAATGCAACGAAGAAAAACCATCTGGCAACAACTAGATGATGAATGAAATAGTACTTCATATCTCAATACTAACATTTAATGCTCAACTTAAAATATACAGAATGTCAGAATGGATAAAAATTCACCAACCAAGTATCTGCTATCTTCAAGAGTTTCACCTAACACATAAGGACTCACATAAACTTGAGGTAAAGGGGTAGAAAAAGATATTCCATGCAAATGGAAACCAAAAGTGAGCAGGAGTAGCTATTCCTATATCAGACAAAACAGACTTTAAAGTAACAACAATTAAAAAAGACAAAGAGGGAGGTTATATAATGATAGAAAGATCGGTGCAACAGGAAAATATCACAATCCTAAACATATATACACCTAACACTGGAGCTCCCAAATTTATAAAACAATTATTACTAGACATAAGAAACAAGATAGACAGCAACACAATCATAGTGGGTGGCTTCAATACTTCACTTACAGCACTAAACAGGTCATCAAGACAGAAAGCCAACAAAGAAACAATGGACTTAAACTATACCCTAGAACGAATGGACTTAACAGATGTTTACAGAGCATTCTAACCAACATATACATTATTTTTATCAGCACATGGAACATTCTCCAAGATAGGCCATATGATAGGCCACAAAACAAATCTCAATAAATTTTAGAAAATCAGAATTATATCAAGTACGCTTTCAGACCACAGTGGAATAAAACTGGAAATCAACTCCAAAAAGAACCCTCAAAACTATAAAAACACATGGAAATTAAATAATCTGCTCTTGAATGATCTTTGGGTAAACAATGAAATCAAGATAGAAATTAAAACATTCTTTGAACTGAATAACAGTGACACAAGTTATCAAAATCTCTGAGATACAGCCAAAGCATTGCTAAAAGGAAAGTTCATAACATTAAATGCCTACATCAAAAAGTCTGAAAGAGCATGAATAGACAATCTAAGGTCACTCCTCAAGGAACTAGAGAAACAAGAACAAACAAACCCAAACCCAGCAGAAGAAAAGAAGGAAACAAAGATCAGAGCAGAACTAAATGAAATTCAAACAGAAAAGAAGAAAAGAAAGGAAGAAACAAAGATCAGAGCAAAACAAAATGAAATTCAAACAAAAAAATACAAAAGACTTAGAAACAAAAAGCTGGTTCTTTGAAAAAGATAAACAAAATTGATTGACCATTAGTGAGAGTAGCCAAGAAAAGAAGAGAGAAGATCCAAATATGCTCAATTAGAAACAAAACAAGAGATATTACAACTGATAACACAGAAATACAAAAGATCATTCAAGGCTACTATGAACACTTTTCCGTGCACAAACTAGAAAGTCTAGAGGACATGGATAAATTCCTGGAAATATAAAACCCTCCTAGATTAAATGAGGAAGAAATAGAAACTGTGAACAGACCAAATAGAAGTAATGACTGAAACACTGATAAAAAAAATACCAACAAAAAAGTTCAGGACCAGATGGATTCACAACTGAATTCTATCAGGCATTCAAGGAAGAATTGGTACCAATCTTACTGAAACTATTCCAAAAGATAGAGGAAAGAGAGAATCCTCCTTAAATCATTCTATGAAGCCAGTATCACCCTAATACCGAAACCAGGAAGGGACATTAAAAAAAAGAGAAAACTACAGACCAATATCCCTGATGAATATAGATGCAAAAATCCTCAACAAAATAGTAGGTAACCAAGTCCAACAGCATATCAAAAAGGTAATACACCATGATCAGTGGGTTTCATACCAAGGATACAGGTATGGTTTAACATACACAAGTCAATAAATGTGATACATTACATAAACAGAATTAAAAGTAAAATCATATGAGCATCTCAATAGAGGGAGAAAAAACATTTGAAAAAATCCAGTATCTCTTTATGAATAAAACCCTCAGTGAAATCGGCATGGAAGGGATATACCTCAAGGTAATAAAAGCCATCTATGACAAACCCACAACCAACATTATACTGAATGAGGAGAAGTTGAAAGCATTCCCCCTGAGAACTAGAACAAGACAAGGATGCCCACTTTCACCACTGCTATTCAACAGTGTACTGGAAGTCCTAGCCAGAGCAACCAGAAAAAAGAAATAAAGGGCATCTAAATTGGTAAAGGGGAAGTCAAACTGTTTCTGTTCACCAATGATAGGATTGTATACCTAGAAAACCCCAAAGACCCATCCAAAAAGCTCCTAGATCTGATAAATGAATTCAGTTAAGTTTCAGGATACAAAATCAATGTACACAAATCCGTAGCACTGCTGTACACCACCAACAACCAAGCTGAGAATCAAATCAAGAACTCAAACCCTTTTATAATAGCTGCAAAAAACCGACCCACCAACAAACAAAAACAAACAAACAAAAACAAACAAATGTAGGAATATACCTAACTAACGAGGTGAAAGATCTCTACAAGGACAACTATAAAACACTGCTGAAAGAAATCATAGATGACACAAACAAATGGAAACACATCCCATGCTCATGGATGGGTAGAATCAATATTGTAGAAATGACCATACTGCCAAAAGCAATCTACAAATTCAATGCAATTCCCATAAAAATACCATCATCATTCTTCACAGAACTAGAAAAAATAATCCTAAAATTCACATGAAGCCAAAAAAGAGCCCACATAGCCAAAACAAGACTAAGCAAAAAGAACAAATCTGGAGGCATCACATTACCCGACTTCAAACTATGCTACAAGCCTATCACCATCAAGAGAGCATGATATTGGTATAAAAATAGGTACATAGACCAATGGAACAGAATAGAGAATCCAGAAATAAAGCCAAATATTTACAACCAACTGATCTTCAACCAAGCAAATACATAAAGTGGGGAAAGAATATCCTATTCAAGAAATGGTGGTGGTATAATTGGCAAGCCACATGTAGAAGAATGAAACTGGGTCCTCATCTCTCACCTTATACAAAAATCAACTCAAGATGGATCAAATAATTAAATCTAAAACCTGAAATCATAAAAATTCTAGAAGATAACATAGATAAAAACTCTTCTAAACATTGGTTTAGGCAAAGAGTTCATAACCAAGAGCCCAAAAGCAAACACAACAAAAACAAAGATAAATAGATGGCACCTAATTAAACTAAAAAGCTTCTGCACAGCAAAAGAAAGAATCAGCAGAATGAACAGACAGCCCACAGAGTGGGAGAAAATATTCACGAACTATATATCCGACAAAAGACCAGTATCCAGAATATACCAAGAACTCAAACAAATCAGCAAGAAAAAAAGCAAATAATTTCATCAAAAAGTAGGCAAAGACATGAACAGACCTGTCTCTCTTTTTGAGACAGAGTCTCACTCTTATTGCCCAGGCTGGAGTGCAATGGCATGATCTTGGCTCACTGCAACCTCCGCCTCCTGGGCTCAAGTGATTTCTCCTGCCTCAGCCTCCCAAGTAGGTGGGATTACAGGCACATGCCACCATGCCCAGCTAATTTTTGTATTTTTATTAGAGACAGGGCTTCACCATGTTGGCCAGGCTGGTCTCGAACTCCTGACCTTAGGTGATCTGTCCACCTTGGCCTCCCAAAAGTGCTGGGATTACAGGCGTTAGCCACTGCACTGGGATGAATAGGCAATTCTCAAAAGAAGATATACAAACGTCTAACAGACATATGAAAAAATGCTCAACATCACTAATTATCAGGGAAATGCAAATCAAAACCACGATGAGATACCACCTTACCCCTGCAAGAATAGCCATAATTAAAAAAAAAAATGTTGGCATGGATATAGTAAAAAGGAACACGTTTACATTGCTTGTGGGACTGTAAACTAGTACAAGCACTATGGAAATCAGTGTGGGGATTCCTTAAAGAACTAAAAGTAGAACTACCATTTGATCCAGTAATCCCACTACTGGGTATCTACCCAGAGGAAAATAAATAATTAAATGAAAAAAAGACTTGCATACATATGTTTACAGCAGCACAGTTTGCAATTGCAAAAATATGGAACCAGCCTACATGCCCGTCAAGCAATGAGTGGATAAAGAAATATGATATATATATACACCATAGAATACTACTCAGCCATAAAAAGGAGTGAAATAATGGCACTGGCAGGAACTTGGGTGGAATTGGACATCATTATTCCAAGTGAAGTAACTCAGGAATGGAAAACCAAACATTGTGTATTCTCACTTATAAATAGAAGCTAAGGTATGACGATTCAAAAGCATAAAGAATGATATAATGGACTTTGGGGACTCAGGGGGATGGGTCGGAGGTGGCTGAGAGATAAAAGACTATATATTGGGTACAGTGTGCACTGCTGGGGTGATGGGTATACCAGAATCTCAGAAATCGCCACTAAAGAACTTTTCCATGCAACCAAACATCACCTGTTCCCCCAAAACTATTGAAATGAGAAAATAGAATAGATTAAAAAAAAAGTGGTCTTCATGGCTCCGGCTTTCCCTGCCCTCTTGTTTCTTTGTTTATAGGCCTCCTTGCTTGCTTGTTTTGGTTGCTGCCCTCATTGCTATCAGTACTGTCATCTCCAAACCTTGTCCCAATCCCCTAGAACTCCAAGTGCAATGCCTACTATGGGGTACCCTCAGCAGAAGGGATGGCAAAACAAACAAACAAACAGCCTTAAGTGAGCATGAGTATAACTTCAATAAAACACTGTGCATGTGGCCCCTCCCAAGTGCTGGCAGACCACTGTGCCTGCGGACAGCCCACCCCAAAGGAAGAATTAGGGGAGAAGGCCATGTCAAAGGCCAAATAGAGCACTTGAATCTCTCAGGATGCCCGCTGGGCCCCACTTCCAAGTGTACTTTACTGCCTTTTATTCCTGCTCTAAAACCTTTTAATAAACTTTCACTCCTGCTCGAAAACTTGCTTTAGTCTCTTCCTCTGCCTTATGCCTCTTGGTCGAATTCTTTCTTCTGAGGAGGCAATAATTGAGGTTGCAGCAGATCTGTATGCTGGTGCTAACAATTCTAATTTTTTACAGTTACTTTGGGTTTTCTATATAGACAATCATTTTATCTGAGAAAATGAACTCTTCCTTCTTACTCCTGTTTCTTTTTTCTTGGCTTGTACTAAGTCCCCTAATTCAGTGTAGCTGAGAAATAGTAATATTATGGACAAAATATCCTTGTTTTATTCCTGATTCAAAAAAAGGAACTTCTGTTTCATTATTAACTATAATGTTTACTGTAGATCTTGAAAGCACACTTTATCAGATTAAATAAATTCCCTTCTATTCCCAGTTTGCTGAGAATAGCAATTATGAATGAATTATGAATGAAGGTTGAACATGATCAAATGAATTTTTCTGCATCAATTAAGATGATCTTGTTTATCTTTTACTTTTTATTACAGAGATTTTCAAACATGCACAAAACTAGAGAGAATGTTATAATGAATACTCATGACCCATCACCCAACTTCACTAATTATCAATTTCCTGCCATTCTTGTATCATCTCTTCCCCATGCTTTTTTTTTTTTTGGAGTATTTGAAAGTAATTTCCAGGCATTTTATTATTTAATCTGTAAATATAGTAGTGTGTACCTCTAACAGATAGACTTTTCAGAAGCTTAGCCACAATACCCATGATCACACCATGATAACACCCCCAAATAATAATATTAATCTATTATACCTATTTATAATTTCATAATCATCTAATACTGAAATATTAATGCTACTTATTTGATGAGAAATGGAGTCATTTGAACTATAGAATTGCCTTTTATATTTGACTTAATTTTTAAACTGTGATTTTACATGTTACATATTATTCCATTACCTTTTTTTTCCTGAAAATGAGCAATTAGAACTGTAGATTTGATTAGATTTAGGTTTTTCATTAATCTTTTTTTTGAGACAGGTATTTCTCACTATTTTGCTCAGATTGGCCTCAAAAGCCTGGGCTGAAGTGATCCTTCCTCCTTAGCCTCCCAAGTAGCTGGGACTCCAGGCACATGCCACTGCACCCAGCTATAAAATTTTTAAATATTTATTTATTTGGCAAAATTACTGTATGGGTGGTGCTGTGTATTTCCCATTGAATCACATCAGGAAGCATATAAAATCTGTTTTTTTAACTTTCAATGATCTTAATGCTGATCAGGTGGTTCAGGTGGTTTCAGCCTGATCCTTCCATTATAAAGTCTTTCACCCAGTGCTTTGGAAGCCATTGACAATCATTATCTGTATCTATGATTTCATTAGATGTTGCAAAATAGTGATTTTTCTAAATCATTCACTCTTCTTACACTTATTAGGTGTGATTCTTTGACAAAGAATTTTTATCAATTATTTGGTTACCCCAAAATATAGTCTGAATAGGAAAGGCAGGATAAATGCTTGATTCTTTCCTTTTGTATGTCATTTCAGAATAAGTTGGTACCCCAGCAACCCCAAAGATATCCATTGATGGCTTTAGAAAATTATCATTATGAATCAGTGAATTTTTATATATTGTATGTATTAAAAATATATTTGTACATATTTGGTATGTTTCAATCTGTCACAATTATCATTATTTTTGATGCTCACTTGATCCCATCTTTGGCCAGTGAGTGCTCCTTCAAGTTGGCTCCAATGTGCTATTGATGGGTCCCAGTAGTCTTTGATAAACTCTTTGATTTCTGTTATGACAAGATGTACTAGGTTCCTGTATGTTTCCTTCCTCGTACGTGGGGCCAGTCATTTGTCCAAAGAGCTTTTGTTTCCTTTAAAGAATAATGGTTTTAGAAAGCATAATTTTGGGGCTGGGGTGTGCCTGTTGCCTCCACACCTTTTCAAAATAACAATACCAGTATTGCAACCGGCCACATGACCCCTGAATATAGTATTGATTCCTTTTGGTTTGTTTTGACCTTATGATCCCTTCTAGGGATGTACAATCAAAATACTGTATTTTAAGTCACTTGAAATAATTTTATGTATGGTTATGGTACTAACTTGATATAGAGTTAGGTTCCTTTGTTTCAGTTTTTAATTTTTAGGGATTTTTTTTATCTTGATTCAATTTTGTGATTCAATTATGTAAAAACAATTTCATGATTTCAAAGTCAAGCCCTAAAACAAGGTACATTCAGAGAGGTATAACTTCGACCTTGTCCCGGCCCATCTGTTCTCTTCCTCCTCTTTTATATGATCATTTATTATTAGTTTTTGGTTTGATTGTTCATTGCTTCAGTAATTTCTGACACTACCTACCCAGAGTTAGGTCAAGCTTTATCAATTAAAAGCACAGTCCTCCACCAGGCTCTCTTTACTTCAGAAACCAGCCGCAGACTATGAGGTTCCCAGGGCCACCCTCATTTCTGATCAACTGGCTACAAATTTAGGGGTGCTCACTACCTCCTCAGGTTTCATAATTTGCTAGAGTGACTCACAGAACTCAGGAAAGTGTTATAGTTACAATTACAGTTTTATTACAGCAAAAAGGATACAAATCAGAAATAGCCAAAAGAAGAGCCACACAGGGCAAAGTCTGGAAGGGTCCCAAATACCAAGCTTCCAGTGTCCTTTGCTTGTGGAGTCAGGATGTCACCCTCCCAGCACGTTGATGTGTAACAACACGCGCAGAGGATTGCCAGTCAGGGAAGCACAACTGAGTTTGTGTCCAGAGTTTTTCTTGGGGTTTCATTATGTGGGCATGATTAATTGAATCATTGGCCAGGCAATCGAACTTAATCTCTATTTCCTCTTCCCTTCCCTGGAGGTCAGGCTGATATCACCTGGTTCAAAGTGTTAATCTTTTAATCACATGGTTGGTCTTTTGGCATGGCTAGCCCCCATGTTGAGCCAAATTAGCATAAACTATCTAGTGGCTCACCATGTGTTAGTTGATTAGCACAAGCTCAGAGGTGATCTCAGGGGACACACTATAAATGACAAAGATACTCTTACCACTCTGGAAATTTTAAAGGTTTAGAAGCTACCTCTCAGGAACCAGGGACAAAGGCCAGCTGAATTCTTTTTCTCTCTCTCTCTCTTTTTTTTTTTTTTCTTGAGACAGAGCCTTGCTCTGTTGCCCAGGCTGGAGTGAGGTGGTCAGATCTTGGCTTACTGCAACCTCCACTTCCCAGGTTCAAGTGATCCTCCCACCTCAGCCTCCTGAGTAGTTGGGACTACAGGTGCATGCCACCATGCTCAGCTAATTTTTCTATTTTTGTAGAGATGGGGTTTCACCATGTTGCTCAGGCTGATCTTGAACTCCTGAGGTCAAGTGATCCTCCCAACTCGGCCTCCCAAAGTGCTGGAATTACAGATGTGAGCTTGTATTAGTCTGTTCTCATGCTGCTGATAAAGACATACCTGAGACTGGGCAATTTACAAAAGAAAAAGGTGTATTGGACTTACAGTTCCACATGGCTGGGGAGGCCTCACAATCATGGTGGAAGGTAAAAGGCATGTCTCACAAGGCAGCAGACAAAAGAAGAGAGCTTGTGCAGGGAAACTCCCCTTTTTAAAACCATCAGATCTCATGAGACTTATTCACTATCTTGAGAACAGCATGGGAAAGACCTGCTCCCATGATTCAATTACCTCCCACCGGGTCCCTCCCACAACACGTGGGAATTCAAGGTGAGATTTGGGTGGAGACACAGCCAAACCATATCACTCTGCTCCCGGCCCCTCCCAAATCTCATGTCCTTACATTTCAAAACCAACCATGCCTTCCTAACAGTTCCCCAGAGTCTTAACTCATTTCAGCATTAACTCAAAAGTCCACAGTCCAAAGTCTCATCTGAGACAAGGCAAGTCCCTTCCACCTATGAGCCTGTAAAATCAAAAGCAAGTTAGTTACTTCCTAGATACAATGGGGGTACAGGCATTGGGTAAATACAGCCATTCCAAATGAGAGAAATTGGCCAAAACAAAGGGGTTACAGGCCCCATGCAATTCCGAAATCCAGCAGGGTAGTCAAATCTTAGAGTTTCAAAATGATCTCCTTTGACTCCATGTCTCACATCCAAGTAACACTGATGCAAGAGATGGGTTCCCATGGTCTTGGACAGCTCCACCATATGGCTTTGCAGGGTACAGCCTCCCTCCCAGCTGCTTTCACGGATTGGCATTGAGTGTCTGTGGCTTTTCCAGGTGCATGGTGCAAGCTCTCAGTGGATCTACCATTCTGGGGTCTAGAGGACAGTGGCCCTCATCTCTTAGCTCCACTAGACAGTGTCCCTGTGGGGACTCTGTGTTGGGACTCTGACCCCACATTTCCCTTCTGCACTGCCCTAGCAAAGGTTCTCCATGAGGGCCCCACCCCTGCAGCAAACTTCTGCCTGAACATATAGGCATTTCCATACATCCTGTGAAATCTAGGTGGAGGTTCCCAAACCCCAATTTTTGACTTCTGTGCACTGGCAGGCTCAGTGCCACATGGAAACTGCCAAGGCTTGAGGCTTACACCCTCTAAAGCCATGGCCCAAGCTCTGTGTTGGCCCCTTTCAGCCATGACTGGAGCAGCTGGGATGCAGGGCACCAAGTCCCTAGGCTGCACACAGCAAGGGGACCCTGGGCCCATCTCACAAAACCAATTTTTCCTCCTAGGCTTCCAGGCCTGTGATGGGAGGGGCTGCTGTGAAGACCTCTGACATGCCCTGGAGACATTTTCCCTATTGTCCAGGGGATTAACATTGGGCTCCTTGTTACTTATGCAAATTTCTGCAACTGGTTTCAATTTCTCCTCAGAAAATAGGATTTTCTTTTCTATTGCATACCCTAAATCATCTCTCTCAAGTTCAAAGTTCCACAAATCTCTAGAGCAGGGGTGAAATGCCACCAGTCTCTTTGCTAAAACATAACAAGAGTCACCCTTGCTTTAGTTCTCAACAAGTTTCTCATCTTCATCTGAGACCATCTCAGCCTGGATTTTATTGTTTATATCACTATCAGCATTTTGGGCAAAGCCATTCAGCAAGCCCCTAGGAAGTTCCAAACTTTCCCACATTTTTTTGTCTGCTTCTGAGCCCTCCAAACTGTTCCAGCCTCTGCCTGTTACCCAATTCCAAAGTTGCTTCCACATTTTTGAGTATCTTTTCAGCAGCACCCCACTCTACTGGTACCACCTTACTGTATTAGTCTGTTCTCACACTACTGATAAAGACATACCTGAGACTGAGCAATTTACAAAAGAAAGAGGTTTATTGGACTTACAGTTCCCCATGGCTGGGGAGGCCTCACAATTATGTTGGAAGGTGAAAGGCATGTCTCACATGGTGGCAGACAAGAGAAGAGAGCTTGTACAGGGTAACTCCCCTTTTTAAAACCATCAGATCTGGCCAGGCACAGTGGCTCACACTGGTAATCCCAGCACTTTTGGAGGCAGAGGTTGGTGGATCACCTGAGGTCAGGAGTTCAAGATCAGCCTGGCCAATATGGAGAAACCCCATCTCTACTAAAAATACAAAAATTAGCAAGATATGGTGGCACACACCTATAATCCCAGCTACTTGGGAGGCTGAGGCTAGAGAATCACTTGAACCCAGGAGGTGGAGGCTGCAGTGAGCCGAGATTGTGCCACTGCATTCCAGCCTGCACAACAGAGTGAGACTCCATCTCAAAGAAACAAAACAAACAAAAAAACAAACAAAAAAACCATCGGATCTCATGAGACTTATTCACTATCATGAGAACAGCACAGGAAAGACCTGCCCCATTATTCAACGACTTCCCACATGGTCCCTCCTATAACACGTGGGAATTCAAGATGAGATTTGGGTGGGGACACAATCAAACCAAATCAGAGCCACTGCACCTGGCCAGGATTCTTTGTTATATAGAAATTGTTCTTTTATTTTTAAAAATGTAGGAAAATATGCATTATATTTTTTCTTTAATATGTTAAATTAATTATATTAATGGATTTTTTTACAGTAAACATACTTTGAATTCCTAGGATAAACTCGACTTGGTAATGAATACATTATATTTTTCACAGATTGTTGGATTCAGTTTGCCAATATTTTATGATTTTTGTGTCTATGTTAATGAGTGAGATTGGCCTGCAATTTTTCTTATTTTATCCTTTCATGGCTTGATATCAAGGTTATGATAGCTTGAAAGAATAAAGGTGGGTAGTTTGAAGTATCTGTTTCTTAAAAGTTTGGTAGAACTCACTTGCATATCTGTCTTGTTTAGCCTGATGTTTAATTTTTGGAAAGGATTTTAAAATGTTTTAAACTTTTTAACACAATTTCTTTAATGACTATAAATCTATTTAAGTTTTTTTGCTGAGTAATTTTGAAACCACCTTTGTAAAAATTATGACAGTGAGAAATCTGATATAGCTGACTCCTTTGTGCTTCTAACCTCACAAGCTAACTGCCTTTGTTAACTCTAAAATAAAGATGATAACAGTCCCTTAATGAAACTAACTCCCTCCTTGCTCAGGGACCAAAACCATCTTTGTAAGAACAGTGAAAAGCCACAAGATTAAGATTATGGGAGGGGTCTGAATCTGCTAAAATATGAGTGTAGTTAAATGATAACAAGCCCTTATTCCCTAGCCTGCCTTTCTATACTCATTTACTGCTCTCGAGTTCATAAGATTTGTAACTTCCTCAATTGCTTCTATAGATAACATCATTATTGTCAAAATCTAAGATTGGTGTTTTCTAGACCCTGCATTCTGATGGACCAGCTGATGTGCTATGTGGACTGATAATGTATACCAATAAACCGGCTCATCTGGTCTTGTGGTCCCACTCAGGAACTGACTCAGTGCAAGAAGAGCTTTAACCCAACCAATCATATTCCCCATTTCCTAGCCCCCTGCCTGCCAAACTATCCTTGGAAAACCCTAGCCTCTGAACTTTCAAGAAGGGCTGATTTGAGTGATAAGCTCCTGTTCTTCCTCTTGGCTAGCCCTGTGATTATTAAACTCCTGCGATATGACTGTTTCAATGAATTAGCCCTGTCCGTGCAGCATGCAAGAAGAACCCATCAGGTGATTGCAGTTTTATCAAGTTAGATTTTTCTGGGAATATCTATTTTTTATGTTTTAAAATTTACTGATACAATATTGTTCACAATATTCCCTTCCCTTCTTCTTTCTCTCCCTCTCCCTCCCTCTTTTTCCTTCCTTCCTTTCTTCCTTCCTTCCTTCCTTCCTTCCTTCCTTCCTTCCTTCCTTCCTTCCTTCCTTCCTTCTCTCTCTCTCTCTTTCTCTTTCTTTCTTTCTTTCTTTCTTTCTTTCTTTCTTTCTTTCTTTCTTTCTTTCTTTCTTTCTTTCTTTCTTTCTTTCTTTTTGACAGAGTCTCACTCTGTTGCCCATGCTGGAGTGCAGTGGCGCAATCTCAGCTCACTACCACCTCCATCCCCTGTGTTCAAGCAATTCTCTGCCTCAGCCTCCCAAGGAGCCGGGGCTACAGGCATGCACCACCACACCCGGCTAATTTTTTTTCTTTATATTTTTATCCTATAAGCTTTGTGTTTTTTAATTATACTTTAAGTTCTGGGGTACATGTGCAGAATGTGCGGGTTTGTTACATAGGTATACACGTGCCATGGCGGTTTGCTGCACCCATCAACCCGTTATCTACATTAGGTATTTCTCTAATGCTATCCCTCCCCTAGCCCCCCACTCCTGGACAGGCCCCGTGTGTGATGTTCCCCTCCCTGTGCCCATGTGTTCTTATTGTTCAACTCCCACTTATGAATGAGAACATGTGTTTGATTTCCTGTTCTTGTGTTAGTTTGCTGAGAATGATGGTCTCCAGCTTCATCCATGTTCCTGCAAACGATGTAAACTCATCCTTTTTCATGGGTGCATAGTATTCTATGGTGTGTATGTGCCACATTTTCTTTATCCAGTCTGTCATTGATGGGCATTTGGGTTGGCTCCAAGTCTTTGCTATTATAAATAGTGCTGCAATTAAACATATGTATGCATCTGTCTTTATAGTAGAATGATTTATAATCCTTTGAGTATATACCCAGTAATGGGATTGCTGGGTGAAATGGTATTTCTAGTTCTAGATCCTTGAGGAATCACCACACTGTCTTCCACAATGGTTGAACTAATTTACAGTCCCACCAACAGTGTAAAAGTGTTCCTATTTCTCCACATTCTCTCCAGCATCTGTTGTTTCCTGACTTTTTAATGATCGCCATTCTAATTGGTGTGAGATGATATCTCATTGTGGTTTTGATTTGCATTTCTGTAGTGACTAGTGATAATGAGCTTTTCTTCATATGTTTGTTGGCTGCATAAATGTCTTCTTTTGAGAAGTGTCTGTTCATATCCTTTGCCCACTTTTTGATGGGGTTGTTCATTTTTTCTTGTAAATTTGTTTAAGTTCCTTGTAGATTCTGGATATTAGTCCTTTGTCAAATGGATAGATTGCAAAATTTTTCTCCCATTCTGTAAGTTGCCTGTTTATTCTGATGATAGTTTCTTTTGCTCTGCAGAAGCTCTTTAGTTTAATTAGATCCCATTTGCCAATTTTGGCTTTTGTTGCCATTGCTTTTGGTGTTTTAGACATTAAGACCTTGCCCATGCCTATGTCCTGAATGGTATTGTCTAGGTTTTCTTCTAGAGTTTTTATGGTTTTAGGTCTTACATTTAAGTCTTTAATCTATCTTGAGTTAATTTTTGTATAAGGTGTAAGGAAGGGATCCAGTTTCAGCTTTCTGCATATGGCTAGCCAGTTTTCCCAACACCATTTATTAAATAGTGACTCCTTTCCCCATTGCTTGTTTTTGTTAGGTTTGTCAAAGATCAGATGGTTGTAGATGTGTGGCATTATTTCTGAGGCCTCTGTTCTGTTCCATTGATCTATATATCTGTTTTGGTACCAGTACCATGCTGTTTTGGCTACTGAGCCTTGTATCAGGTAGTGTGAGGCCTCAGGCTTTGTTATTTTTGCTTAGGATTGTCATGGCTATGTGGGTTCTTTTTTGGTTCAATATGAAATTTAAAGTAGTGTTTTATTCTGTGAAGAAAATCAATGGTAGCTTGATGGGGATAGCATTGAATCTGTAAATTACTTTGGGTAGTATGGCCATTTTCACGATATCAATTTTTCCTATCCATGAGCATGGAATTTTTTTTCCAATTTTTTGTATCCTCTCTTATTTCCTTGAGCAGTGGTTTGTAGTTCTCCTTGAAGAGGTCCTTCACATCCCTTGTAAGTTGTATTCCTAGGCATTTTTTTCCTCTTTGTAGCAATTGTGAATGGGAGTTCACTTATAATTTTTTTTTTTAGACGGATGCTCGCTCTGTGGCCAGGCTGGGAGTGCAATGGCATGATCTCGGCTCACTGCAACCTCTGCCTCACAGGTTCAAGGGATTCTCCTGCCTCAGCCTCCTGAGTAGCTGGGATTACAGGTGTCTGCCACCAAGCCTGGCTAATTTTTGTATTTTTAGTAGAGAAGGGGTTTCGCCATGTTAGCCAGGCTGGTTTCCAACTCCTGACCTCAAGTAATCTTCCTGCCTTGGCCTCCCAAAGTGCTGGGATTACAGGCATAAGCCACTGCACCTGGCTCTACAATATATTTTCTTATCCTTTATTCTTAAAGCTTATTTACATTTTTATATTGAAGTAATTTCAAACTTACAGAAAAATTATAAGAATCATACTAAATAATTCATGTATATCTTTTAACCAGATTCACCCATTGTTAATATTTTGCTATATTTGCTTTATCATTCATCTTTATATCATATATATGAAAATATATGTAATATAAATGTATATATATTTCACGTGAAATATATATATTTGACACACGCACATGTATATTTATTTCTTTTCCCCCTGAATCATTTGAGAATAAGTTAGAGACATTATGCTCCTTCAAACCTTAGTAATTCAGTATTTATTTCCTAACAACAAGATAACTCTTTTATATGACCACAGTATAATTAATGAATTAAAGAAACTCGATGTTTAAGCATTAAACAATTTGACATATAGTCCACATTCCACTTTTGCTAGTTGTTCAATAATGCTTTTCATAGCATTGTTTCTTCTGGTCCAAGAAGAATGTTGCTTTTAGTTATCATCACTCTTAGCCCTTAGATTTCCTTCAATCTGGAATAGTTCCTCAGGGTTTCCTTGGTCTTTCACAACGTTTATATCTTAGAGACTACAGATAGTTATTTTGTAGAAGTTGCTCATCTTGAATTTGTCTCGTGTTTCCCCTGGTCAGATTTGGCCTATGCATTTTTTTTTTTTTTTTTTTTTGGTAAAAGTACTACATAAGTGATATTGTTTGCTTCTCAGTGCATAATGGTAGGAGTCAACTGATGATGATTTGGGATTGTAACTTTGATCACTTGGTTAAGATGGTGTCCAGTAGTTTTCTACATAGTAAAGTTACTATTTTACTTTCTGTAATAAATAAGTAATTTGGGGGAGGTACTTTGAAATGGTGGACATATCCTTCTCCTCATCAAACTTTTACAAATGCATATTCATTATTGATTTTTGTCTGCATGAACCATCATTATGATGGTTTCAAAATAATGATTTTCTTATACCTTCATTTCTTCTATGTTTATAAGTTGACATTCTCATTTCTAGTAAGGATGAATTGTTGTGTCCTCCAGGGTGGAAGAGACCTTGGGTAATAAGCTTGCCACTGAGTGGCTGCTTTATGTCCTCAAGGGATTGTACCATATCAAGCACTCAGCATTGGTGTCTGTTGCTAATGGTCAGGCATTCAGTAGTGGTGGTAGCTAGATCAGCCTTGGAGAGAGAGAGCCCATCATTTCAGGCCATCACGACTAATCCATTCATTTATGGGCCCTTTGTAAGGATTGAGATGGCTGAGGACAGGGGCTGACAGGCATTCATTAGACCAGTCATCCTGTCCATATGCTTATTCAGTGCTTCTTCTGCCACACGTGCTCTCTGGTGGGCTCTAGTGTGAGACACAAAGATCAACACATTATGTGCCCATTCTTATAGCTCCAGCCACATGCCTCTTCCTCAGACATGCTTGGTTTCAATCCTCTAGTGTTGTTCCCTTGAGGCCCTTGACCAAGCAACCAAGCCATTCTCCACCACCTAGAAGTCTGTGTATATTCTTACTTTTGGCCGCTTCTCTCCAGACACAAAGCAGATGACCACTGGACTTGAATTGGCACCCAGAGTTATTTTGGGTGTGTCTTTAGTGCAGCAACAGTCCATATTTTTAGCTCACGCCAGCATATCATGCTAGCCTAATCCTTATAAAGCCCTTTTCCTGCTCCTTTTCTATTCTGTCAACTGTCTGTGGAGAAATCCCCAAGGGGCCATAGGTATTATGTCTGGAATTGGTTCTCTCCGAGGGGTTCTTGGTCTCGCTGACTTCAAGAATGAAGCCATGGACCCTCGCAGTGAGTGTTGCAGTTCTTAAAGATGGTGTGTCCGGAGTTTGTGTTTTCAGATGTTCAGATGTGTCTGGAGGAGTTTCTTCCTTCTGGTGGGCTCGTGGTCTCGCTGACTTCAGGAGTGAAGCCACAGACCTTCACAGTGAGCATTACAGCTCTTAAAGGTGGTGCGTCCAGAGTTGTTTGTTCCTCCCGGTGGGTTTGTGGTCTCACTGGCTTCAGGAGTGAAGCTGCAGACCTTTGCAGTGAGTGTTACAGCTCATAAAGGTAGTGTGGACCCAAAGAGTGAGCAGCAGCAAGATTTATTGTGAAGAGTGAAAGAAAAAAGCTTCCACAGCGTGGAAGGGGACCTGAGAAGGTTGCCGCCACTGGCTCGGGTGGCCAGCTTTTATTCCCTTATTTGGCCCCGCCCTCATCCTCCTGATTGGTCCGTTTTACAGGGTGCTGATTGCCCCATTTTACAGAGTGCTGATTGGTCCGTTTTTACAGAGTGCTGATTGGTGCGTTTACAAACCTTTAGTTAGACACAGAGTGCTAATTGGTGCATTTTTACAGAGTGCTGATTGGTGCATTTACAAACCTTTGGCTAGACACAGAGCGCTTATTGGTGCATTTACAATCCTTTAGCTAGGCAGAAAAGTTCTCCAAGTCCCCACCCAACCCAGAAGTCCAGCTGGCTTCACTTCTCAATCCTCCTTCTAAACAGGACACCACAAGTGTTGTTGGGAATTGGCCGATGACCGCTCTAGCTATTTCCTGCTGGATAGGGGCAAAGAAGGGGCCCTGCAGTTGTAGTGTCCTCCAGAGGGGAACTCTTTAGGCCAGTGAAAGGGCCAGCAGGTTGGTCTGGGGTCCTCAGTAGAAGTTGTTAGTTGAGCTCATTTGGGGTTCCATTTGTAAGACCATCTGTAGCTTGATGGCCTCAATTCTAGAGGAAACAAATTTGACAAGGAGATTAAAAATACAGGGTCCAAAGGCAAGAAATAGCAAGATGGCTGCCACAGGACCTAGAAAGGGGAGAAGCCATGTTGCCCAACTCCAGAGGTTGGTATAAGAATTTGAAAGGCGTTGTCTGATTTTAGAAGCCTTTTCCTGTAAACTCTGGGTGGCATCTTGTACTATCCCTGACTAGTTAGTGTAAAAACACTTTTCCCCTAAGAAGGCGCAAAAGTCCTCCTTTCTCAGCAATGAGGAAGTCTAGGCTTTGGCAGTTTTGGAGCGTCACTGCTGCCAAAGAGTCTATTTGGGATTGTAGGGTAAGGATAGATTTCGTTATTTCTTGCAAACTGTCTGAGAAATCCTTTGAGAGTGTGTAGTAGTAGGATAATGAAGGAATAAACTGGCTATTCCAGTTCCTGCAGCAGTAGCCATTCCTAACGCTATAAGTAGGGGTATTAGTTGTATGGCTCTGTGCTGACAGACTTGAGCTTTGAGGGGTACTGATAGGGTCTGATTTCCGCAAGATTAGAAGTTAGGATAATATATGTTTACACTGTTAACTTTTAGCAAACTTTACTTTTGTTGAAAACCTTGTAAGTTTGGGATTTCAATTATTCTTTGCTATTAATAAGACCTTGTTCAGTCCATATTAACTTAGAATTGGTATAGATGGCTTCTTCCTGATTCCGTAAGTACTTTAAGATTTGGCTGAGTGCAAACAGCTGACACATTTGAGCAGACAATTTATTAGACAATTTTCCTAACTCTGCTTCTATAAGAGTTTCCTTATCACTTACTGAATACCCATTGTGTCTTTTTCCTTAATCACCTGGGAGGAACCATCTATTGTCCTGTCCTGAAGGGAGTTCCTCCTATGTCTGGTCGGACCTTCAGATTTAGATCCCATGTTAGGAAACCTGCTGGGTTAAGGATTTTTGATAGGAAGGCTACGGGTTGACAGTGGCCTCAGTGCTTTCGGGCTATGCCTTTGTTTACACTGACAACAAGGTGGTATTGGAGTGTTATAAGGTTACAGAGAAGACCTTCAATTATCAATTATAGGTTTTAAATTTACCCTGGCTTTTAAAGGAATAGGGTACACTGTTTTTTCTTTACTACTTCTATCTCTATCTTTGATCCTTTGTCTCTTCCTCTCTTTCCTTCTCTCTTTGACTTTTTGTCTGTCTCTTCCTCTCTCTATCTCTCTCTTCCTCTCTGTCTCTCTCTCTGATTTTCTGTCTCTTTCTCTCTCTTTGACTCCTTTCTGCTGGTTTTTCCCTGCCTCTGCCAGCCTCTTATGCTGCTGTTCTCCCCTCTCCTTCTCCTTTTGATGGGTTGGCAGTGTAAGACTGCCACCTCCTTGGGTTTTTGCAGTGTGTGCAATAACTCCATGGTTTCCTTGTGGTATTTAATGGGGGTTCCCCCAGAGGTTAGGAACTCCCTTTCTTTCCATACTGCAGCATGGGCATGTAGGATTAGATAATCATACTTGCTATCTGTCTACACATTTATTCTTTTTCCCTTTCCCAGTTCTAAGGCTCAGGTAAGTGCCACTAGTTCTCCTAACTGGGTGCTGGTCCCTGGGGGAAGAGGCTTACTTTCAAGTATGGTTACATCACTAACTATGGCATAACCTGCCCTTCGTATCCCATTTTCCACAAATGAACTTCCATCGGTATATAAGTTAAGGTCAGGATTAGCTAAGGGGACTTCTAAGAGATCATCTTGGGCTGCATAAGTCTGGACTACAACCTGTTGGCAGCCATGCTCGACCGGCTCCCCTTCCTCTGGGAGAAAAGCGGCAGGGCTGAGGGCCACACATGTATGCACTTGAGCACTGGTCCCTCAAGGAGTAGTGCCTGGTATCTAAGCAGGCAGTTGTCTGATAGCCATAAACTTCCTTTGGCACCTAGTATGCCATTTACATCATGAGTAGTCCAGATAGTGAGATCCTTTCCTTGTATTATTTTGATAGCCTCTGACACTAAGAGAGCCACTACCACAACTACCCATAAACAGTGAGGCCAGCCCTTTGCTACTACTTCAATTTCCTTATCTACATACTTACGTATGCCACTAGTTGTGGGATTGTCCCACGAGTCTGAGTAAGGACCCCAAGAGCTATTCCTGCTCTCTCTGTGATGTATAAAGAAAAGTTTTTTCCTGTGGGAAGGCTTAAGACTGGAGCTTGAGTTTGTTCCTTCCAATGCCCAGCCTTCAGGGTTGATTGCCTCCTCAAGCAGGGGACAACAAATGGGTAACTTGTTCCCCATATTCATGTAGATAATAGCTCCAGCTTTGGCTAATATATCCCTCCCTAATAAGGGTGTGGGACTTTCAGGCATAACAAGAAAGGCATGTGAAAAGAGCAAATTCTCCCAATTACAACTGAGGAGGTGGGAGAACTACCTGGTTACAGGCTGTTCCGGGATTCCTCTGATGGTAACGGACCTTGAGGACAGCTGTCCAGGACAGGAGATTAACACTGAGAAAGCTGTGCCAGTGTCCAGGAGGAAGTCAATTTCCTGGCCCTTTATGGTTATACATACCTGGGGCTCAGTGAGAGTGATGACATGAGCTGGCGCTTGCCCCAGGCACCCTCAGTCCTGTTGTTGGATCATCTGGTTGGGGGCTTCTGTCCTTTGTCCTCTGGGGCAGTGTGCCTTCCAATGATTGCCTTGGCATAGTGGACATGGGCGAGGGGGCAGCTTGTTTCTCATAGGACAATATTTTTTAAGGTGTCCTTGCAAACCACACTGATAACAAGCCCTACCAGGTGATTGGCCTGCTCCATTTTCTGTCCTCTCTGAACCACCAAAGTTTGTTTGTCTGAGGACCATGACTAAGGCTGTGGCCTTTCTCTGATCTCACTTTTCCTTTTGGGCCTGTTCCTCTTGGTCCCTATAATAGAACACCGAGGTTGCCAGGTTTAATAATGCCTACAGATTTTGTTCAGGGCCCAGGGGTTGCTTTTGGAGCTTTCTCCTGATATCCACAGCTGATTGGGTAATAAACTTATCTTTTAGGATCAATTGACCCTCAAGTGAGTCAGATGATAAGGGAGTATATTTTCTTAAGGCCTCCCATAGCCACTCAAGGAAGGCAGAAGGATTTTCTTCCTTTCCCTGAGTAATGGTGGATATCATTAAATAATTCGTGGGTTTTTTCCTAATTCTCCTTAATCCTTCTAGAACACAAGTCAGCAGATGTTTATGACTCCAGTCCCCATGATCTGAGTTGAGTTCCCAGTAGGGATCCACACTGGGGATGGCTTGCTGACTGGTAGGGAATTTGTCCCTTTCTTCAGCTGTTATCCTATCATTTACTTGACTATGATACCAGGTATCTCCAAACTCTCAGACTGCAGCTAAAGCTGCATTCTTTGCATTAAAGGCCAGAGTTTGATGTAGCAATAGCATGACATCTCTCCAAGTGAGATAGAAGGTTTGCCCTAGACCCTGTAGGACATCTATGCACCTATCAGGATCATCTGAAAACTTCCCTAGACCTACCTTGATCTGCTTTAAATCAGAGAGGGGGAAAGGGACATGTACCCAGGTTGGGCCAAATTCCCCTCCCCCTACAGCTTGAAGGGGACATAACTGATAGCCTGGGGGTTTTTGTGGTCCTTTGGAGATTTCTTTGCTTGTTTCCTTCTGGGCAGGGGAGATTAGAGGAGGCTTATCATTAATAGGAAGGGGAACTATAGGGAGGCTAGGATATGGAGGTAAGCTGAGAGGTCTTCCTGTGGGTTGTAAATTGCAAGCTTTGCATAGTTGTGGATTCTCCTTCAATGAAAAGAAAGCTTGGGCATAAGATATTTCACTCCATTTGCTTTCCCTCTTACAGAAAAGGTCAAGCTGCAGGATAGTACTGTAATTTATACTTCCCTCAGGTGGCCATTTTTCCCCATAAGAGAGAGCATACTGGGGCCAAGCTGTAGTGCAGAAAAAAATGAGCTGTCTCTTTTTCAGGGTTTGTGGGTCAAATTGGTCCCAATGGCTTAGGATGCATTTCAAGGGTGAGCCTGTTGATGCCTGAGTGTTTCCCATCTGAAAGACAAAACCACCCTTGGTTTTGCTTTGTTTATTTCTCCCCCTGCCCAAGAACCCGCAACAGTCCCTGGACCTTGCTGATTGGAATAGTTGCACTCACTGATGCAGCAGCAGAAACACTAGTTTTCCTCCTAGAACACAAGAAGGACTGAGGAATGTCAGATTTAGTAGCCCTTACTCATGCATTCTCAAAAACCTGCACCCTTGCCTGTCCTCCTAGACCACAAAGAGGACCAAGGAAAATCAGATTTAGAGGCCCTTACTGATGCATTCTCGAAAACCTGTTAGAGTCCTAAGCATTCTCCTGTTAGTACTGGGACTTTACCCCATCCTATAAAGATGTTATGCCCCCAAAATGAAGTGGAGGGCCATACCCTGAGGGAGGGGAGGAATCTCTAGAGTTGGAAGAGTGATGCCTTTTTGTCCTCACTTACATGAATAGGAAGGATATCATTTCTGAAGCTTCCCATATCCTAGCTTCTGGAATAGCTTTTGTTAGACCTGCTAGTCTGAGGAGGGATCCTAAAATTCCAGATAAGATAGTCCCCTGCCCTGACGGGGCTTTGGACAAAAATTATGTCTTTCTGATTGGTAAGCCCAGGTGCCTAAAGAAGGTAACAGAGTCCTGAAGTTTATACTAGAAATCATTCTTACAGGAGAAACTAGAAAAGCACCAGAGATAGGGAGTGGTTTTTAGAAGCAGGACTAGCCTCAGAGAAGAGAGGTGAGAGGAAGTTTGTCTGATGGGCATTAGGACCCAGGAGGCAAGGGTCAGGATAGATAGGATAGATGGGTTAGTCTCGCTTGGGTGACATGACTTTAAGAGTTCCGCTCATGGCCGCAGGGTCAACCAACTTGTTGTTGGGACCCCAGAGCTGAATGGCTTTCCTCTCTGTCAACCCTTGGCTCAGCCCAGAAGTACAGGAAAAGTGGAAGCTGGTTCTAGGCAAACCAATGCTCTCAACTCCAAAGAGTCGGGGGTTGTTAGAGAACCCTTTCCCAGAAAGCCTGACACCCATGTCTTTAGTCTGGTGGTCGTGCTAATCACTTTTAACTGGCCGACAGGTGCCTGGTATTTAGCCCCTGAATTTGAAGGAAAAATAGGATAGAATAGCAAGTGAAAGGGGTCTGATGGTACTCACCACTTGGTGATAGGCGATAGTCCCTTCGTGGTCAACAAAATGTGTCCAGAATTGGTTCCTTCCAGTGGGTTCCTGGTCTTGCTGACTTTAAGAATGAAGCAGCGGACCCTCGTGGTGAGTGTTACAGTTCTTAAAGATGGTGTGTCCAGAGTTTGTTCCTTCAGATGTTCAGATGTGTCTGGAGTTTCTTCCTTCCGGTGGGTTCGTGGTCTCACTGACTTCAGGAGTGAAGCCACAGACCTTCCCAGTGAGCATTACAGCTCTTAAAGGTGGCACGTCTGGAGTTGTTTGTTCCTCCCAGTGGGTTCATGGTCTCGCTGGCTTCAGGAGTGAAGCTGCAGACCTCGGTGGCGAGTGTTACAGCTCATAAAGGTAGTGCGGACCCAAAGAGTGAGCAGCAGCAAGATTTATTGAGTGAAAGAACAAAGCATCCACAGCGTGGAAGGGGACCTGAGCAGGCTGCCACAGCTGGCTCGGGTGGCCAGCTTTTATTCCCTTATTTGGCCCCGCCCTCATCCTGCTGATTGGTCTATTTTACAGGTTGCTGATTGGCCCATTTTACAGAGTGCTGATTGGTCTGTTTTTATAGAGTGCTGATTGGTGCATTTACAAACATTTAGCTAGACACAGAGCACTGATTGGTGCATTTTTACAGAGTGCTGATTGGTGTGATTACAAACCTTCAGCTAGACACAGAGTGCTGATTGGTGCATTTACAATCCTTTAGCTAGACAGAAAAGTTCTCCAAGTCCCCACCCGATTAGCTAGACACAGAGTGCTGATTGGTGTGTTTACAAACATTTAGCTAGACACAGAGCACTGATTGGTGCATTTACAATCCTTTAGCTAGACAGAAAAATTCTCCAAGTCCCTACCTGACCCAGAAGCCCAGCCAGCTTCACCTCTCAGTATGAGCTGATGGTGAGACATCAGTGCTAGAGAGGCAGAGTACCTACGAGTCTGGGCCACCTGTTCATACAATTTAACTTTTCTCCTACTTGCTTGAGGCTGATCCCAAATGTACCATTTTTATTGCATAACAGATTGCAACTATGCCTGCCTGAACTTATGATTTGGTGGGTCTGAGAATTATACCAGCTTATGATATTCAATGGTCATGCTCAGTTTCTTCTAGGGTCCAGTAGTGTGCCAGAGCTGCTTTTTTAAGTGGCAAATAGTTCTCTGCTGTAGGCAACCTGGCCTTGCTTCAGAACCTTAGGGGTCTGGGCTGCAACTCTCCTATAAGGGATTACCAGAGACACAATAGAGTGTCCTTAATGACCACATTTGCCTCTAACATCATTGGATCTGCCAAACCATATGGCCCAAACAGTAGGGCCTCCTACTGCAGCCTGAAATGTGCTGCAAAGCTCTCTCTTGGCCTTCCTTGTTATCTGGAAGTGGGTCAGAGAAGTATTTTCTAGTGCAGTATATGCCCTCTCCCAAACCTGAAGCAAGCATTGTATTTCTTGTTAGTGGTAGGTGGCACAAGGTACAATAATTTGTTCTTTACTCTGGAGAAATTATCTTGGCATACCCCAGACCATGGACTCCTAGAAACTTGGATGACAGTTCCTAAGAACCAACATGGCAGTTCTCTGAACATTTGTTAGAGTTTATTTCCCACTCTCTGGTAAGAATACATCTTTCCAACATGTCCAAAGTACTTGCTACTTCCTAGTCTCTACGTCTAATTAATGTGATGTCATCAACGTTATGGACTAACCTTTGAGTATCAGGATTCCTGACATTTGGAAAGTCAAGATTCCTTCCAAATATTGTAACATAGAAGGAACATTTCTTTAGCCCA
Organism: Homo sapiens; assembly: GCF_000001405.40. NCBI lineage: Eukaryota > Metazoa > Chordata > Mammalia > Primates > Hominidae > Homo > Homo sapiens. Next base: position 140,871,112 of record NC_000003.12, on the reverse strand, counting down.
AGGGCAAGATTATGAATATGCACTGCTATCCACTCCAGGTGAATGTAAAGTTATTTAATTATTTTTGTTACTGGGGATAGATCAATTGTTGCATTTGAAGTACCAGAGGCTATGTTCATTTGTTCTAATAAAGATATCATCTCTGGCACAGCAGCTACAAATGTGGTTGCCCCGTAGTTAAGTTTACAGTAGTCTATCATCATCCACACTATCCAATATGGCAGCCACTTTCTACATGTGTCTATTTCAATTTAAATTAGTTAAAAGGAATGGGATTAAAAATTCAGTTACTCAGTCACGATAGCCACATTTCAAGTGCTCAGTAGCCTCTTGTGGCTAGTGGCTAGCATATTGGACAGAACAGATTTAGGACATTTCCATAATTGCAGAAAGTTCTATTCGACAGTGCTGACCTGGAGTCTGCAGTGGCAGTGGCAGGCAGAAAGCAGTGTGGTGGTGTGGTATGGATTTATGGGGCGGGATCATAAGTCAGGAGGCTGAAATACAACTGTTACATGATGAGCTCAGAACATCGGAAGGTGCAGAGGAAAGACAACTCCTCGGGGCATTTTGAAGAAAGAATAAATGGAATTTTGTAGCACAGTGAAATGGTAGATAGTATACAGGCTCTGGAGGTAGGTGGGGTTGAAATCCTGACTCCATATCTTACTAGGCAGGGTGACCAGCAACTTCACCTCTCTAAACCCAGTTTCTCATCTGTAAAATGGGAGTAATAGTAATTACTCATGAGGTGGTTGAGAACATTAAATTAGAATGGTTTATTAAGCAGAGTGTGTTTAGCACGGGGATAAACATAAGGAAGGCAGATGGTAGTTGTACCATTATTGAGGCTGTGGCTGGTGTGTTTCAGTGAAATGATGTTGATTGATAGGAGCATCTTTCATTCTACATCTCCTTTCAGGATTCTCTTCCCTTCCCCCTCTTTCTCCAGAGGCCCCAGTGCTATAGATCTCTATATGGGCCCTCCTAGCAAGGCCACCCACATTTGACTCTTTTCTTGTCAATATAAAGCCTTACCTGTCTTGTGCTCCACTCCCAAATCTTCAAGATGACTTAAAATAATGGAACCGAGTCTTAGGCTGGAAGAGACCAAAATGGTATATAATGCCCCCCTCCCCTAATCCAATGCTTGAAGCTGTTTTGCAATAAGGTAGGTTATCTATCATAATTCCTGTAGTAACTTCCATATATGCAGGTCTTTTGCATGCTAGGACTGTGCCAGGCAACTTCACATGACTTGTCTCATGAGCCATATGTTGTTCCCTTTTCATGGAGGGGGAAATTGGGGTTCAGTGAAGTGAAGATAGTCTTTTATTAACACCTCGATAAAATATTAAAGATTTATTCAATCACAAGCAAGATGCCTGAGTAGAAGCCTCTACCCTTTGTCCTCCTGCAAAAATACCAAATGAACAACTATACACACAAAAAATCACCTTCATAAGAACCAAAAATCAGATAAGTGATCACAGTACCTGGTTTTGACATCACATTAAGGAAAAGGTACTGAAAAGGGTAGAAAATACAGTCTTAAATCACCTACAGCACCCTTCCCTCTTCCCCCAGCAATGGCTTTGCAGCATGGAGAGATAATCTATGTGCTTGGGGGAGGGAGAGTCCAGTGATTGTGAGACTTTGCATTGGAACTCAGTGCTGCCCTGTTGCAGAAAGCAATGGGAGAACTCAGCCAGTGCCGATGGAGAGAGTATTTAGATAAACCCTAGAGAAAGGGGAATTGCCCATCCCAGTGGTTGGAATCTGAGTTCTGGCAGGCCTAGCCACTGTGGGCTAAAATACCTTGAGTCCTAAATGAACCTGAAAGGCAGTCTAGGTCATGGGGACCACCATTCCTGGGCAACTCCTGACACTGTGCTAGGCTCAGAACCACTGGACTTGGAGAGCACATAACCTAATGATACACCAGCTGAGGCAGCCAAGGGAGTGCTTGTGTCACCCCTCCTCCCAACCCCAGGCGGTGTAGCTTGTAGCTCCAGGAAGAACTCCTTCCTTCTGCTTTGGGAGAGGAGAGGGAAGAGTAAAGAGGACTTTGTCTTGCAACTTGGATACCAATTCAGCCATAGTAACATGGGCACTAGGCAGTTCTGAGGATCCCATTCCAGGCCCTAGCTCCCAGGTGACATTTCTAGACACACTCTGGGCCAGAATGGAACCTACTGTCTTAAAGGGAAGGACTCAGTCCTGGCAGGATTCATCACCTACAGATTAAAGAGCCCTTGGGCCCTGAATAATCAGCAGTGGTAGCCAGGCACTACTTACCATGGGCCTTGGGTGACACTCAGAGATATGCTGGCTTCAGGTGTGACCCGTTCATTCCTAGCTGTACTGGATACAGGGAGACTCCTTCTGCTTCATAAAAGAAAAGGGAAGAGTAAAGGGGACTTTATCTTTCAGCTTAGATACCAACTCGGCCACAGTGGGGGTAGAGCAATAAGCCGGCTTTGGGGGTCCCTGATTCCAGGCCTTGGCTCTTGGATGGCATTTCTAGACCTGTCCTGGAACAGAGGGAAGCCCACTGCCTTGAAGAGAGTGTCCCAAGCCTGGCAGCATTTACCACAAGCTGAGTGGAGAGCCTTTGAGGCCTTGAGTGAACATTGGCATTAGCCAGGCAGTACTCTTCATGTGCCTGGGACAGTGGTGGCCACGCGGAGAGAATCCTCTGCTTATGGAAAGGGGAGGGAAGAATGGGAAGGACTTTGTATTATGGCTTGGGTGCCAGCTCAACTACAATAGAATAGAGCACCAGGTAAATTCCTAAGGTTTCTGATGCCAGATGCTGGATCCTGGATGGCATCTTTGGACCTGCTTAGGGCCAGGGGAACTTGTCACCCTTAAGGGAAGGACACAAGCTTGGCTGGCTTTGCCACATGCTGATTTTTTGTGCCCTATAGCCTTAAATGAACATGAACATAGGCAGTAACAAGGCAGTGGTTACCACAGGCCTTGGGCAAGACCCAGTGATATGTGGGCTTCAGGTCTGACCCAGAACAGTCTCAGTGGTGGTAGCCAGAGGGGTACCTGTGTTACCCCTCTCCCAGCTCCAGGCAGCCCAGCACAGAGAGAGAGAGACTTCATTTGTTTGGGAGAAAGTAAGGAAAAAGAATAAGAGTCCCTGTTTGGTAATCCAGAGAATTCTGGATCTTATCCAAGATCATCAAGGCAGTACCTCTATGAGTCTTCAAGAGGCGCAGCATTACTGGTCTTGGGGTGCACCCTAATGCAGATATGGCTGCAGTGACCAAAAACCAATTAAAACACTCAAGTCTCTTCAAATACCTGGGAAGTCTTCACAAGAAGGATGGGTACAAACAAGTCCAGACAATGAAGACTACAATAAATACCTAACTCTTCAATGTCCAGACACTGATGAACATCCACAAGCATCAAGACCATCCAGGAAAACATGACCTCGCCTAATGAACTAAATGAAGCACCAGGGACCAATCCTGCAGAGACAGAGATATGTAACATTTTAGACAGAGAATTCAAAATAGCTGTTTTGAGGAAACTCAATGAAATTCAAGATAACACAGAGAAGGAATTGAAGGTTCTCTCAGATAAAATTATCAAAGAGATTGAAATAATTAAAATGAATCAAGCAGAAATTCTGGAGTTGAAAAATGCAACTGACATACGGAAGAATGCATCGGGGTCTCTTAACAAGAGACTTAATCTTTCAGAAGAAAGAATTAGTGAGCTCGGAGATAGCCTATTTGACAATATACAGTCAGAGGAAGCAAACTAAAAGAAAAAGAGAGACAACCCAAATAATTAAAATCAGAGATTTTGAAGGAATACTTCCTAACTCATTCTACCAGGCCAGTATTACTGTGATACCAAAACCAGATTAAGACACATCAGAGAAAACTACAGGCCAATATATCTGATGAACATTAATGCAAAAATCCTTAGCAAAATACTAGCAAACCAAAACCAACAACACATTAAAAAGGTCACTCATCATGGCCAAGTAGAATTTATTCCAGGGATGCAAAGATGCTTCAACATACACAAATCAATCAATGTGACACATCATATCAACAGAATGAAGGACAAAAATCATATAGTCACTTCAATTGATGCTGAAAAAGCATTTGATAATATTCAGCATCCTTTCATGATAAAAATCCTAAAAAATCTGGGTAGAGAAGAAACATATCTCAACACAATAAAAGTCATATAAAACAGACCCACAACTAGTATCATACTGAATGGGGAAAAACTGAAAGACTTTCTTCTAAGATCTGTAGGAAGACAAGAACGCTCACTTTCACCTCTGTTATTCAACATTGCACTGGACGTCCTAGCTGGAGCAATTAGACAAGAGAAAGAAATAAAGAACATTCAAATTGGAAAGGAAGAAGACAAATTATCCTTGTTTGTAGATAATATAATCTTATATTTGGAAAAACCCAAAGACTCCACAAGAAAACTCAGCACTGATAAATTCAGTAAAGTTGCAGGATACAAAATCTACATCTAAAAATGAGTAGCAGTTCTATATGTCAACACCAAGCAAGCTGAAAAAGAAATTAAGAAAGTAATCCCATTCACAATACCTACAAATACTGTAAAATGCCTAGGAATTAACCAAAGAAGTGAAAGATCTCTACAATGAAAAATGTAAAATATTGATTGAAGAAATCAAAGAGGACACAAAAAAATGGAAAGATATTCCATGTTTATGGATTTGGAGAATCAATATTGTTAAAATATCCACACTACCCAAAGCAATCTACAGATTCATCACAATCCTGATCAAACTACCAGTAACATTCTTCACCGAAATAGAAAAAATAATCTTAAAATTTATATAGAATCACAAAAGACCCAGAATAGCCAAAGCTAGCTTGAGCAAAAAGAACAAAACTGTAGGAATCGTATTACCTGACTTCAAATTATACTACAGAGCTGTAGTAACCAAAACAGCATGGTATTGGCATAAAGATAGACACATAGACCAATGGAACAGAATAGATAACCCAGAAACAAATACATACATCTACAATCGACTCATTTTCAACAAAGTTGCCAAGAACGTACACTGGGGGAAAGGACGGTGTCTTCAATAAATGGTGCTGGGAAAGCCAGATATCCATATACATAAGAATGAAACTAGACTTCTATCTCTCACCATATACAAAAATCAAATCAAAATGTACTAAAGACTTAAATATAAGACCTGAAATTATGACACCATGGAAAGAAAACATTAGAGAAACTCTCTAGCACTGGACTGGGCAAAGATTGCTTGTGTAATATCCACAATCATAGACAACCAAAGCAACAAATGGACAAATGAGATCTCTTCAAGTTAAAAAGCTTCTGCACAGCAAACAATCAACAAAATGAAGAGGCAACCCACAGAACTGAAGAAAATATTTGCAAACTACTCATCTAACAATGGATTGATAACCAGAATATATAAGGAGCTCGAACAACACTGTAGGAAAAAATATAATAATCAAATTAAAAATAGACAAAATATATGAATAGACGTTTCTCAAAACAAGGCATTCAAATGGCAAAGAGGTATATGTAAAGTTGCTCAACATCGCTAATTATCAGAGAAATGCAAATCAAAACTACAATGAGATATCATCTTACCCCAGTTAAAATGGCCTTTTTCCAAAAGACCGGCAATAACACTTGCTGGTGAAGATGTGGAGAAAAGGGAACCCTTATAAACTGATGGTGGGAATGTAAATTAGTGCAGCCACTAGGGAGAACAGTTTGGAGATTCCTCAGAAAACTAAAAATAGAGCTACCATATGATCCAGCAATCCCACTGCTAGGTATATACCCAAAGGAAAGGAAATCAGTGTATCAAAGGGATATCTGCATTCTCATTTTGTTGCAGCACTATTCACAATAGCCAAGATTTGGAGGCATCCTAAGTGTCTATCAACAGATGAATGACTAAAGAAAAAGTGGTACATACACACAATGGAGTACTATTCAGCCATAAAAAAGAATAAGATCCTGTCATTAGCAACAACATGGATGGAACTAAGGTCATTATGTTAAGTGATACAAACCAGGCAAAGAAAGACAAACTTTGCATGTTCTCACTTATTTGTGGAAGCTAAAAATTAAAGCAATTGAACTCATGGAAATAGAGAGTAAAAGGTAGGTTACAAGAGGTTGAGAAGGCTAGTGGGAAGGGTAATGGGGATGGTTAATGAGTGCAAAAATATAGCTAGAATGAGTAAGATATAGTATTTAATAGCACGACGGGGTGACTACAGTCAACAATCATTTATTGGACATGTAAAAATAACTAAAAGAATATAATTAGATTGTAACACAAAAAATAAATGCCTGTATTATTTGCCTATATCAAAATATCTCATGTAACCCATGAGATACATACATACACACATATACCTGTAGTATGAACCCACACACACACAAAAGATTTCTTCAGCTTAGTTATTCATTCCCCCATCTGTCTTTTCTGCTGCTCCCTGTCTGTTTTTCTAGGATTATCAACTAGTCAGGTATCAGCAGGCTTCACAGGAGGTTTGGGAAGAGGCATGATGGAAAAACCTTTGCCCATACGGCAGCCAGGTCAAGTGTTCAGGTCATGAAACACAGAAAGGGACACCTCAGTTCCTGGGGTCTGTAAGAAAGTGGAAAAGGGAGCAGGGAGTTGTCCTGGCCTGTGGTTCATGTGTGGGGCTATGTCATTCCCTGAGGTCTCAGACCTAAAGGATTAAGTGAAGCTTTCCAGTACAGGAAGTGGAGGAGTTGCAGGAGGTGGCCATAGGTCATGTGCAAAGCCGGTTTTCCACCACCCTAACCCCAAATCCTGTTGGATTTCCACCACGTGCCAGGCTCTTTACACACTTGATGTCTTTTATTCCCCTCAACAACTGTGAGTTGAGAAAATATTATCTCACTTTATGGACGTCAAGGTAAGATAAGTGAAGTGATTTTACCAGGTAAGTAGTAGAGCTTGGTTTTGAACCCAGTAATCTCAGGTGAGGCTTTCCTCTCCTGTTATTGAATTAAATTCAAATAATATTCTTTTTATAATAAGTTTTACTCTAACTTGGTCTTTTGTAACTTCAAGGAAGTTGCCTGCAATTATTCTGTTTTTTTTTTTTTTTAAGTTTCTCTCTTTGAATATTTGATTGAACCAAATTTAAAATTTGCCAGCAGGTGGCGACACAAAACCAATAATTCAGGATACCAATCTCGGCGCTTTCCAGAGGACGGAATGGGACTTGCCACTGTGTCCTTCGCAGGTTGGGTGTCTGGCTTCATTTTGTGATTTCTGGGCTACTAGGCCCTCCACTTCTGCTCCCTGGGGGCTCATTCCGGTTTCTTAAAGTCCTCAGGACAAAGTCCCTACACCCTAGCCCTGTCTCACTTCCTGCCACTAATCTTCTCAGGTGACTTAATTCCCCTCTCCTCTCCACACTCTCCCACACACCCATTGCTTTGTCCCTGCTGGCCCCTCTGCCTGGACAACCCCTTATCCACTCCCCCATCTGGCTATTCTTTTTCATCCTTGGGGACTCAGCTAAAAGGTCACCTATGAGGAGCCCACCCTGCCACTGCCCCCCTGCCAGGCTGTGTGGGGCCCTTTCTCTGTGTGTGTCCCTGTTAGAGCACTGGTGGTCCTGGGGTCCTACTCTTTTTTGCTTGACTGCCTTCCTACTAGACATTCCCCTTGAGGGCAGGGACTGTGTCCTTTCTGTGTTAGGCCATTTTTGCATTGCTATAAAGAAATGCCTGAGGCTTGGTAATTAATTAATTAATTAATTTATTTTTAACTTTTCTTTTAAGTTCAGGGGTACATGTTACATACGTAAGTGGGTGTCATGGGGGTTTGTTGTACAGATTATTTTATCACCCATGTATTCAGCCTAGTACCCATTAGTTATTTTTCCTGATTTTCTCCCTCCTCCCACCTTCCACCTTCCGATAGGTCCCAGTGTGTGTTGTTCTCTTCTACGTGTCCAAGTTTTCTCATCATTTAGCTCCCACTTATAAGTGAGAACATGTGGTATTTTGTTTTCTCTTCCTGTGTTAGTTTTCTTAGGATAATGGCCTCCAGCTCCATCCATGTCCCTGCAAAGGACATGATCTCATTCTCTTTTACGGCTGCATAGTATTCCATGGTGTGTATGTACCACATTTTCTTTATCCAGTCTCTCATTGATGGGCATTTAGGTTGATTACATGTCTTTGTTATTGTGAATAGTCCTGCAACGAACATACACATGCATGTGTCTTTATAATAGAATGATTTATATTCCTTTGGGTATATACCCAGTAATGGCATTGTTGGGTCGAATGATATTTCTGTCTTTAGGTCTTTGAAGAATCGCCACCCTGTCTTCCACAATGTTTGAACTAATTTACACTCCCATGAACAGTGTATAAGTGTTCCTTTTTCTCCAAAACCTTGCAAGAATCTGTTATTTTTTGACTTTTTAACAATAGCCATTCTGATTGGCGTGAGATGGTATCTCATTGTGGTTTTGATTTGCATTTCTCTAATGATCAGAGATGTTAAGTATTTTTTCATATGCTTGTTGGCCTCATGTATGTCTTTTTTTGAAACGTGTCTGTTCATGTCCTTTGCCCATTTTTTAGTGGTTTTTCTTTCTTGTAAATTTGTTTAAATTCCTTATAGATGCTGGATATTAGATGTTTGTCAGATGCATAGTTTGCAAAATTTTTCTCCCATTCTGTAGATTGTCTGTTTACTCTGTTGATAGTTTCTTTTGCTGTGCAGGAGCTCTTAAGTTTAATTAGATCCCATTTGTCAACTTTTGCTTTCGTTGTGTTTGCTTTTGGCGTCTTTATCATAAGATCTTTGCCCGTGCCTATGTCCTGAACGATATTGCCTAGGTTGCCTTCCAGGGTTTTTATAGTTTTGGGTTTTACATTTAAGTCTTTAACCCATCTTGAGTTAATTTTTGCATATGGTATAAGCAAAGGGTTCAGTTTCAATTTTCTGCATATGGCTAGCCATTTATCCCAGCACTATTTATTGAACAGGGAATCCTTTTCCCATTGCTTGCTTTCATCGGGTTGGTTGAAGATCAGATGGCTGTAGGTATACAGGTTTATTTCTGGGTTCTCTATTCTATTCCACTGGTCTAGTTCTTGTTCCAGTACCAGGTTGTTTTGGTTACTGTAGCCTTGTAGTATAGTTTGAAATCAGATAGCGTGATACTTCCAGCTTTGTTCTTTTTGCTTAGGATTGCCTTGGCTATTTGGGTTCTTTTTTGGTTCTATATTAATTTTAAAATAGTTTTCTCTAGTTCTGTGAATAATGTCAATGGTAGTTTAATGGGAATAGCACTGAATCTATAAATTGCTTTGGGCAGTATGGCCATTGTAATGATGTTAATTCTTCCTATCCATGAGCATGATATGTTTTTTCATTTGTTTGTATCATGTCTGATTTCTATGAGCACTGGTTTGTAGTTATTCTTGTATAGCTCTTTCACCTCCATCGTTAGCTGTATTCCTAGGTATTTCATTCTTTTTATGGCAATTGTGAATGGGAGTTCATTCATGATTTGGCTTTCTGCTTGATGTCTTTTGGTGTTTAGGAATGCTAGCGATTTTTACACATTAATTTTGTATCCTGAGACTTTGCTGAAGTTGCTTATCGCTTAAGAAGCTTTTGGGTGAGATGATGGGGTTTTCTAGATATAGGATCATGTCATCTGCAAACAGGGATAGTTTGACTTCCTCTCTTCCTATTTGAATGTTCTTTATTTCTTTCTCTTGCCTGATTGCCCTAGCCAGAACTTCCAATACCGTGTTCAATAGGACTGGTGAGAGAGGGCATCCTTGTCTTGTGCTAGTTTTCAAGGGGAGTGTTTCCAGCATTTGCCCATTTATTATGATGTTGGCTGTAGGTTTGTCATAGATGACTATTATAATTTTGAGGTATGTTCGTTCAATACCTAATTTATTGACAGTTTTTAACAGGAATGGATGTTGAATTTCATTGAAGAGGCTTGGTAATTTATAAAGAAAAGCAGTTTTAATTGACTGACAGTTCTGCAGGCTGTACAGAAAGCGTGGCACTGATACCTGCTTCTGGGAAGGCCTCAGGAAGCTTGTGATCATGGTGGAAGGCAAAGGGGGAACAGGTGTCTCACATGGCCAGAGTAGGAGCAAGAGAGCAGGAGGTGCCATACACTTTTAAACAACCAGATCTTGCATGAACTCACTCATCACCAAGGGAATGATGCCAAGCCATTCATGAGGGATATGCCCTCATGACCCAAACACCTCCACTAGACCCCACCTCCAATACCGGGGATTACATTTCAACATGAGATTTGGAGAAGCACAAATATTCAAACAATATCACTATCCATCTCAGTGTTCCTAGTGCCAGGCCCAGAGATTCCTAGTGCCAGCACAGAAGAAAATTTTGAGAGAATGAACAAATACACAAACAAGTGTTTACCGAGAGGGCTAGTGACCTGGTCCTGGGAAATTCCATCCAAGGGCCTTTGTGGAGCCCCAAAGTCCAGAGTCTTTTGTAGACATGGGCAGTCATCATTGCGGGGAGGGTGGCTTTCCTTGGTTTGCAGGGCACGGTGTTTGTGTTTTGTGTTTGGGGCATTTCTTGCTTCATCTTAACAATCTCTTTGAATCTTTTTAAATACTTCCAAGAAAGGATGCACTTTCTTAAGATGTAAAAAAGAGTAATTTAAATAAGTGGAAGGAAAATGCATTTTAATTGCATTATTATACTAATTTATGTCTTCTTCCCCCCTTGAAAAAGTACTTTTTCACAGTATGGAAGCACATTAGGGCTGAGAATTGAGACTAATTGTTTCAGATGGCTGCCGAGAGACAATGTGCTTTGTTTTTACAGCTCTCAAAGCAGGTGGGTAAACAGGCCTATTTTATTCTCTCTACAAGGCCAGGTTGGGTTTCATGAGTCAGGGACCACAGCTGCAGTGCCTGTCCACATAGCATTGTGCTTGGCCCATAGTAGATGCTCAGAAAGCATTTTCTCAGTAGATACGTGAATGAATAATATAGAGAGGTAGGGCTAGGTGCAAGATTGAGAATGATTCAAGATGTCTGGGTCTCTTCCACAACAAAGTCTTGCTAGGTCTGGTTGTAGGGAGAAGAGAAAATGACCAGATATCTGCTGGACTCCTTTGTGTTGCCAGGTGCAGGGCAGCCACTGAACACACGATTTCTCACTGAAGTTTCACAACCACCCTGTGAGGTAAGCCCAGTTTACAGATCAGCGAGTCAAGGCTCAGAGGGGTTAAATAACTTACCCAAGTTCTCATTGTCTCAGAGCGGCAGAGACAGTGTGAGGGTTGGTGGTGTCAGATTCCAACATTCAGGCTCCTTCCTCCTCCTGAGTCAGGCTCTTTTAAACAGTAGCTGCCACATATTGAAGATTTATTGTCTTAGTCCATTTGTGCTGCTATAAAAAAATTCCATAGGCTAGATAGCTTATAAATAACAAGTTTAGGCTAGGCATGGTACCTTATTCCTGTAATCTCAGCACTTTGGGAGGCTGAGGTGGGAGGATAACTTGAAGCCAGGAGTTCAAGACCAGCCTGGGCAACAAAGCAAGCCCCTATCTCTACAAAAAATAAAAATAAAAAATAAACATCACAGAAATTCATTTCTTGTAGTTCTGGAGGCTGGGAAGTCCAAGGTCAAGGCACTGCTGGACTTGATATCTGGTGAGTGCCTGTTTGTTGGTTTATAGTTGGTGCCTGCTTGCTGTGACCTCACATAGTGGATAGGCATGGGCAGCTCTCTGGGGCCTGTTTTATAGGGACACTAATCCCATTTATAAGGCTTCAATCTTATGACTTAATTACCTTCCAAAGGCCCCACCTCCATCACCTTGGGGTTTAGGTTTCAACAGGTGAATTTTGGAGGAACACAAACATTCAGACACAGCACTTACTATGTGCAGGCACTAAGCTAGGCCCCTCCTCTAGATTATCCTAGTATCTAGCACATAGTGAGTATCAAGTAAATGGTAGTAATTACTGTTAAGAATCTTCACAAAGTCCTTTTGAAAAAAGTATTGTTATTTCCACTGTGTAAGTCAGTGCTTGCTAAACTTCAATAAAATACAGATTCTGATTCTGTAGTTCTGGGGTGTGGCCTAAGATTCTGCATGTCTACCAGCTTGATCTTGTTGGTCAGGAGCACGCTTTAAGTGACAGGGGTGTAGACAGTAGAACTGGAGCTCAAAAGAAGAAACTGACTTGCCATGCACACCAGCTATCAGGCCTGGGTGCATCTGGTGCTAAAGCTCAGCTTCCTTCCCTCACATTCTCCTGCCTCTTAGTCTCTGAGTCCAGTCCCCCGATCTTGAAAGCAGACTACCTGCAAGGCTGTTTTCTCCACGTGTGGTCAGGATCCTCTGCACTGGGACCTCCCAGGGGCCATCTCATGGTGCTCAGGAACAGGTACACCCCTGAATGAGACCACTGCTCCAGGCCAGATCAATCCATCCACTGAAATCATTTTTGTTTTTGCCTGGATGTTGTCTTCCATTATGTCACCTTTTTTTTTCATTAGTGGCTTGATTGAAATATAATTTACATACCATAAAATTCATTCATTTAAAGTGTACAAGTCAGTGGTTTTTAGTATATTCACAGAAGTATGCAACCATCATCACAATAAATTTTGCAACAGTCTAATCATTTCCCAAAGAAACACTGTACCCTGTAGCTGTCACTTTCCAATCTCTCTAGCCCTCGGCAAGCACTATTCTGCTTTCTATCTTTATAGATTTACCTCTTCTGGACATTTCACGTAAATGAAATCATAAATGTGACTGTCTTCTTTCACTTTGCATAATGTTTTGAAGATTCATGCATGTTGTAGCATGAGTATTTCATTCTTTTTTTATGACAAAATAAATTTCCATCCTATGAATATACCACATTTATGCACTCATCACTTGATGGGCATTTGGATTGTTCCCACTTTTTAGCTATTATGAATAATGCCCTGAACATAAGCATTCAAGCTTTTTTGTGGACATGTATGTTTTTATTTCTTTAGGATATAATATACCTAGAAGGGGAATTTTTGAATCAAATGATAACTCTATGTTTAACTTTTGGCAAACTGCCACACTGTTTTCCAAAGTGGCTGTGTCATTTTTATGTTTCCAGTAGCAACAAATGAAGATTCTGATTTCTCGACATCCAACACTCGTTATTATATGATGTTCTTATTACAATTATCCTAGTGGATGTGAAGTGGATAATACCAGTTGCTATGAGTTGAATTGTATGTGTCCCTCCAAAATTTATATATTGGAACTTAAACCCCAAGATGATGGTATTGAGAGGTGGGGCCTTTGGGGGAAGTGATTAAGTCATGAGGGCTCTTTCCTTGTGAATGGAATTAATGTCCTTGTAAAGATTTCAGAGAGCTGCCTAGCCCTTTCATTCCTTCTGCCTTGTGAGAGTATAGTGTTCATCCTTCTGCCATGAGGGGGTACAGTGACAAGGTGCCATCTTTGGAGCAAAGAGCAAGCCCTTACCAGACATAGTATCTGCTGTCCCCTGGGTTTTGGACATCTCAGTCTCCAGAATTGTGAGAGATAAATTTCTGTTCTTTATCAATTATCCAGTTTCAGGCATTCTGTGATAGCAGCCCCAAATGAACTAAGACACCCTATCTCCTAATACCATCACCTTGGGAGTTAGCAAAAAATATGAATTTTGGAGAATGCATACACTAACCTCATTACTTTCTGCTCTGTAGGGCAGGGAGGAGGCCTTACAGGGCATCTGAGTAGGATGAGGAAGAGCTGTTTCTGAGCAGGCTCAAGCTAGGCAGACAAAGCAATTGTAAATTGCTAGGTGACCTCAGTAGTTGTAAATTTGAATGATATTCTAATGAATAGGTGTGAAAAGCATTTCCCAGGGTTGGGGGTCACCAGTGTGGAAGCAGACACAGAATGTAGGAATAGGCAATTGAGAAAGCCCTATCAATCAGCCTCAGCATGCTTATCTTGCACCTTTTCAGCACATGCACTCCCAGCCTGGACTGGACCAAATTGCATTTACTATTTGCGTAGGGCATGGTTTCCAATCCATTTATCAAGTTCCTAGCACAGTGGCTAAGAGCATTACAACTGAATTCATGCTGCTTGGCTTCAAATCCCTACTCTATTAGCCATGGCAACTAGAGGGAGTCACTCAGCACTTCTAAGCTCTAGGGTCTTTGTCTGTAAAATGGGAACATCAACACTCCTACCTCGTAGGCTTGTGAGACTGTAAAAAGGCAATGAATGCATGTACCTTATTTGGAGACTGTACAAATGGAGTACTCAATTTTTCCTCCCACGCTTCCATCACAACTTGCTCTCAATGAATAATTTAACATATGAATTTAAGTAACCTGCCTTCTCTAATTGCAGAAGGAAAGACTTATGTCCTGGTGTAGAGAAAGCCATCAACAGTGGGAGAGAGAGGTTACTTGGAGAGGTTTGAAGGGTATCTGCAGAAGCTTCTCATCCTGGCAACTTCTCTGCCGCTTCCACCTTCACACAAAGTTGACCCAGATGCTTAGAGGACTCCCTTCCACTGATGACCTTTGCCCCATCACACAAGATGGAGTAGCTATACAAGAAGTGATCATTAACGTTGCTTGATCTAGTGCTATGCTAACAAATTCAAATCTAGCCTGATTCAGATAATATAATAGTAAAAAGAATGAAATTGTATTAGTTTGTTCTCATGCTGCTAATAAAGATATAGCTGAAACTGGGTAATTTATAAAGGAAAGACGTTTAATTGAATCACAGTTCCATATGGCTGGGGAGGCCTCACAATCATAGCAGGAAGCAAGGAGAATCAAAACCATGTCTTACATGGCGGCAGGCAAAAAGAGAGCTTGTGTAGGAGAACTGTCCTTTATAAAACCATCAGATTTTGTGAGACTTATTCACTACTACAAGAACAGCATGGTCAAACCCGCATCCACGATTTAATTACCTCCCACTGGGTCCCTCCCATGACAAGTGGGAATTATGGGAGCTAAAATTTAAGATGAGATTTGGGTGGGGACACAGCCAAACCATAACAGAAATATTTTTAAAAGCTCCACATTGTGTCTAGATCTAGAAAATAATAAAAACACTTTTAATTTTATTGAAATGTATAAGGAAAATCACAAATGAAAGACTACAGGGATTTTATGTTATGGAAAACACAGAGAGGCAGGTAAATAATTTTAAAAAGTTCATTTTGAGTTAATATCTCAACAGCTCAATTTATGATGACTCATAAATACAATTTATAAACTATGAGTATCTCGTAATCTTATCACATATATGATATTCCACAATTAAAATTTTTTTTCACACTTAGACATCTCTATAAATAAACGGCTATCATTTAGATGTATAAGGAGAAACTCTGTAACACATGAAAATAACAAACACAAAAAATTTTGCTCCAAAATACACAGAAAAGCATGGTTATCTCTGGTCTTACTTAGGACCTTTGAAACCACCTTTGCAAAAATTGTAACAGTGAGAAAATTATGACAATGAAAGGGATCTGACCTGACTCCATCTTGCTTCTAACCTCCAAACTGCCCTTATTCATTCCTGCGTGTAGGCCAGAATAACTTTCGGAGGAATTTAGCTTATAGTTTAACTTTGAAACAAAGATGATAACAGCCCTTTCCTGAAAGAAAGCCCTTTCTTGCCTGGGGACCAGACTGTCTTTTTAAGACTAACAAATTAGACACAAAATTAGAAATTATGGGTTAGGAATCAAGCAGCTAGAGGTCACAAGATTCCAAACCTCCCCTGTTACTCCTAGGGATAACATTACTATTGTAAAATCTATGACTGGTGCTGGAGATATTTTTCAGACCCTGCATTCTGGTGCACCAGCTGACATCACCCAGACTGACAATCTGGCTCAGCCAGTTCTGCGATCTCACCCAGGAACAGAAGACAGCAAGAAGAACCACTTTGACCACCTGTGATTTCATCTCAGGCCCAACCAATCAGTACTTCCCACTCCCTCGCCCCCTACCTGCCAAATTATCCTTAAGAAATCCCAGTCTCTGAACTTTTGGGGAGATTGATTTCAGTGATAAAACTCCAGTCTCTTGTTTAGCCATGTCTGTGAGAGTTAAAATCTTTTTCTGTGGCAATTCACCTGTCTTGATAAATTGGCTCTATCTGGACAGTGGGCAAAATGAACCATTAGGTACTTACACCTTCACCTCTGTTAACCAATCAGCCAACCAAAACCTCTCTGTATAAACAACTTGAACATTCAATTTCCTTTTATAGATAGCGTCTTAATTTTTAAAGTGCTTCTGGATCCTAGGAGATGGTTCCATAGTTTTCTCTTAGTTAGACATGATTTTCTTATTAGATGGAGATATAAGTTCTGGTCTTTTGAATCTGTCTTGTCCTAGTTTCATCCCAGCACGCTAGTGCAAGCTCTTAACTTCCAGTATGCTGCCTTACCTCTTTTGGAATCTGGGAAAGGATACCAGGTTGGCATATCAAGGATTTGGCTGGTTTTCAGCCAACAGTTAGAGTCTCAGATGCCTCAGTAACAACATCAGCTGATTTTGATGCCTCAGTGAGAACATCAAGCAATCAACTTCATCCCCGATTTATGTCCCTGACACACCCTGTTATCTCTTGGGTGTAGTAGGTTTCTTTGTTACCTTCATCCTGTGAGAGGGGAGAATTATGAATTATGCCTCAGTCTGCCTGGGTCCTGTCCCCTTTGCCCTATGTCCCAGCTCCTTCTTAGGGGTACTTGGCTCTTCCCTATTCTTACCTGTTTTTTTTCTCCACATCGTGAATTACTCAGCTTGATGCTGATTCTTCCCTACCACACCCATGTGTCTTCTTGTTGTCTCCAAATCCACACCCCTTTACCATTATGCATCTAATCATCAGTGCCTGGCCTGGAAGGGGACAGGTTTCCCAAATGGGTATTAATTAATCATTGTATATTTCATGTATAGAACACTGTTACACAGACTCTCTGTTTCTCTTCCTGTACACACACACACACACACACACACACACACTCTTAACCTTAAATATAAAACATTATAAATATGTGGGAAAAAATAAGCATAATTACTTTTTGTGTCTTCATTCTTTGCTTAATTTCCTTCATCTGTAGTAGTTTTTCAAAATTTTTCAAGTTGGGTCTGAAGTAGTAACCTTAGTCCTTATTTGCTTGAGATAACCTCACTGTGAACTACAAGCTTAGGTGACTATAATGTTATAAGTTGACAATCATATTCTCTCAGCATTCTGAAGATATTTTCCCATAGTCTTCTGACCACCATTGATGCTGTTGAGAAGTTTATAACAGTCTAATTGCTATTTTGTAAAAAAATCTGTTATTGTGCAGTGTGCACCAGCGTAATTGTTATTATTTTGTTGGAAATTTGTCCTTTATCTCTAGTTGCTTATAAGATCTTCTCTATGTCTTGGGTGTGCTGCAGTTTTTCTCTATGATGTGTCTAGGCTTAGATTTATTTTCTTTGTATTCATTGGAATACAATTAATTCTTTTAAATCCATTCTTTTAAATTTTTCTTTTTAAACCTGAGAGCCATGTTCTCATGAGTTTTGGAAAATTACCAGCCATTATTTCTTCAAATATTGCCTCCTTCATTTGTCTTGTCTCTGGAAATTCTACTACATACAGGTGGACATTAGCATTTAATCCTCAGCTCTCATAAATGTTCTTTCATATTTTCACATCTCGTTCTTTCTTTGTGTTGAATCTCTGGAATTTTCTCAAGTCCATCTTCCAGTTAATCACTTTTCTTTTCTGCTTTGTGTAGTACTATTTTGCTAAACCTTTTAAGTTTTAAAATATTATTTGAATGTCAGAATTTTTCAAATAAGCTTTATTGAGATGTAATTACATACCATAGTTTATCTCCTTAAAGTGTGCAATTTAATGGTGTTTGGCATAAATGGCTAAATTTTAAATTTTTAAAAAATGTCTGCTTCCCCCCCCCATAGCGCCTTGTCCTTCTCTTAAAGTCTCAATTCCTTTAGTTTGGGTTACTATTTTAAATATAGTTATTAACAATTCCTATTATGTTGTCCTATTATCTGAAACTTTTGTGAGTGTAAGCATCCTTTTTTTTCTGTTTAAATTGTTCATTTTTCTGCTTCTCACTCAAGGTGGATTGGTTCCTCATTTGCTTCCGTGGACATTTATGTGTTGGGCTCATACACAATGGGGGATGAAATCGTGTCCTGCAATGGTTTTTTGTTTGTTTCTGTCAGGGGCCTCGGGTTGTCATTTGGTTTGTAGCAAGTTTCTGTGTTAATTAATCCACTTTGGGTTTTCTGGACCATGCTGATTGTGTAAATTTTAACTCCAGAGCTGTGAGGTATGAGGTTATGATTGTAAATTTCCAAGGGAGAATTTTCTTCCCACTCAGATCTCAGACAGAGATGGATAGGTGTCTTCTTTTTCTCCCTGTACTTATGGATTTCTTTCCTAGTCTACACTATTACCAAGAGTACAGTCCTTTGATGGTCTGGTTTCATGTGGGATTATTTTAAGCTTCATTTCTCTGCTTTGCTTAGGCTGGTCTCATCTCAATGTCCCTAGTTGAGCATGAAAACCCATGCCTTTCATATATCCACCAGAAAACATATATGAAATGTTCATAGCTGCTTTATTCATAATAGTTCCAAACTGGAAACAACCCAAATGCCCCTGAATAGTGGAGCTGATAAATAAATAGTGGTATATATTTTACAATGGAATACTACACAGTGATGAAAAAGAACAAATTGCAAATACATGTAATAACAGGTTGAATGTCACAGATAGTAAAATAATCCATCAAAAAGAATATCCACTGTGTGATTCCATTTCTATGGAGTTCTAAAATAGGCAAAACTAATCTTTGATGTTGAGTCAGGAATGTTGTCACTCTTGAGGGAAGTTATTGACTGAAGGGTGGCATAAGGGAGCCTTGTGCAGTTCTGGAAATATTCTATATCCTGAGCTGGGTGGCAGTTACATGGTTGTATGTATATATAAAAATTCATTAACTGTTGTGGATTTTACTATATACTAATTATACCTCAATAAAAAAGTAAATGAATAAACAAACAAAAACCAGAGCAGCCATAAGATGGTTGACATAGTTGCCTCTCTGGTTTTTAGTTCCTCTGTATTTCTGGACCCTGGAGATTTCCCATTCTTTTTTGTGAGTTCAGCTGAGGATGTAAAAGAAAATTTTTGATTTGATTGCCCACATCCCTTGCCCATTCCTTGAAGGTAGCTCACAAGAGTCTGCCATACTGCAGACCTGGAAGTCCTTGGTTTTCTTCCATCTTAAATCTTAATGCATCTTAAATGCATAAAGCAGGTGGCTCATCTTATGGAATACAACATATTTTTAGAATAGTTGTTTCTCCATCTAGGTGTTCAGAACAAATTACATTGGGGTACATTTATGTTCAGGGAGAGCTGTTGGAGTGGGCCCTTTTGGTTATTTAAGTGTAAATTCCCCATTGGTGAAAGAGCATAATAGGGCCTTGTGTGGCCTGATGGAGACAAGTCCTAGAAATGCTTTTTGTGATCTGAGATGGTTTGGGAGAAAAGGTATACAAATTTTCACAGGGGCCAAGGAGTCTTCTGTGGGGAAGGCATTGAGAGTCTGACTACCATCATCTAGAAGTTCAGCTGTAGTAGACCTTCTCTAATGGACTGGGATGACCTAGTCTGAAGTCTTGCAGTGAGAAAAGAGGCATTCTCTGGGAAGTCTGGACTGATAACCCAGGCTCAAAATTAGGGGATAAGGGATCACGGAGAAGCAATTTCTGATACAAGATGAGGCTGAGGTGAGAAGCCTTTTATGACCCACCCACCTTTCCACTAAATTTATGGTTGAGGAATAATGGCTGTGCATGACAGTGTAACTTAAATGACTGCAACATGAACCAACCGTGAGAGTCTTATGGCCTGTACAGGGACAGAGGAGCAATAAGAGCACCACCTCTGCTGGGGACAAGGAATCAGCTGATTGTTTGGCACTAGTTGTTAACAGCAATCCTGGAAGGCAGCAACACATTCAATGACAGATGAAAACTGAGTCTTCCTGTGGACAGAACAGACTTTCCAATTCACACTCCACCTGGCCTTCAGGTGGAACTGAACCCTTCAGGTTAAATAAGCTCCAGTGGTGTGGTAGACTAAGTGCTTGGTTAATCAAAAGTCATTCACAGGTTCTTCCCTCCTTGGCTTCTCTGTGATAGAGGGTGGAAAATGAACTTACTCAACTTCCCAGCTGCCCTTGCAACCAGAGCTGGTCATGTGATCTGGTTCTGGCCAATAGATGTAGGCAGAATTCACATGCCAAATTAAAAGGCAAAATCTCTTTGCCCTTTGCTTTTCCCTCTTCTTCCTGTCTAGAGGTGCAGCAGCCTTCCTGTGACCACAAGAATGAATCACATACTAAGGATGGTGAGACAGGAGCCTGGATTTTTGATGGCATCCTTGTGCAGCATTCCATCCCTGGGCTGTCTAATTCTGGATTTCCTGTTATGGAAGGGAAACACATGCCCATTTGTGTAAGCTACTATGAATCGGGTTTTCTGTTGTTTACAGGGGAACTCATTCTATAGTGCTATAAGGGTGAGACCTCAAGGTGGTAGATACTAAACTGCTTGCAGCTGCTCAAGTGACTAATGGGAAAAAATGAAAGAAACATGCTCGTGTTGGTAACCTCAGCTGGTGATACGGATCATGCAGTTTTTGGCATTATATTATTTATTCCCAAAATAGCACTATGACAGAAGCAAAGCAGGTGCAATCCACACTTAATATTCGATACCCTTGGAAACTACAGCCCAGAGATATTCAGTGAGGAATTTTATAATTATAAAAGTAATACATATTCACTGTACAAACAGTGTAAATAGAGAAGAGCATAAAGAAGAAATTTCTTAAAATTCCCCCACAGTACATTTTGATGTGTTTCATTCTGCTTTTTTTCCTTTGTGCAAGCAGCCATTTATATACACATACTTTATGAGATTTGGATCATATTCCATAGAGTGATTTGACTTTTTTTTTTTAAATGACTTTCCAAAGGTCACATAGATTGCTCCTGTGGAAGTCAGGACAGAAGCTGGGATTAACTTGTTTAGGACTAAGAACAACCCTTTTGCTTTGATAGATAGAAGACTGTGATATACCTTCTTAGCCTTCCCTTTTCAGAGAATGAGAAGAGAGGGGATTCCAGAGAAAGCCAAGGAAGGCTATTCAAGGACTGTGGTGAGCAATGTGTAGCCCTCTCTTCAGCCTCCTTTGTTTTTTTTCACTTGGAATTCTCTTTGCTGTGCCTTGTCCTTAGTGGATCACAGTGTCCTCTGCACAAGATTGTCTTGTTTTCTAGGGTGAGGGCTCAAGGTCTCTTGACTGGCCTCAGGGGGATGGTCAGTAGTCAGAGTGGAGCCACTTGTGTTCCTCCATGCCAGTTGGAGTCCTGGGGCTCAGAAGGGTTGGAGGAGAAGGTAGAGGAAGGAAGCGATTGTAGGAGAAGAATAAAGGAGGAAGGAGAAAAGAAATAACAATATGGAAAAGGCAAAGCTCTATAGACCCCTGGTAGATGGGTTTCTCCCATCCTCATCCCCCAGCCCTGCTTTCTTGGGTCTGCACTTGGGCCTGCACTTCTGTCCCACCATCATGTTAATGACACACAAGCATACCCAATTTCAAATTCTACCTCTTCTTACTTGTTCTGACTTTAGCAAGTTCTTTAAATTCCTTGATACTCCATTCCCTTTTGTGCATTGTGAGATGACAGACAAGGCTTCCTGGACAGTGTCCACCCCACCAGCTAAGTCAGCAGTGTAAGCCATATCCTACCTGGGCATGAGGTTGATGGGAAGAACCCTGACATCTGACTCTTGCTGGGGCTGGGTAGGATGCCTGGTAGAAAGCATTATAGGGTGTCCTTGCTTCTGTCAGAGCTGGCAGGGGTTGTCTGTGTTAGCTGAGTTCTTCACTAAGAGTAAACTGATTGTATCTTCTAACATGATTGGCATAATTCATATGGTGGAGGGAGATAATTCTCTACTGCTTTCATTTACATACAAAGATTGGTGGAGGAGAAAAGGAGGATCACATTTCAAATTCACCAGCAGTTGCTAGAAGCTGACAGCCCAAGAGATGGAGCTGAAGAACACGGATGTGTCTGGGCTCTGGGAACTCCAAAATGAGTGTCTTGGGTACTGTCATGACTATCTCTCTTTTCATATCTTGTTTTTTCTCCTCTTGGCTCCTTTTTGTAAACATGCTTCATTCTCTCCCTGAAAACTGGCTTTCTTTTTCTGCTGAAACATGGCATTCAGCACCTCTAGAGATTGATACATTTCAGCTGATGCTTAAGCAGCAGCTTACATTGGCTTAAGCTGATGCTGAAATTTATCAATCACTAGAGGTGCTGGATGCCGTCAGAGAGGGGCTGACCCAATTGCTTCTCTGGTCCCGATTCCAAAATGCCCAGGGAGGGGCCTCATTGGCTGAACATGGAATAGATGGCCACAACTTGACCAGTCACTGGGGTAATGTAAGAACCGTGTAAACCCCCAGGATTATTACAGATGGATAAGGGGCAGGATTTAAAATAAGTGCTTCTACATAGGCAATTCCGTAGGTGTTCACAAGGGGAATCACATGTGAGGAGTGTCTTCAGGGGAAGGCTGGAGTGTCTGCAGAAAAATTAACAGTGAGAAACTCCTAGAGTCACCTGAACAAAGGATATGATGGGCAAGGTTGTCTGCTAGTCAATCTTACGCTGTTTACTTTGCTAGGATGTAAAGCTATTCTGTCTCCCAAAACATAACGCAAAGCCTACCATATGCTTTTTAATGCTTTGCGAGAGTGATCTCTGCGTGAAATCAAAGGCTCTGCATCTCAGGTCTGCACTGGTGCCCAGCAGAAGGGGGAGATCAGCTGTGGGCACAGCATGTGTTGAGGTAAGTGTGTTTGGAACTAGAATTTACCTCAAGACATGAAATCCCTGGGAATTTTCCAAAACCTTGAAAATAGCATTGGGTTTTCCACAAAATAACAGGTGCTGCTTAAGCCTACTTTAGTTATTATCAGTGAATTGGAGACCTCAGTTGAAATTTGTGTTCGTGTACCAAATGGATGTAAGCCTTATGTCACAAATAAGAGTTAAATGATATCTATATAGAGAGTTCAGCGTCAAGTAAGCATGCAGTAAATGATAGTTCCCGCCTCCCTCACCTACTCATTGCTAGTATTCAGGGACAATGGTTTCAAATGCTTCCTAAGATTTACTTTTGTGTGAAAGAAAATATTTTAGAAAAAGAAACAGACCTAGCTTTTCATCCATTTTGTCTCCTACTAGCTGAGTGATTTAACCTGTCAGACGTTGGTCTCTGCATCTACATGCTGAAGGTATTGATACCCATCTCAGGTGTGGGTACAATGGTGGGGCGAGAGAAGGCATGTAAAGCATTCTACTGCCTGAGGCACACTTAGGTACCCACAAAACAGTGATTACATCTCTCTCATATGTTTTTCTCATTTCTTTAATTTCACTACAAACTTCTTGAGGGCAGAGCCATGTTTATTAATAACATTTGATCTTTCTAAGGTACTATGGTATTTGCAAAGTCTTTTTTACACCCCCTGTTTATTGCAAAGTTTTCTTCAGAGCCTGTATTTCCCATTTGATTCTCATAATGGCCTTGTGAAGCAGGTAGAACAGATCCTAATTTTTTCCACTTTAAGAAGAGGCTGACTGAGTTGTGTTTAGCATAGAGCCTGGCATTTGTTGGGTGCTGAATGTTTGTTGAGTGGTTTTGAGTGAGCTCCACATGTGTAGGTACTCTATGCCTGCTGATTGAATCTATGCATTTGTTAATTCATTAAGCAAATATTTATTGACCACCTATTACGTGCCCATCTGCAAAGAACAAAAATCCTGCCCTTGTGGCACTCACCTTCTAGGGAAATGAATGAATAAATTAATGATCAAATGAATTGAGAAGAAAATGAGGAGGAGCTGCTTGAATATCAGTCCTGGATATTTTCTTTATGACTTTTGAAAAAGGAGTACTTGTAGAATTTTAGAAGGACAGATATGGAAGGAACCTTGGGGAACATCTAGTTCCACAGAATGAACATTTTAAAGCCTGGGAACACTGTTTAACTGAGAGCTTTTAACTGAGAACTGTTTAACAGTCATCCAATTTATATAGCAGACACAGTAACGGCTTCTTTGTAACTACCTCTAGTTCTTTACAAAATTTTCTCAATCCCCAATCTTTTTCCAACTACCATTTCACTTCTCACTTCTCTCACAAAACTGGGAAGGGCGTGTCACATGCTGTCTTTATTCTCTACACTCCTCGCTCCTTCTCCAACCCACTTCTGTCTGGGTGTCATTCCTATCCTCCATCAAAACTGCTCTCAAGGACCTCTGTGTTGACAAGTTCAATGGCGCTCTTCTGTTCTCGTTGTTCTTGACCTCTCAGAAACTTTGACACAGCTATTTCCTCTTCAGTGAGACACGCTCCTCTTTGATCTCCATGGAATCATTCTCACTTTCCCTCCTATCTCTTTGATCATCTTCAGTCTCTTCTATTGGATCTCCTCTTTTACCTTTATGTTTTGCAGTTTCTTATAATTCAGTCTTAGGTCTTACTCTTATTTCTCTCCATAGTCACTCCATAAGTAATCTCATTGATGCCTTCAGCTTTGATTATCATTTATATTTTGATATCTTCTAAATTTCCATCTCCAGCTCAAGTTTCGGATGAACTCCAAACTTAAATATGTAAATGCCTCCTCACCACTTTCATATCTCACATTCAACTCAAAATTAGTTATCGCAGGCTGAGATCTCCATCTCTTCCCTATTCAAACTGTTTAACTTCAGTTTTCTCTCTCTCAGGAAATGACCTCACCATTCAGCCACCTGCTCAGTACAGAGAGTCCTCTCTTATTCTTTTTTCTCCCTCAAACCAAGCATCTGATTCTACAAGCCCTGTCTCTTTGCTCCTGCTAAGTGTACTTCTCATCTTCTCAGTCTTTCCACTTCCACAGCCACTACTGTAGTTTCAGCCACATCAACTCTTGCTGGATTACAGCAATCACAGCCTCTTATCCAGTCCCTCTCTTTCCACCCTTGCTCCCCTCCAAATTATTCTTCACATATAAATTTTTAAAAGTACAAATAATTTCATTGTACTCTGAGGCTTAAAGATCTTCAAGTGGCTTTGCATTGCCTTAGAGTAAAATATCAACTCCTTTCCGAGGCATGCCATGCACTATGTGATTGGATCTTGCCTGCTCCCCAGGTGCAGATCTTTCCACTCTCCTCTCACAGGTATGTTGCATCCTGTTTTTCTATTTATTTCCCAGCGTGGGGCCAGGGTCTTTCCTGTTTCAAGGCCTCTGCACACAGAGCTCCTTCACTGAGGCTGGAACAGTTTTCCCCTCACTCTCTTTGGCTGGCTTCTTTTAAGTCTTAGATCACAACTCAAATGGCCCCTCTTCTGAGCTTTTCTAAACATCTCATTTGAACAGCTGCCTAATTTTTTCACTTCACCCTGTTGCCTTCCTTCATGGCACTTGTTACAATTAGCAGTTACTGTTCTGTCTCTTTACCTGTTTATCTTCTGCCTCTCTCATTAGATTTTGTGACATAAGGGCAGGGACCACATCTGTTTTGGTCCTTGCTAGGTATCTACTGCAATATACATGCACTCATTGAGTCAGTAACAATGGATGAGGTCCAGGTTGGAAGGTCTGCCTCCTGGTCTGTTTGTTGTGGCCTTCCTAACAGTGACTATAGAGGCTACTGTTTTTGGTTGCCTGGTCCCCATCCCCCTTACTTGGTCTAGAAACACATCCAGGGCCAGTGATAGTTTCCCATGCCTATAGCCACAGTGGTGGTCCAGTCTGGTCAACTAGAATGCTCTCCAAGGTTCTGCTACTTGGAGCTGGCAGAAAGACTTTCTTTTCTTGTTATTTGTGAGGCTATAAGGGTGATAGGGTTTGGTTCTGTGTCTTCACCCAAATCTCATCTTAAATTGTAATCCCCACATGTCAAGGGAGGGAGGTGATTGGATTATGGGGGCAGTTTCCCCCATGATGTTCTCATGCTAGTGAGTGAGTTCTCAGGAGATCTGATGGTTTAATAAATGGCAGTTTCCCCTGGGCTTCTCTCTCTCACCTGCCACCATGTAAGAGGTGCCTGCTTCCCCTTCTACCATGGTTTTAAGTTTCCTGAGGCCTCCCTAGCCATGCAGAATTGCAAATCAATTAAACCTTTTTTCTTTATAAATTACCCAGTCTAGGGTATTTCTTTATAGCCATGTGAAAACAGACTAATACAAAGGGTTTTGGCTTGGAGCTTCTGAGGCAGCTGGCCTGAGATAACAAAGCCAGAAAAGCAGAAACAAGAGGCAGAGAATGAGGGAGTCCTGATGGTGGTAGAATCCCTGGGTTCAGTTGCTCTTAAGCCCAGTTTTCCCTTCCCTTCCTGATTATGCCTGTTAATCTATTTCTTCTTTTTGGGGGCTTGGTTTACTTCACTTGCAGCAGAACAAATATATTGAGCAAGTTATTTAACTCCCTCTGAGCCTCAATTTTCTCATCTGTCCAATCTGGTTAGTGATGTTTAACCTGTGTGATTTAAGGTGTTCTTATGAGACTCGAAGGAGAGAATGTCCACAGAACTTCTTTGAGGTCCATCTTTGTGATCATGACAATGTGCACCTTTTATCTCTTAGTCAGCAATATGCAGTTTACTTCTGCTTTTCCCCAAGGAGGATTTCTGGAGTTAGCATGAGCAACTGGGCTGCATAATTTAGGAAATTGTTAGTTTGGGTTGGAAGGCCATGGTGCCTGTCATGGGTGGTTCTCTGAGCATGCTCAAATCCTGGAATGTGTGCTCCTTTCACTCATTACCCTGACCTTTCCTGTCCTTGACACTTTTTCTCATAGATGTTGCAAATATTGAGGAGCAAAGCTTTTTTTGGATGAGTGTCAAAGCCTTTTATTTTCATTATTTTTATTTTCTTGAGCTCCTGGGAGACTTTCTTCTTCATTAACAGTGTCACACAGAGAACTTGTATGCCTCAGGCTTTGAGCTAAAACTGTTTAAAGTGAAAGCAGCTGCTTTTGCAGAGCAGTCGCACCCTCAGATCCCCCGAGAATGCAATTGGATAATGAAGTGCAGACTCTTTGACCAGGGCTCTGCTGGTCGAGGATGCCCTGCCTGCTTCAGCAAATATGGGGCCATTTAAAGCCTGGCTCCTCACAGCTTCTCCAAATGGTCTTCCCCATCTCCAGCTGCACCCTCCCAGCCAGTCCAAGTGTCTGAGACCTGGAGTGTCCATGTAAATTTGAATTTTTTTTCTCTAGCTGTCACATCCATTTAAACCACTGTCATCTCATTTCTTCACTATGTCAGCTTCATTCTCTGTGGCTCAGAGCATGCCTGGTGCCTCCAAGCTACCCGGAGATTGCTGAGTGACTTGCATCTTCTGAGCTCCAGTTCTGCATTCTCCCTAAACCAGTCATTAAGTCTCAGTGGCCACCTGCCATGTTTAGCACTACAGGTCTAAATTGAAAGTCATCCAGCCCTCTACTCTCAGTTCCTCATTCAGCCTGTTTATTTCTCATCCTCCTGCCCTGTCTTTCTTCCTCTATCCCAGGCTCCGACCTTCAGACTTATCTTGACCCTTCACTTTAACTTGCCTTACAGATCCAGGCAGTGCCTGCTGATTTGTTGATTGATTGTTTCATCCAATCAAATTACCAAGGACTCTCTGTCAGACCCTGTGTAGGTGCCAGGGAGACAGAAAATAGAGCTGCTGTCTCTCGGTCTAGTGACTGGACCACTGAGGCAGAACAGCTCTGCCCAGAGCCCAAGGCCAGATGAATGCTCCTTAAACTGGCTTGCTGTGCATTTCACTCCTCTGGGAAAAATCCATCATGGCTCTCCATTGTTCATGGAATGAAGTCTAACTTCAGTCTAAAGCTGTCCAATACCACAGCCTCTGGTCGCATGTGGCTATTGAGTGTTTGAAATGTGGCCAGTCTAAATTAAGATGTGTGATAAGTGTACAATAAATACAGGATTTCTAAGAGCTAGCACAAAATAAAAAAAAATCATTAATTTTATTTAATTGCATGTCAAAATCATAATTTATATATTGGGTTAAAGAAAATATTGTTAAAATTAATACTTTTTTTACTTAAAAATTTAACATGGTATATAAAGGTTTTCCAGAGAAATAGAATCAGTAGGATCGATAGATAGATATAGATATATTGGAGGATTTATTTTTTGAATTGTCTCACATGATTATGGGGGCTAAGAAGTCTCATGACATGCCATCTGCAAGCTGAAGCACCAGGGAAGCTGGTGGGGTAATTCGGTCCGAATCTGAAGGCCCGGGAAGCAGGAGAGTTGATAGTGCAACTCTCAATCTGAGGCCAAAGGCCTAAGAAACTGGGGGGCTGCTGGTGTAAGTTCCAGTATCTGAAGGCCTCTTAGCCTGGAGTTCTGATGTCTGAGGGCAGGAGAAGGTGGATGTCCCAGCCCCAGAAGAGAGAGTGAATTCTTCCTTTGCCTCTTTTGTTCTCTCTGGGCCCTCAGTGAATTGGTGATGCCTGCCTACGTTGGTGAGGATGTATCCTTTTTACTCAGTCTACTGATTCAACTGCTAATCTCTTCTGGAAACACTCTCACAGACATTCCCAGAAATAATGTTTCAGCAGCTTTCTGGTTATCCCTTAACCCAGCCAAGTTGACACATAAAATTAACCACCACACATGGCTATCAGAAAATCTAGAATTACTGGCTGGGTGTGGTGGCTCACGCCTGTAACCCAGCACTTTGGGAGGCCGAGGTGGGCGGATCACGAAGTCAGGAGATCGAGACCATCTTGGCTAACACAGTGAAACCCTGTCTCTACTAAAAATACAAAAAATTAGCTGGGTGTGGTGGCATGTGCCTGTAGTCCCAGCTACTTGGGAGGCTGAGGCAGGAGAATCGCTTGAACGCGGGAGGCAGAGGTTGCAGTGAGCTGAGATTGCGCCATTGCACTCCTGGGTGACAGAGTGAGACTCTGTCTCAAAAAAAAAAAAAAAAAAAAAAAAAAAAAGAAAATCTAAAATTACGTATGTGGCTTACATTATATTACCATTGTCAGCACACATCTAGGACATGAGGTTTTCCATAATCTGTCTTCTGATGACTTAACATATATTATCTCATGTCATCCTCACAATGGGCAGATGCAATGTGATATCATTTTTCACTTACCAACAAGGAAGCAGAGGTTCAGAGAGGTGCGAGGCACTAGGTCAATGGATGTGAGGGTCAGCACCAGGAACATACTCCTGAAGTCCTGCAAGCCTCAGGAGTCCTGCGTAGTGCCATATCCATGATGTCTACATCTCATTGTCCTATTGTTTCCCTTCTGCCATTTCCCAATGGATAAGACATAGGAAGAGGACAGCAAAATCATGAAAGCCCTGGTTGGACAGACTTGGCACTAGAAGAGGACTGACTGTGGAATCCCATGACATGTGAGCTTGAGAAGAGTATCTAGTTGAGATCCATTTGTTGCAGGTTGCACTTTGTTAGCCTTTGACCACGTGGATAATGGAGAAATTAGCTGGAAGGAATTTATCTAAGAAAAGAAGCAGCCAGGCATGAGCTGGACCCTTGTTTCCCTGCTTGTGCTGTGCTAGCTGGTGGATAGCTGGCATGTGTCTGGTGGATGTCTGCAGTGCAGCAGTGACATGTGCCTACAGCCGGCTACCTGGTGTTGGGGAACACATAGAATACAGCCCCTGAGAGCACCAGACCCACTCAAGGGTAACTTTGCAGGGGTTTGGAGTTTCTGAGTGAGTAGGCTGGGGGTAACAGGAGCCAGTGAACTTTGAGGCATTCCTGTTTATGTGGCCCCGTCTGTCTCCATAGGCTCAAAGGATTTGGGGTTCTTGTGCCTGGAACATCTTTAATTGTCTGTGGAGATCCTGGGCAGAGCTAGGAGGAGATCTGTAGAATGACTCAGTGTCTGGTGGCCCATTTCCACTAAAAATCATGGAGGAATTCCTGATTCTGGTGGACCATGGTATCTCCAGGAGTTAGTCAAGTAGGCTTTCAGGGCCTTTTCCCTTTTTCTGACCACAGGGCAGCTTCTCAGTTTTGACAGGTGACGTGTACTCAAAGAACCCCTGATCAGAATTAATCCCTGAATTTGTATTACCACCAAGGTCCTGGTCTGCTGTGCTGGTGTGAACTCCTCTGCAGCAAACCTCCCAGGAATGGATAGATGGGCAGTCTATCCTGTAACTGAATGCAACTTTTTTCCCTTTTCTTTTCCATTTGAGACAAAAATGACATGGCATCAGGCAGTGCCAACTAGTGACACATTTCTCTCTTCTCTTTGCTAAGGAGGTTCCCTCTAGTATCTTACCCAGCCAACCGCTTGCACCAAGCATTTTGGATTATCTACAGGGGCTAATGAGAGGTTGTCCTGTTGATTATAATTGCTTTTTTCTAGTCAGTCACTGTATTGGAAACAATTAGAGCAGACAGAAATCTCTGAGATCCTCTGGTCCTATACACACATTGTACAGATGGAGAAACTGAGGTTTAGGGAGGGGATGCGACTTGCATAAGGGAGAGTTCCTCAAAAAGGGCTGGGGTCAGGGCTCAAGCAGGTGCTCGTTGGCTCCCTACATAGGTTGTTGGCTCATGGAGGAATCTCTTGGCCCCCTCTGACCTGTTGCACTGTGTCCTGTTCCTACATTTCATTTGAGCTTTGTCATCTGGGCAAGCAGCATAGTGAAATGAGAAAAGCTTTACACTGGACATCAGGAGAGCTGGGCTCCAGGCCTTTCTCCATCTCATCAACAGGCTGGATGGCCTGCAGTGCACTGCCCTGCACTTTTCCTACCATACTTCCCTGAGATCCAATAGATGTCTCTTGAGCATGAAGCACAAAAAACCCCCAAATGATCTAAAACTTGCATGCGTTAACTAACACATTCATTTATAAGGCAATTGTTAAGACTTGTTTTCTTGGCACTAGGAATATAGAGATGAAAGATGTGTTCCTCTTCCTCAGGGAACAGGTAACAGACATGAAAACAGCACTGGGCAAATATTTTGTGAATTTGTTACGCTCAGCCCAGGGAGAAGGCAGAGGGCATGGGGCCTCTGAGTGATCTCTATGGGCATGAGACACAGGCTTAGGAACCCTCTTTTCCCAACTGCTGGCCAAGGGGTTAGGAAATGTACATTGGGAATTCATTACTCTGGCTCTCCAGAACTTTGGTGTCTTTCAAAGACATCTGGGAAAATACAAATGGTGTAGGATGGGACATTATTTTATTTTTTCCAGCCACCAACCAGTAGGTGAGTATTCAGAAGAAGCAGGGGAAAGGGAGCAGTGAAGAGGGGCTGGGGCTGGGGTAGGGCACAGTGGGGAGGTCAGAGACAGGAAAACATACCATGTTGCCCGTCTTGCTGGAACACCTACATCCGTCTTGCTGGAACACCTACATCTCTGGATCAGATGGTTTTCTCTACACTTCTCCCTCTCTCTTTTTTCCTCTTTCTCCCAACTTTGATTAACAAAACTTTTCCACGAAGGAGGTCATTTGTTGAAAACGATACATGATGTGGGCTCATCCAGACCCCCTGACTGGTCAATAAACTCCATCTTTATCCTCCAGTGATTTTAACTTGATTGTTGAGTGAATTTCCAATCACATTGTCTGAGGATTATCTCCAGACAGTGTCAAATCTAAGCTCGCTCATTGGGCCAGTTGCTGTGATGGGGCGCCAAAATTATTTTAATATTAGTTTGAGTCAAGTAACTGAGAATGTAAGAGTAAAACAATATCCCATGTTCAGCATCAGGCTAAAAATAGGTTGTTCCCATTCCCCTGACTTCTCACATTTCTTTATTAAACCTCTATTCTGGTTGATTTGTGAGCCAATGTTAGTGATTCCACTATTTTTGTAATGTTTTGATGACTTCAAACAATTTACAAAACATCTAAAAGTAGTCTCATTGAAGGCTGGGCATGGTGGCTCATGCCTGTAATCCTAGCACTTTGGGAGTATGAGGCGGGAGGATTGCCTGAGCTCAGGAGTTCAAGACCAGCCTGGGCAACATGGTGAAACCCTGTCTCTACTAAAATACAAAAAAATTAGGCGGTGGTGGTGGCGCATGCCTGTAGTCCTAGCTACTCGGGAGGCTGAGGCACAAGCATTGCTTGAACCCAGGAGGTGGAGCTTGCAGTGAGCTGAGATTGCACCACATCACTCCAGCCTGGGCAACAGAGTGAGACTCTGTCTCAAAGAAAAGAAAAAAAAAAGTAGTCTCATTGAGCTGGAAAATACTGCTACAGCATCCCCACTTCCAGGCTCCATACTATTGTTATTTTTAGTGGCAGCTTCATTGAGATTTAATTCATATACCAAATAAATCACTCGTTCAAAGTATACAACTCGGGATTTTCAGTATATTCACAGAGTTGTGCAACTGTCATGATAATCCATTTTAGAACATATTTCTTACCACACAGACACACAAAAACAAACTCATTCCCATTAGCAGTAACTTCCCATTTCCCTCCAAGCCCCTCATCCCCAGGCAACCACAAATCTACATTCTATCTCTATGGATTTGTCTATTCTGGACATTTCATATGAAGGGACTCACATAATATGTGGTCTTTCACGACTAGCTTTTTCACTTTAGCTTAATGTTTTCAAGGTTCATCCGTGTATCAGTATATATCAGTACTGGAATTAGTTTCCTTTTATTGACCAATACTATCGCATTATATGGCTATACCACATTCTGTTTATCCATTTATCAGTTGACAAACGTTTGGTTATTTCCACTTTTTGGCCATTATGAATAAAGCTGCAATGAATATTTGTGTACAAGCTTTTATACAAACATATGTTTTTTATTCTCTTGTACTTATATACCTAGGAATGGAATTGCTGATCATGTGGTGGCTTTAACCTTTTTAACTGACTAAACCTTTAACTTTAACTTTTAACTGTTTTTCAAAGTAGTTGCATCATTTCACATTTGCACCAGCCACGTAAGGAGGTTCTAATTTCTCCGTATCTTTTTTTTTTTTTTTTTTGAGACGGAGTCTCGCTCTGTCGCCCAGGCTGGAGTGCAGTGGCGCGATCTCGGCTCACTGCAAGCTCCGCCTCCCGGGTTCACGCCATTCTCCTGCCTCAGCCTCCCGAGTAGCTGGGACTACAGGTGCCCGCCACCACGCTTGGCTAATTTTGTGTATTTTTAGTAGAGACGGGATTTCACTGTGTTTGCCAGGATGGTCTGGATCTCCTGACCTCGTGATCTGCCCGCCTAGGCCTCCCAAAGTGCTGGGATTACAGGTGTGAGTCACCGCGCCCGGCCAATTTCTCCATATCTTTATCAGCACTTTGTAATCATTTGTCTTTTGATTTTAGCCATTTTAGTGAGTACGAAGTGGTTATCTCATTGTGGTTCTGATTTGACTTTCTCTGATGGCTAATGATGTTGAGTGTATTTTCTTGTGCTTATTGGCCATTAGTACATCTTCTTTAGAGAACTGTCTGTTCATATCCTTTGCCCATTTTAAAATTGGGTTATTTGTATTTTTGTTGTTGAGTTTTAAGTATATATATGAATATAAGTGTTCTATATACAAGTCTCTTATCAGATATATGATTTGCAAAGCTTTTCTCCCATTCGATGAGCTGTCTTTTCACTTTCTTGACAGTGCTCTTTAAAGAACAAAAGTTTTAAATTTTGGTGATGTCTGACTTATCTGTCTTTTCTTTGTTGCTTGTGCTTTTGGTGTCATAATGAATAAATCATTCAAGGTCATGAATATTTATTCCTTTGTTTTCTTCAAATGCTTTAATAGTTTTAGCCCTTGTATGTAAGTCTTTAACACATTTTGAGTGAATTTTAATATATAATGTGAGTAGGTGTCAACATATATAGCTTTTGAATTCATTTCTTAGATCTGATTTTCTCTTTTTAATTTTTTAAAAAAATTATTTTATTTTTTATAGAAATAGAGTCTTACTATATTGCCCAGGCTGGTTTTGAACTCCAAGACTCAAGCAATCCTCCTGCCTTGGCCTTCCAAATGCTGGGATTACACACATAAGCCACCGTGCCCGGCCGTCTTTATAAATTTAATTTTAGCTTATTTCTATTAATCTCACCTTTTTGTTTTTTATATTTATTTTATATATTATACATATATTTTATAAATACAAATATATATATTTTAATATTTATTGTATTTAAATATTTGTATATTCTTCTGAGTACTGTTTTAGTTCTGTCCCATAGGTGCTGATATGTAAAGATTTTTTACATTTTGTTTTTTAGAAATTCAGAACATTCAGAACATTAATTCTCTCATTGAATTAGGGATTAAGAGTTAATTTTAAAAAATCTCAATCTCTTGTTTTCTGATTTTGTTATTTCTAGTTCTATCATATTGTGACCAGAGAATATTGTTTGTTCATTTCTATGTGTTAAAATCTGGTGCAATTTCTTTTGTGACTTAAATTATTGTTTTTATGTATATTCCAAAAGCATTTCAGGGTACAGCGCTTAACAGATATCAGTAAGATCTGCTGCATGTCTATGTTATTTAGATAATCTATACCCTGACTTAATAATTTTATCTACTTTATCTGTCATAGATTGGGA
The DNA here is from genome assembly GCF_000001405.40 of Homo sapiens. Lineage (NCBI taxonomy): Eukaryota > Metazoa > Chordata > Mammalia > Primates > Hominidae > Homo > Homo sapiens. The sequence continues at coordinate 140,836,299 of NC_000003.12, read as the reverse complement.
GAGAGGAATTAAAATCTCCCTACTGCCAGTCTGTTTTTATTAAAGCCTATTTTTCCTTATAACTGCTATAATCACTGTTTTTTGACTGTTGCTTCTATGTCTTATTGCATAGATATTTAGCACTATTCCTAGTCATTGAGAGTTGCGCCCTTTAGCCTTGTAAAAATTGCCCTTTGTATTGTTTAATGCTGTATGTCCTGAATGTAACCTTGTCTGATATTTAGATAATGCCCTCTGCTTATTTTTTTTTTGCTATTTGTTTGTATTTTCCTGTTATCTTTGCCCATACTTTTATTTACAACTTTTCTGAATCACTTTGTTTTGCATTTCTCTTCTATATAACTGAGGGTTTAGTTTTGCTTTGTAATTTAACCTGAAATATATTTATAATACGTAGGTAAAGCCCATTTACATTTATTAATATAACAGATGTATTTGATCTCAGTATGGCATAATATTTAATGTTTTCTCTTTTACTGTGTTTTAGCAAGTCTTTATTTACATAATGAGTTTTCTTTGCCTTTTAAAACAATTGCACTTCTGATATTTAGAAAGTTTTATATTTTTGTTCTCATGACAATATAACTTTGTATAATATTGCTAGTGTTCTATTTTTCTAGATGGTATTGGCTAATTCTTTTGTATGAATAATTGTACAACGAATGTGCCTCATTTTGCTAACCTCCCCTCTCTCTTCCACCACCCAATTCTAGTTACCTCAATGTTTACCACTGTCTTTTTAAAGATGTTTACATATAGTTCTTACTTGGTTTGACAGCTTTCAATCAAATCTTTTCTTTTGCTTCCACTATTACAAATTCAATAATCTGCAAACCTACTCGACTTTTCACCTTCCCTACCTTTTCTCCCTTCCATTTTTCATTAGTTGTATCATTTATACATTGTCAGAGCATATAACCTTTACATTCTATCTGTTGTCCCAATCTCCAGCTTTGTTTAATCTTAATCTTGCAGTTGCGGTATACAGTGCTCACCACCTCTTTTTTTTGCTACAGTTTGTTTCCGCTATTATCTCCTGGTTGGCGATTGTTTGACCTCTTATAGATTCTTCAGGAAAGGATCATGGGACCATATTACTTAAGCTCAAACATTTCACAATTGTTAGTTTGCTTTTGAGATGAATTTTTTTTGCTGGCTATAAAATCCTTGCCTCACAAGTCTCCTTTTTTTTTGGCTATCTTGTAGATGTAAATTACATAATCTTCTTATTTTGAATGTTGCTTTGGAAAAATATAAGATGTGTTTGAATCTTTTCCTTATTTAATGGCTTATTTCTTTGTTTGGATGTTCAGAGAAAACTCTTTCCTTCCTTCCTTCCTTCCTTCCTTCCTTCCTTCCTTCCTTCCTTCCTTCCTTCCTTCTTTCCTTTCCTTTCCTTCCCTTTCCCTTTCCCTTTCCCTCTCTCTTTCTCTCTCTCTCTCTCTTTCTCTTTCTCTCTCTCTCTCTTTCTCTTTCTCTCTATCTCTCTCTTTCTTTCTTTTCCTGAGACAGGGTCTTGCTCTGTTGCCCAGGCTGGAGTGCAGTGGTACCATCACAGTTCACGTGAGCCTCAAACTCCTGGGCTCAGGCAATCCTCCCACCTCATCCATCTAATTAGCTGGGTTTACAGGCATGTGCCACCACTGCACTGGTTTCCATTCCCAGAGAGAATTCTTTCTCTCCCTCCCTTCTTTCATCCCTTGCACACTCACTCTGTCTCTTCCCTGTGCTTTCTCTCTCTTTGTTTGTCTCCAGCTTCACAGGATGTGTCTCGTTGACTATTCTGACTCAATTTTCTCTGGCCCATGTTGTGCCCTTTTAATATGTAGAGCTGACTAGACATGGTGACTCACGCCTATAATCCCAGCACTTTGGGAGGTCAAGGAGGGCAGATCAGTTGAGCCCAGGAGTTTGAGAACAGCCTGGGCAACATGGCAAAACCCTGTCTCTATCAAAAAATACAAAAATTAGCCGGATGTTGTGGCACGTGCCTATAGCCCCAGCTACTCAGCTGAGGTGGGAGAATTGCTTGAGCCCGAGAAGTGGAGGTTGCAGTGAGGTGAGCTCATGCCACTGGACTCCAGCTTGGGTGACAGAGGGAGCCTGTCTCAAAACAAACAAAACAAAAAGAAAAAAAAATGGTTTCTGTTTTCTTCTCTAATTATAAGTATGTTTGATCTCCTTTGCTATTGTAGCTGTCATTTTCTCTCTAATTCACTTTAATTCTATCTTTATTTCAGTTCCTTTTGATTGTATTTCTTTATCTGTCCTCAATATTACTGTCTTTCTACAATGTTTAGTCTACCTTATATACTTTCCAATTTTGTCTTTATTTCTCTGATGGTTTTCTACTTTTTGCTAGAGTTCTGCTGGCTCATAGTTCATTTCCTCCTATTTTCTTGCTACAAATTCCCTGAATTCTGGCATTTAAAAATTCATGGTGAAATGTTAATGTGTAATTTTTTTTTTTTTTTGCTTTCAGCAGCATTTTTTTTTGGATGAATGTTGTTCGTATTTTGGTAAATTTTGTAACTCTTTTTGAATTTTCAACTAATAGTTACTTTGTATATATGCTATGTTAGTTCACTAAAAAAATCACTTATTATTAACTTAAAGTTTTTAGTTCCAGCTATTTAAATATGGTCTCTGATGGAGTGCATCTCAACTCAAAGCATTCTGTTCCTCTGCTGTTTATGAAAAACACTAGTTGCTGGAAATACGGTTCATCTGTATCATTCTTTTTTTTTTTTTTTTTTTTTTGAGACGGAGTATCACTCTGTCGCCCAGGTTGGAGTGCGTGCAGTGGCATGATCTCGGCTCACTGCAACCTCCGCCTCCTGGGTTCACACCGTTCTCCTGCCTCACCCTCCTGAGTAGCTAGGACTACAGGCGCCAGCCACCACGCCCGGCTAATTTTTTGTATTTTTAGTAGAGATGGGGTTTCACCGTGTTAGCCAGGATGGTCTGGATCTCCTGACCTCTTGATCCGCCTGCCTCGGTCTCCCAAAGTGTTGGGATTACTGGTGTGAGCCACCGCACCCGGCCCATCTGTATCATTCTTTGTGTTGCTCTTCCTCCTCTGTTTTTCTGAACTTCAGGGGCTTCACCTGTGAATTGTTTCCTTCAGCTCCTGCACTTTGTTGCAAATAGGATATGTCATTTATGCACTTCAGGGTGAGCCACTTGCCTTCAGGAGTTCCCTGCCCAACCCGGCTTTTCAGCTCTGCCATCACTAAGTTCTCTTGCAACTCAGTCTTACTTCCTTTCTTTTTCTTCCTATGTGGTTTCTGTCTGATTTCAGTTGCTTTTTTTTTTTTTTTAATCAACTCTTAAGCATATTTTGGAGGCTGCAGACTATATTTTTCTTCTTGTTTCACTGAAAATGCAGTTTCTGGATTCTTTTTCATTTCTTCTTACTCCTTTTATGTGTTTTTTATAGAGAAAATGGATAAATAAGCTGATATGTGCAGCCATGTACATACCAGAAGCCCCTAAGATGATTTTAAGGTTATCTATCATATTGGGTTTTTACTGTTGTGAAACAGTGAAGGTTTGAGAGTCCTTAGAAGAGTTCTTACCCCACTTAATAGTAAAATAGATTACAGATTACAAAAACAAACAAACCGCACCTGACTTTGGCTATGCAGAAAGTTAAAGAATTATTTTAGCTAGCTCTGAGTTAAAACTTTAAGCACCAGACCTTTCCATTTGAACCACTTTAGAAGAAAATCCTAAATATTAACATACTTCTTGCTTTCTTGGTGCTTAAAGAATGAACCAGCCGGGCATGGTGGCTCAATCACTTTGGGAGGCTGAGGAGGGCGGATCATGAGGTCAGGAGATCAAGAACATCCTGGCTAACATGGTGAAACCCCATCTCTACTAAAAATACAAAAAATTAGCCAGGTGTGGTGGCACGTGACTGTAGTCCCAGCTACTCGGGAGGCTGAGGCGGGAGAATTGCTTGAATCTAGGAGGCGGAGGTTGCAGTGAGTCGAGATTGCACCACTGCACTTCAGCCTGGGTGACAGAGTAAGATTCCATCTCAAAAAAAAAAAAAAAAAAAAAGAACAAACCGTGTGTGGATGGTTGGAGTTGGAGAATAGGGATTATTATGACTGTATTGTACTAAAATATGGTTATTCCATTTATGGAGCGGAGGGTGTTGACTTTCATATGAAGAGGCTCTAAAGCATCACTTTTTTGGTCATACATAGTTTTTTATTTCTCTCTTTTTTTTGAGTAGGTTTTCTTTAGTCACCCTTTATTATAGCTATTAATGTGTTTGCTTGTTGTAGTCCTTTGAATTTAGTGAAGTCTCAGAATTTAGACAACAAAGATTGCTGGAATTATATACAAAGTAAAAGCAAATATACTTTGGGCATAACATGAGGGACTCTCCCACAATTAGGATGATAATCAGTGCTCAGACCTTGTAATATCTGTTTCAGTTGCTTGGGAATCTGCTGCTTCTTGGATCTCAGCAGCACTCTGATTAGGAAAGGAAGCTGATTACTTACATTTCTGAGACATCAAATGTGTATTTAGTTTTGATTTTATATGTGCTTAATGATATTATTGGACTTGTAACATTGTGACTATAAAATGTTCCTACTATATAATTTGTTTTATCGTAAATATTGTAGAAAGTGTAAAGAAGACATTTGCCACAGCATTCTACTGCAGAGAAGGGTGTTTTTGTGTTCTCAATGCCCAGTTGTCCTAGTGTCTGGGGGAGGCACAGACATTTGCTATGCAGGCTGAGTACGTAGGGAAGGTTCTAAAGTTGTTAAGTGCAAGCTGCAAGATTCTAAGATTAATTGTGCTTCACTCTCCAGTGAGATTAATGTATTATAAATCATAGAGGCATATCCCATCAATCTGGTGCCTCGATGCAGGGAACATTATAACCCTTAACTCAGCAGAAACATACCTTCCATCCATTACAGCATCTCTCCTGGAATAAAGTATGTGCTCCTCAGATAGGGCCAGGGCAACGGACAGCATTTTAAAGACATCTTTGAGATAGCTGTTACAACAGGGAAACCATTTCTATGGCTCCTTGGTTTCACTCTACAACAATAACTTTTATAGACAGTACATATTTGGAGAAGTGTTTTCTGGACACTTAGTATCTGCACAGCCCTGGGGTAAGTTCTCTGGGGTGTATGAAAGGAAGAAAACTTATGATTCCTACTCTTGATGAGCCTACTGTTTGTTAGAATACTAACAGCATGATTTTGATGCTAATAGCTATTGTTTATCTAGCATTTACTATATGCATACCAATAGAATATACTAAGAAATTATTCATAGAATGTATTTTAAAATAAATGCCAACAAGGTTAGAGAAAGAAAAGATATGTACTGGCTGGAGTAAAGTCCCTATAGAAGTCGGGCCTGTGTTGAGCCTTATTGGTGGAAAGGCTTTAGAGAGGTGGGACAGGGTACATTTCCCAATGTAGGGTATATATTGCATGAGAAAAATGAGGTTAGATAAGCAGTGAATAAATACAAGAAAAGAGGCTTGGAAGTAGCTAGCAGAACCACAGAACAGGCAAGAGCCTCTTGCTGTGTACTTTTTCACCCTTCCAGGCTCCATCTGATATCAATTTCATTCCCCTCTGGGGACACCTTGCCTAGAGGAAGAGAATTCCCATAGGAACTCATCACAAGGAAGGTGAAAAGTGAATAACGCAATAAAGCTGGACAGGCAGGTCCTATAGGCTACACCAATAAAGTCATTTGACTACATTGTGCCAGCTAGGTTGTGTGTGCAGATACTTCTAGGGCCAAAGTTAGTTTGCCAAGATTTGGCAGGGAGATAAAACCAAGCTTCCTCCTCCCTTTCCTCTTCCTCCTTCCTTATTATAAAATAATATTATAAACTTATGACCCCTTCCTTCTCCTTTTAATTTATCCTCTTCCTTGACGCCAAGCTCAGCCCCCCTAGTTACAGCTTCATGCCATGCACGGCTCACTCAACTTCATTCATTTATTCATTCGACAGGTATTTATTGAGAATTCCATATGCATCCTCAGAAAATATACAGCCTTATAAGGAGGACAATTAAGAAGAAATTACAATAAATATGAGCATAGCATCCTCTATTTCTAACAGAGAGGTTTCTTTAAATTATTGAGGGGAGGAGGGCATCAGAAAAGAAATGACATACAAACTGAGACCAGAAGTATGAGTGGAGATGTTCTTTATCCTTCCCAAGCCTGTTGAGGGTACCTCTGTTTGCTCTGGGAAGCTGCCAGGCACTTTAAGGTTCTTGGCTGACTTTGGCTGCCACCACCAGCATACACAAGAAATTAATATATTTGTTCAATCAGTAAATATTTCTTGGGAAGTTCTAGTATCCAAACAGTGTTCTGCGCTGTGTGGATTCAGCTGTAAGCCAAATAGGCAAAGCACTTGCTGTCATGGAGCTTGCATTCTAGTAGGGATGGGCAGAGAACAAATAAATAAACAAAAATAGATAATATGTTAGGTGCTATGGAAAAAATAGCAGAGTAAAGTGATAGAATATGTGTTCTTGTATGTGTGTGTGGGTATACACTATTTTAAATAGGGTGGTCTGGGTTTCTCTGCTGAGGTGATATTTGAGCAAGAACTGATGAAAAGAGTGCGATGTGGCTTTCTGGGGAGGGGAGCAGCACTCTAGGCAAAGAGCACAACTAGAGCAAAGGTTTCTTGGAAGAAGTGTGCTAGGTGTGTTCAAGGAACTGCAGAAAGGCCAGGTGATGAGAGCTCAAGGAGGAGAGCAGAAGTGGATAAAGTTGTGGAGTTTCTGTCCCCATGGCAAGGTTTACATTTAAGAGCTGCTGTGTCGAGATATGACAGTAGAGGGGCAAGATCAATAATGAAGGAGGTCAATAAGGAGGCTATTGCAATGGTTCAGGCAAGAGATGGTGGTGGCTTGCTATGGTGGAAGCATGGGAAGTGGCAGGATTCTGGATATACATACAAGATAGAATGGATAGGTTTGCTGATGACTTGGATGCGGGTGTGAGAGAAGAAAGGGGTCAATGATCACTGAAAGGATTTTGTTCTAAGTCACTGATAAAACAGATTTGTCATTAATTGAGATGGGAAAAGCTTCAAAAAGAACAGGTTTTGGGGAGCAAAAATATGTTAAGTTTGTTATGCCTGGCTATCATTCAAGTGGAGATTTCACGTAGGCAGATCATCATACAAGCCTGGATTTCAAGGGAGTGTTTGGGAGTTGTTATTTAAAGCCGTGAGACAGATTGATCAGCAAGTGGGGGACTCTAAAGATAGAATAGATAAGGGCTGAGGGATGAAGCTGGGGGGCCTCCTTGCTTAGAAGTTGGGGAGATGAGAAGGATCCTGCAAAGGAGGTTGGGAGGGTGCAGCCAGAGAGGTAGAAAAAATAAGCAGTGTGTGCTGCCCTGGAAGCCAAGCAAGCATTTCAAAGAGGAGGAAATGACCACCTCTGTCAAATGCTGCTGAGAGGTCAATGGTGCAAAGACCAGAGGTCACTGATAACCCTGTCGCAGTAGGTTTGATGGAGTGATGGGTCCAAAGGCTGATAGGATGGGCCCAGAGAGGATGAGAGGAGGGAAGTGGAGAATGGCTATGGAGTCACCTCTTCCATGGAGTTGTGCCACAAAGAGGGGCAGAGAGATGAGCCTATAGTTGGTAGGGAAAGTGGGGTCAAGGGAGGACATTTCCCAGATGAGAGAAAAGCAACATGTTTATGGGCATCATTTAGTAGAGAGGGAAAGCAATGGTGCCAGTGGGAGTGACAACTGCAGGGATGATGGCCTTAGCAGGTGAGAGGCATGAAATCCCACAGCCAGTGGACAGGAGTAGGAATAGCTCATTCCTGCAACAGGAGGGCAGGTGGGTGGGTGGCTTTGGGGTGTGCAGTGCAGGAGTTCTCCTCTGATGGCTTTACGTTTCTCAGTGAAGTGAGCAGCTGGGTCCTCATCTGAGCATGGGGATGGGGAGGAGGTGATAAAGTTGTGGGTGGAGAGAAGGGATGAGGTGGTCTAGGAGATTGAGAGAGACCAGCTTGGAGGGAAGGCATGACTGTGGGGTAGTACGAAGGGCCTCTTGAGGGAAGTGGGCATGAATTTAAAAATAGCTCAGTCAGAATGCTTCAGGATAGCATTTACCAGGGTGAATCAGATCTTGGGCTTATTAAACCCACATGGGAGGAGACATTTTTGAAGAATTCCCAGGATGGTACTGAAGCCCATTGCCCTGTTTCATGTCTGGAGGACAGAGATATCCTGCCAGTAGATGACTTCTGACCACAGCTCTACAAGGCAGACATGGAGTTAGGGTATTTCCCATGGTGGGGGCAGAACCCCAAAGGATGGCCAAATGTATTTATCACAAATTCATCTTCAACTTCCTTTAACTATCAGTGGAGACATGCTAGAAGGTTATAGGAAAGACACACAAGCATTTAAAGGTTTGTTAAGATCAACACATAAGGATTTGGTGTGGAGGTGAGTCAGCTGACATACCAGAACTCTAGTGCACTAGGAGGTAGCCAGACAGAGAGGAGGGGAAGGAGTTCCAGGCAGAGGGACCTGCATGCAGAAAGGCTCAATGGTCATGAGAGCATGGAGGGGCATGGCCATTGTGGAACTGGAAGATGTTTGGAAATATTGGATTATATGCGTCTGGGCAGCTGTCCTTCTCACTGTCTTCTACTCTGCCACCTCACTTCAGCCTCTAGGCCTTTACTCATGCTGGCTTTCCTGCTATGAATGCCCGCCATCTGCTAGGCATTCATCTGCTGCAATTGTGCAACTGGGGGCGCATTAGCATGTATTTTATGTTCCCTTCTTGAGTTGGTTCAATTTCTCTGTCTTCCATGACAGCCTCTTTTTCTATTACAAGCCACACTTTCTCTCCCTTCTCTGAATTCCTCTTATATTTAGAGGGTAGGATTGCCAGATTTAGCTAATAAAAATACAGGATACCCAGTTAAATATTACACAGGACACATACTAAAACATTATTCATTGTTTATTTGAATGTCTAATTTAATTAGGAAGTCTGAATTTTATCTGGTAAGCCAAATAGAGAAAGAAATAGTTAAGCATTCATTCAACAAATCTTTGTAGAGAAGGAACATGTGAGGCCCTTTATTGGGCCCTAAAAAGTGGACTCCTGTCCCCAGGGTTGAGAGGCATCTTAGACAAAACAAGTATTTAGGTCCTTAGCCAGGTAGTAGCATGGAAAAAATGTTGCAAAATATTCAGCTTGGATAAAGTCCTCCAGAATTTTGCAATCATAACATCTGGAGAAAAGCTATTTTAATTTCAGTATACATGAAATTTTTGTGATATATTTTCATTAAGTACTGTAATTTTTAATTTTAATGATGGCTAGAGATGGAGACATCATTATCTTTTCAATGCTGAGAACATCTAAAAGTCTTCATTAAGACTTGTTGCCTATGAGGAGTTTGTCATGTGTTATTAATATCATCATCATCATTGTCATCAACATTTATCAGAAGTGGCAGCTGTGTAGGCAAAGGCAGGATGGTACAGTGGTGAGCACATGCATCCTGGCGATATTATTTGCTAGCTGTGTGGTCTTGGGAAGCTACTTAATCTCTCTGTGCTGCAGTTTCCCCATCTGTAAAATGAAGTATATTAATAATATTTATTTCAGAGGGGTTGGTGAGAAGGTTAAAGAGTTAAAACATTTGAAGGGCTTAGAATAGTGGTTGGCAGCTGGTAAGTGCTACGATAAGTGTAGGCTAATACAGTTTTCTCTTTTTTTGAGATGGAGTTTCGCTGTTGTTGCCCAGGCTGGAGTGCAATGGCATGATCTTGGCTCACTGCAACCTCTGCCTCCTGGGTTCAAGCAATTCTCCTGCCTCAACCTCCCGAGTAGCTGGGACTAGGGGCACACCACCACACCGGGCTAATTTTTGTATTTTTAGTAGAGATGGGGGGTTTTACCATGTTGGTCAGGCTGGTCTCAAACTCCTGACCTCAGGTGATCTGCCTGTCTCAGCCTCCCAAAGTGCTGGGATTACAGGCATGAGCCACCGTGCCAGGCTGGCTAATAAAATTTTAAAATTAATTTTAAACATATGATGTAATTGATATATACACTAGCACTATGGGAGCTCAGAAGAGGAAGCGGCTGGGTGAATGGCTGGGTTAGTATGCCTGAGATGTGAAATGAATCTATTGGTGTTGGTCTTCTATCTTCCCTTAAACCTCCTTGAAGGCCAGAATCACATTGCCTGAATCTTTGTATCCATCCCTCACCCCCCTCAACTCCTTCTTTACTGGTGAAGTATGGGCTTTGACAACACTTGTTGATGAGTACATTAACACTATTGCCAGCATAAAAAGTGTTAGTGATATTCATGGATGTTTCACCAAGGCCACGGTTCCAAAATACTTTAAGTATCTTTAATTTCACTATTCTTGATTTATTTGTAAAGACTAAGGAAACATTTAATTCAGGATAAACACATCAGGATATCTCAGGTGAATTTTATAAATACTCTGGGAGTGAAAGCAAAATGACAACTCCCTTACCATTCACATCTTAGTATACATTGGTATTTGAGGTAAAAATAATACTGTTTTTACATATGATGGAGTTTTTAATAAGTGACCAACATGGTTTTCACCACTTACTCATTATCAAACTGAATTTCCCAAACCTCTCTGAGAGGTGTTATTCATCCCACATTACATACAAGAAAGTGGTGGTGTAGAGTGGTTAAGAAACTGTCTAAAGTCATTAAATAGTAATGATTTGGTCCTAGGTTCAAGTTCAGGACTGTAGGATATCAAAGCCCTTGCTCAAAATGAGTAAGCATGTTTCTCAGCCTGAAAAGTTAGTGGAAAAGAGAGCAGAGAAGAGACATGGGACTCTTTATTCATCTAGTCATTCATTCATTTGCTCAAGTTATCGGGCCTGCAGAGGTACAAAGGATAAGGCCCTGTCCTCAGGGAGGTCACAGTCATAAAGATCTGGGTATAGGAGGATGTGATAAGTGCTCTAGCAGAGGTGTTCATCAAGCTCCCAGGTAGCATTGAGGATGTAAAAATAATGGTGCCTGAGAATGGGGCTCTGGCTGGGGAAGGCATCACAGAGGAGGTGACATTTGCTGAATTGTGCAGACTAAGAGAAAAAAGTGCTTGTTTAGGTCCTAGTTGGCATTTAATAAACACTATGTAAGATTTGCAATTAATTTCACTTTACCATCATTATATAGACAACAGGAAAACAAATATTTTTTGAAAGTCTGCTCGGTACAAAGTCCCATGTTAGGCACATTTATAGACAGAGGTTAGCTTCCTGGCAACCATCTGAAATAGAAACTCTGATCTCTTTCCACATAAGGAAATGGAGGTTCAGAGTGGATGAGACTTGCTGAATGTGGAAAGTTACTTAGTCAACAAATTCACTTATCTGTTTATTCACTCAAGAATTGGTTAAACCCTACCGTGTGTCAGGCAATGTGCTTGGTGCTGAATAACAATAATGAACCAAAGAAAAATAATCTCACTCCTTTAGAGTTTACCATCTAGTGGGGGAGAAGAACATTAATCAAATATATATGTATATACGTCTGTGTGGGCATACGTATACAGTTGACCCTTGAACTATGTGGGGATTAGGGGTACCAATACCCTGCACAGTTGAAAATCTGTGTATAAGTTTTGACTCCCCCAAAGCTTAACTACTAGTAGCTTACTGTTGACCAGAAGCCTTACTGATAACATCAACAGTCAATTAACAGCTGGGCATGGTGGCTCATGCCTGTAATCCCAGCACTTTGGGAGGCCAAGGTGGGTAGATCACTTGAGCTTAGGAGTCCAAGATCAGCCTGGCCAACATGGTGAAACCCTGTCTCTACTAAAAATACAAAAATTAGCTGGGAGTGGTGGTGTGCACCTGTAGTCCTAGCTACTTGGGAGGTTGAAGCAGAAGAACTGCTTGAACCTGGGAGGTGGAGGTTGCAGTGAGCCAAGATCATGCCACTGTGATCAAGTCTGGGTTACAAAGTGAGACTCTGTCTCAAAACAAAAACAAAAACAAAAACACAATGGCAAAAAACTAAAAAGTCAATTAACACATATTTTGTATGTTATGTATTATATACTGTATTACATGTATTCTTACAATAAAATAATTTTGAGAGAATAAAATGTTATTAAGAAAATCATAAAGAAGAATATTTACTATTCTTTAAGTGGAAGTAGCTCATCATAAAGGTTGTTATCCGTGTTGTCTTCTTGCTGAGTAGATGGAGGAGAAAGGGTAGCGGGAGGGTTTAGTCTTGCTGCCTCAGTGGTGGCAGACAGGGAAGAGGTGGAGGAAGTGGAAGGGGAGGCAGGAGAGGCAGGCCCGCAAATGTAACTTTTATTGAAAAAATTTTGGGTATAAGTGTGCCCATGCAGTTCAAACCGATGTTGTTCACGGGTCAACTGTGTAGGTACATAGAGATATAAGCAATGCATCTTTTGAGAAGAAATTTCTGGTTGAGGTGATTGAGGAATACCCCAGGATCTGCAATCTTGATTGTCCTTTGCCCTCTTCCTGGCAGGCTGTGCCCAGGTTACAGTGTCAGTGAAAACCTCCAATGCAGTTCCACTGAACATGGGGAACTGCTGTGTTCTGTGTTTACAGGGAGCACTATGGGGAACAGGAACAGAGAGGAACAACACGACTGACTCTGGTGGCCGAGAACACTATTCATGCACATGTGTGAGACACCGTTGGTGGGTGCTGTGAAGGGAGGCTGAAGGGCCTGCTGTTTTTTATGGGAGCAAAACCTGAGCTGAGAAATACGGTTTAGTGCTCTTATTCTGTTACTAATTTTGCTCTTTGGTTTTTACAAGGGTGAGTGTTAGGAGAGCACAGGCTTCCAGGAGGGTGAAGCAGGGCTGCTATGTTGATTCAGACCATGGTACTCCAGAGTTGTGCAGAATACAGCCTTGTGACCACCTGGTGGCTCTGTGGGGGTTTGATGCAGGACAGCCTCTGCTGGAGGAACAGGATGAAAGCACTGGGCATCAGGAAGGCTCCTAGACAAGTTCAACATTCCCTAAGACCCACTTTTTTTCCCTTTATCAATTTGAGAAAGGCTGATCCTAGAAAGTGTGTTATTTCTATTGTTTTTATCTTCCCTGTCCCCAAACCCCTGATGAGATGCACTTTAGATAGGGTTGTATCTCAGGACAAGACTACATCCTCCCTCCTTAATCTAAAAGGCAGCTCTAGCCTACACTGGAGAAAAAGAATTGTTCCAAAAATTTGAATGAAGTTTTTTCAACAATGAACAGGAACAAGCTTTGACTTCCTGAATGAGTAGAACCTGACAGTGTTAGAAAGTTATGGAATAGGACAAAGACCATGTTTACAGAGCCACAAGGGAGAACAGGAGATCCCACAAAGGAGCCTTTCTTGCTACTGCAAGTGCGGTCTGCAAACCAGCAGCCTTGGCTTGTCAGAAAAGCAGAATCTCTGCCCTCAGCCCAGACCTGCTGAGTCAGCATCTGCATTTGAACAGAATCCCCTAGGGATTCATAAGTACATTAAAGTTTGAGAATCACAGGTATAGTTGGATAAAATAAAACATTTGATGTTTATATTCTTGGCTTCTGGGCAGAGCAGCTAACTAAGGGAGGCATTTTTGACGTGCTGGTGTATTTTGGGCTGTCAGCTGCTCTTTCTTTCACAGGATCTGCTATCATGCTTGTCATCTTGGTCCCTCAACAGAAAACCTTCAACTATTTATCTGGAGAGACCACAACCCACGCCATTAAAAAGCAGACAGATCTTTGTATTTGTGAAGGCTCACAATTAATATTTTATGGAGAAAGGATTAATAAAACATTATGCAATTAGCTGCTTCCCTTTAGCAATCACACCTCATTAAGGGAGGTAGGAGTCAGCCTACAGGACCCCCAGCAGCTGGCCTAGGCTCTGACTCAGAACAGGCCTGATGGTTTAGAGGAGTGACAGCCTGATTCTGCCTTGTTTGGAGCAGAATTTTCTCCTGCAAGTGGTGTAATAAGTGGGGTTGGCTATCAGCAGGATAACTTATGGCAGCCACGCCTTTATCTGTATTTCCAGCACTTTCTATGAATTTATTCATTTACACTGTCTTCTGGATACTAGGTACTGTGCTAGGTGATGGAAAAAGAGCAGTGGTAAATATCTCCCCCTTCAAAGATTCTGGATGCCATCAAAGACTCTTGCCTTTCCTTCAAAGCCCCTTCCCACCTGGCACCACCTCATGGCTCCTGGCATTTCTTTCTGCTAGCCATCCTACCTGTTTGGCTCTGGTGTCTTCCACCCTATGAATATATCACCAGGTGCAGTCTGCCCTCTGTGGCCCCTCCTAGCCTTCCTTCTCTCTATCCTGAAGCTGCACAAAGAAGCCCCTTTCTCTTCCACCCTCCCAGTGGACTCTGTCACTTCCTGGGGATAGGTCTTTCATCCTGACACAGGGCACAGACACTTTTGTGTGTAGCATGCTGTCATCTTTATGGTAGCTCTGCTTCGCTGACACTTGTCTCTGCTTCTAGTCTGACATCCCCATGTAAGGCTGTGTCTTTGTCTGAGATTAGCATGTTGACATGGTCCTGAAACCCCCAGAGACAGAGCTGACAGCACCTTCTAATTTCCACAGACTGCATTCACTCTTGCCCTCCTAAGAAGACTGTGATCATGAAGAAGCCCAATTAAACATGTGGGATAAAAGAGCATTGGGCTGGGATGTCACGCTTGGCAGCCTGACAGTCTACCCACATGCTAGGTCACCTTCTCTAAGCCCCTCAGAGCTGGAGGCAAGAAAACAGGGCCTCGGTGACAGCATCTTCAGAGCCAAAGTGACAGAGGAGGGGATGCTCTTGTCAGCTTTGTTTGATCAACCCATAACAGGCAATCTAGAGCATGCCACCTCTAACACTCTAAAATAAATGAATTAGGAAAGGGAATTATCCGGGTGATTGCTTCTACTCAATAGCCTACTTCATCCCTGTGGATGAGAAGGAGAGGAAGAGTAAGTGGGAGGGGCAGAGAGACATTAGGAAGGCTGATTTGACTTGGATCTGATTGTCGTGGTGGTCTTACATTTAGATGGAGAAAATTTGGTCTATGCACCTCCTACCTCAGCTCAGTGCAGTTGGAATCATCTGACAGTTTTAATCAAAGATGTGATGCAATCAGATATGTTTGTTGGGAAGGCCACTGTAGCAGATGTTGTTGATGCCCTTCCCAAATCCCTTTTTTATGTTGGTGTCCCCATCTCCCAGCTGCTGTGAAGTTTTGCTGCAAATAGCTCAGAGGTGTCCGCCGCCCCCTCCTTTTTTTTTTTTTTTTTTTGAGATAGAGTCTCACTCTGTCGCCCAGGCGGAGTGCAGTGGCACTATCTCGGCTCACTGCATGCTCCGCCTCCCGGGTTCACGCCATTCTCCTGCCTCAGCCTCCCAAGTAGCTCGGACTACAGGTGCCCGCCACTGTGCCCGGTTAATTTTTTTGTGTGTGTATTTTTGGTAGAGACGGGGTTTCACCGTGTTAGCCAGGATGGTCTCGATCTCCTGACCTCGTGATCCTCCCGCCTTGGCCTCCCAAAGTGCTGGGATTACAGGCATGAGCCACCACACCTGGCCCCCCGACCCTTTTTTTTTTTTAAATGTAATTGGACAGATTGAGCTGCCCTGCCTGTTAAATGCCATGTCTCACCCCCAACCCACCACCCAGTCAATGGCTGATAGTCACAGGGAGGTAATTTACCTGGTCTCAAAGCGGGACCAGCTTTGGTACAATTAGTGCCATTGAACTTATCTGAGGGATCAAACTCAGACCACACTTTGGCTTAGTTTTTTTCCTCTCCCCCCAACCCCTTCTTTCCTTATCTCCCTTCTTTGAGGGCATTCCCCAGTAAATCACTTGAACAAGAAGCCCCATCTTAGGTTCTGCTTCTAGGAAGCCCAACCTAAAACAGTTATTATGCACAGAAATGTGAGGACCTAGTGCTAAGGAGACAGGGTAGGAGGCTCTGCCATGGTTCAGGCACACAATAAGGCTATGACCTGGGGAAGTGGCAGTGAGAAGAGAAAGAATGAGAGAGGTGCCAGAGACATTAGAATGAGGCGATCTGCGAGGAGTCCCTATATGACTGGGTAGGGGCTGAAGGAGGAAGCAAACATGACTGATGTTTTAGGTATAGGTGAGGATAGCACATGTGGTGATACTCACATTAATGGGAAGGAGGATTCTTCACTTTTTCCTTTTCTACCTCTGCAAAGGCAACCACCTCTAGCTCACTTCTGTCCTCACTGGGCTTGCCTCTGGGCTCCTGCTCCTGCTTCTCTCTCCTCCCTGAGTTGTTTTGGGCTCACAGTTGTTCCCTGCCTGGCAGAGTCTCCATTCCTCAAGTGTGCTACATCTCTCTAATCAGATGATGATTTCCATGTCTTCAAGGACTGTGCTGTATTGGTTACTGTATAGAGGTCCATGTGTGTTTTTCGTATGTAAAGGGAATTTTTAAATGTTTGTCACAGAGAAATAGGAACGCTTTTACACTGTCGGTGGGAATGTAAATTAGTTCAATCATTGTGGAAGACAGTGTGGCGATTCCTCAAAGATCTAGAACCAGAAGTACTATTTGACCCAGCAATCCCATTACTGGGTAATACAGTATATAAAGAATAGAAATCATTCTATTACAAAGATATGTGCACACATATATTCACTGCAGCACTATTCACAATAGCAAAGACATGGAACCAACCCAAATGCCCATCAATGATAGACTGGATAAAGAATATATGGTACATATATACCATGGAATACTATGTAGCCATAAAAACGAATGAGATCATGTCCTTTGCATGGACATGGATGAAGCTAGAAGCCATTATCCTCAGCAAACTAATATAGGAACAGAAAACCAAACACTGCATGTTCTCACTTATAAGTGGGAGCTGAACGATGAGAATACATAGACACAGGGAGGGGAACAAAACACATACTGGGGCCTATTGTGGGGAGGGAGAGCATTAGGAAAAATAACTAACGCATGCTGGTCTTAATACCTAGTTGATGGGTTGATAGGTACAGCAAACCACCATGGCACATGTCTAACTATGTAACAAACCTGCACGTCCTGCATGTGCACCCCAGAACTAAAAATAAAAATTGAAATAAAAAAATTTGTTGATTAATTAGTACCTTTGCTCTTAAAACACTGGTGTGCCGTAACAAGTCCTCCCTGGCTGGGCTGAGGGCTTTACATTTATATAATGTCATTACCTGCAGACCTTGGTTTCAGGACCGTGAAGTTACTTATTTTGCTTATCAACTTTGTTGAGAAATAATTTCTGTGAGATAAACCACATCTATTTAAAGCATACAATTCAATGAGTTTCGTCAGTTATTTGCACTTATAAAACCAGCATCACGATCAAGACAAAAGCCACTTGCATCATTTTTTTTGCCTCTTTGCATTCCATCCCACCTTACCTCTGGGCCCACACAACCACTGTCTTTTTTTTTTCTTTTGTCACTATAAATGGTTTGTATTTTCTGAAACTTAAACTAAAACAAGTTGCATTTTATGAAAATGGAATCATCCAGTATGTATTCTTTTTTTTTTTTCAGGTATTTATTTTTTTAATTTTGTTTTTATTTTCATTTTTATTTTCGAAACAAGGAGTACATGTGCAGGTTTGTTATATGGGAATGTTAAATGATTCCGAGGTTTGGAGTATGGATCTTGTCACCCAGGTAGTGAGCATAGCACCTGATAGGTAGTTTTCTAACTCATCCTCCCCACCAGCCTCCCACACATAAACTTTGCAGCAGCATGGATGTAGCTAGTGGCCATAATCTTAAGTGAATTAACACAGGAACAGAAAACCAAATACCTCAAGTTTAGCTTGAGTTTAGCATATTATGTCCGTATGTGCTCAATGTCCAGCCCCCACGTACCTCAGTGTTAAGTGGGAGCTAAACACTGAGCACACATGGACACAATATGAGAATAATAGACACTGTGGACTACTAAAGGAATGAGTCACTTTCTAAGTCAACAAATGATGCTAGCAGAAGAACTGTGGAAGAAGAAAAGTTATATCTTTAAAATGTACCTTTTTTTTTTTTGGAGAATAAATTGCTTCATCTTGATCATGTTGGAAGAGGTCCAATGTAATCTACTTGCCACCTAATGTTTTGTAGACCCCATCCAGGGGAAGTTTGCCTCTGCTCTGGGCTTAGATTTGATATCTTCTGTTGGTAACCTCAGAATTAGAGAATAACAAAATCAGGTTTAGTGAGAAAAAGTCATTTTTTTTCTCATTCACTGCATAATATCAAGACAATAAATTCTCTCCAGAACATACTATGAAAGAAAGCAGACTTGCCTTACCCTGTGAGAAACTTAAACCATGCATATATATGCAGACATTGCATGTCTATGCAAAAACAAACTGATTCTGCTTTTGTTTGTTTTGATTGAAAGTATATGTTGGATTAATAATGCATGCCAGGTGTTAGGTACAGTATCATTCTGCTCTAACAATAGTATCATGTGTAGAAATGCAGCAGCAATTGGTATCTTACAATATGTATTCTTTTGTGCTAGGCTTCTTTCACTCACCATGATCATTTAGAGATTCACTCATGTTGTTAAGAGTATTAATAGTATTAGTAGTCCATTTTCTAAGTTAAAATTTTCATTTTGACATAATTTTAGATTCATATACTGTTGTAAGAAATAATACAGAGGGCCCTTGTGTACATTTTACCGAGTTTCCCCCAATAGGTACATCTTATAAAAATACAGTACACTATTACAACCAGGATATGGACAATGGTACAGTCAATCACTACAAGGAAATAAATCTCTCAGTTGCTCTTTTCTAGCCACATCCACTTTCATCACACCCGCTGCCTCTTTTTAAAAAATAGGCTTTATTTTTTAGAGCAGTTTTAGGTTCATAGCAAAATTGAACAGAGGGTACAGACATTTCCCATATGCCCCCTGCCCCCACTGACATGCACAGCTTCCCCCATTACCGACAGCCCCCACCAGAGTGGTATATTTGCTACAACTGAAGGACCCATATTGATACATTTTTATCACATAAAGTTTTTAGTTTACATTAGGGTTTATTCTTGGTGTTGTACCGAGTTAGGAGTTGGGTCTTTACTCCAGAGGTGAGGATTGGACACTGGACCAAATTGGGGACTAGCTAAAACAGAGACTGGGCAAAAGCAGCTTTCCATAAGACATGCTCACTGGTATGCCATATTAGTTTACCATTGCCATGGCAACATCTGGGAGTTACTGCCCTTTTCCATGGCAATGACCTGACAACCCAAACGTTATTACCCTTTTCCCAGAAATTTCTGCATAAACCATTTCTCAATCTACATGTAATTAAAAAGTAAGTATAAATATGACTGCATAGCTGCCCCGAGCTGCTACTCTCAGTAGCAGCTGCCTATGGAATATCCCTGCTTTGTAGGAGCAGCCACAGAGCTGTAACACTGCCAGAGCTGTAACACTGCTGCTTCAATAAAGCCGTTTTTTTTTCTACCCTATCACCAGCTTGCCCTTGAATTCTTTCCCAGGCAAAGCCAAGAACCCTTGTAGGCTAAGCCCCAATTTGAAGCTCACCTATCCTGTATCAGTATATTCTATGGGTTTGGACAAATATGTAATGACATGTTTCACCATTATAGTATCATACAGAGTAGTTTCACTTCCCTAAAAATTTTCTGTGTTCTGCCGGTTCACCCCTCCCTCTCCCCTACTTCTGACCCCTGGCAACCACTGATCATTTTATTGTCTTCATAATTTTGTCTTTTCTACAATGTTATATAGTTGGAATCATACAGTGTGTAGCCTTTTCAGATTGGCTTCTTTCACTTAATAATATGCGTTTAAGTTTACTCCAGATCTTTTCATGGCTTGATAGGTCATTTCTTTTTAGTGCTGAATAACATTTTATTGTCTGGAAGTACCATGGTTTATTCATCCACTCTCCTACTGAAGGCTATCTTGGTTGCTTCCAAGTTGTGGCATTTATGAATAAAACTGCCATAAACCTTCATGTGCAGGTTTTTGTGTGGACATAAGTTTTCAATTCTTTTGGGTAATACCAAGGAGAACCATTGCTGAATCATATGGTAAGAGTATATTTACTTATTAGAAACTGCCAAACTGTCTTCCAGGGTGGTTGTACTATTTTGCATTCCCACCAGCAATAAGTGAGTTTATTTGTATCCTCATCAGCATTTGGTGTTGTCAGTGTTCCGGATTTTGCCAGTTTAATAGGTGTGAGTGGTATGTCATTGTTGCTTTAATTTGCATTTCCATGATGACATATGATGTGAATCCTCTCTTCAACATGCTTGTTTGCCATCTGTATATTTTCTTTGGTGAGGTGTTTGTTAAGGTCTCTGGCCCATTTTTTAAATTGGGTTGTTTGTGTTCTTATTATTGATTTTTATGAGTTCTTTGTATATTTGGGATCATAGTTCTTTATCAGGTATTTGTTTAGCAAATATTTTCTCCCTATCTGTTGTCTTCTCATTCTCTTAACAGTGTCTTTCACATAACATTTTTAATTTTAATGAAGTCCAGCTTATCAATTCTTTCTTTCATGGATTGTGCTTTTGGTGTTGTATCTAACAAGTTACTGTGTAACTCAAAGTCATGTCTAGATTTTCTCCTATGTAATTATTTTCTATGTAAATAATTAGAGTTTATAATATTTTACTAAATTTAGATAATACAGAAAAATAAAAATCATTTGCAATCTCTAACATGACTCCTACAAAGATCAAAGATAGTAGGTCTGTAAAAATAATAGATATTTGTTTTTTAAAATTGGACATTCTATAAATATTCTTTTATAATGTATACTTTCCATTTAACAATATATTTTAAGCATTTAAATATGTCATTCAATATTATTAACATGATTTTCATTATTGTACAGTATTTTATCAATCCTTATGTTCATTCAGTTTGCCTTGAATATTTCAGTATTATAAATAATGCCTCAGTGAAGGATCTTGTACATTATCCTCTAGGGGTTTTATAGTTTTGTGTTTTACATTTAAGTCTATGATCTATTTTGAGTTAACTTTTGTGAAGGACGTAAGCTCTGTGTCTAGATTAATTTTTTTTGCATGTGGATGTCCATTTGTTGCAGTACAGTTTGTTGAAAAGATTATATTTTTTATTTTATTTCCTTTGTCCCTTTGTCAAAGATCAGTTGACTATGTGGACTTATTTATGGGCTCTCTATTTTGTTCCATTGATCTATTTGCCTATTCTTCCACCAGTTCCGCACTGTCTTGATTACTGTTGCTTTTACAATAAGTCTTGAGGTTGGGTAGTTTCAGTTCTTCAACTTTGTTCTTCAATATTGTGTGGCTATTCTGTTTTTTCTTTTCTTTCTTTTTTTTGCCTCTCCATATAAACTTTAGAATCAGTTTGTCAAGATTCACAAAATAACTTACTGGGATTTTGATTGGAATTGCATTGAATTTATAGATCAAGCTGGGAAGAACAGACATCTTGATAATTTTTTTGGTTTGGTTGTGTGCCCCCAGAATTCATATGTTGAAATCCTAACCCCAATGCGGTAGTTTTAGAAGGTGGAGACTTTGGGAGGTAATTAGGTCTTAGGGTAGAGCCTTCAGAAGTGGGATTAGTGCCCTTATGAGAAAAGACATGAATGATTGCTTCCTGTCTCTGCTCTCCAGCATATAAGGACACAACCAGAAGACATCAATCTGCAAACCAGAAAGTGGGCTCTCATCAGACACTGAGTCTGCTGACACCTTGATCTTGGACTTCCCAGCCTCCAGAACTGTGAGCATTATATGTTTTTTTTAGCCACCCAGTCTATGATAATTTGTTATAGTAGTCTGAATTTACTAATACAACAATATGGGGTCTTCCTATCCATGAACATGAAATATATTTCCATTTATTTAGTTCTTGTTTACTTTAATTCAGCAGAGATTTATAGTTTCCCTCATATAGACATTGTTTATATTTTGTTAGATTTATACCTAAGTATTTCAATTTTGGGGGTGCTAATGTAAATGATATTATGTTTTAAATTTTAAATCACACTTGTTCATTGCTGGGATGTAGAAAAGTGATTGACTTTGCATATTAACCTCATATCCTGCAACCTTACTATAATCACTTATAGTTCCAGGGGTTTTTTGTTGTTGGTTCTTTAGGCTATTCTGCATAGACAATCATGTCATCTGTGAACAAAGGACGTTTTCTTTTTTCCTCATCTGTATACTCTTTGCTTTCTTTTCTTGTCTTATTGCATTTTCTAGTACTTCCAGTATAGTGTTGAAAATCAGTAGTGACAGGGGACAACCCTGCCTTGTTTTTTTTATCTTAGTGGGGAAGCTTCCAGTTTCTCTCCATTAAGTTTGAAATTGACTGTGGATTTTTGTAGATACTCCTCATCAATTGAGGAAATTCTCCTCTGTTCCTAGTTTACTGAGGGTTTCTTTTTTTAATCATGGATGAATATTGGATTTTGTGAAATGCTTTATTTTGCATTTAGTTGTATGTTCATGTGACTTTTCATTTTTAGCCTATTCATGTGATAGAGTACATTAATTGATTTTTGAATGCTGAAACAGCTTTGCATACTTGGGATAAATACCACTTGGTCATGGTGTATAATTCTTTTTATACATTGTTAGATTTAATTTACTAATATTTTGTTGAGGATTATTGCATCTATTTTCATGAGAGATATTGGTCTGATATTTTTTTTCTCTCATAATACCTTTCTGGTTTTGATATTATGGTAATACTGGCCCTATCAAATGAGTTAGGAAAATTCCCTCTTGTTTCTATCTTCTGGAAGATATTGTAGATAATTGGTATAAGATATTCCTTAAATGTTTGGGAGGATTCACAAGTGAATACATCTGGGCCTGGTACTTTCTGTTTTGAAAGCTTATTAATTTTTGATTCAATTTATTTAGTAGATATAGACCTATTTGAATTGTCTATTTCTTCTTGTGTGAGTTTTGGTAGATTGTGTTTTTCAAGGAATTGATTCATTTCATCTAGGCCATCAAATTTGTGAGCATAGAGTTGTGCATAGTATTCCTTGCATATCTTTTTAATTTCCACAGAATCTGTAGTGAAGTCCCTTTTTCATTTGTGATATGAATAATTTTGTTCTTTCTTTTAGTTCCTCAGCCTGACTAGAGGCTTATCAATTTTATTGATCTTAAAAAAACAGCTTTTGGTTTGGTTGATTCTTTTCTATTGGAATCCTGTTTTCAATTGTATTGATTTATGCTCTAATTTTCATTATTTCTTTTCTTCCTCTTACTTTAGATTTAATTTGACCTTTCTTTGTACTTTCCTAAGGTGGAAGCTTAAATGATTAATTTTAGATCTTTACTCTTCTTTGTATATGCAATCAATGCTATAAATTCTCTGTAAGCACTGCTTTTGCAACATCTCAGAAATTTTGATAAATGTTTTCGCTTTCATTTGGTTAAAATATTTTTAAATTTCTCTTGAGATCTCTTCTTTGACCCATGTGTTATTTAGAAGTGTGTTATTTAATCTCCAAGTATTTTAGTATTTAGTATTTTACATTCTAAAATACCTTTCTGTTATTGATTTCTTATTCAATTCCATTGTGGTCAAAGGGCAGGCATTGCATAATTTTTATTTTTTTAAATTTGTTAAAGTGTGCTTTATGACCTAGAATATAGTCTGTCTTGATGAGTGTTCCATATGAACTTGGAAGAATGTGCTGCTGATGTTGTTGGATGAAATAGTCTATAGATATCCATTATATCCTACTGACTGATGGTGTAGCTGAATTCAACTATGTCCTTACTAATTTTTCACCAGCTGAATCTGTTTTTTTTTTTTTTCCCAATACAGAGTGTTGCTCTGTTGTCCAGGTTGGAGTGCAGTGGTGTGATCTCAGCTCACTGCAATCTCCGCCTCTCAGGTTCAAGCAATTCTCCTGCCTCAGCCTCCTGAATAGCTGAGATTACAGGTGTGTGCCACCATGCCTGGCTAATTTTTGTATTTTTAATAGAAATAGGGTTTCACCATGTTGGCCAGGCTGGTCTCGAACTCCTGACCTCGTGATCTGCCCACCTCAGTCCCCCAAAGTACTGGGACTACAGGCATGAGCCACCACGCCCAACTTCCTTTTTAAATTTTTTTGTGACAAGGTCTTGCTCTGTCACCCAGACTGGAGTACAGTGGTGCAATCACAGCTCACCACCTCAGCCCACTGAGTAGCTGGGATTGTAGGTGCACACCACCATGCCTACCTAAGTTTTAAATTTTTTGTTGAGATGGGGTCTTGCCATATTGCCTAAGCTGGTCTCAAACTCCTGGGCTCAAGCAGTCTTCTCACCTTGACCCCCCAAAGTGCTGGGATTACAGGTGTGAGCCACTGTGCCTGATCCTGACCATTCCTGATACAGGTGTGTTAAAATCTCTAATAATAATGGATTCATCTCTTTATTCTTGCAGTTCTATCAGTTTTGCCTCACATATTTTGATGTTCTGTTGTTAGGTCATACATGTTAAGAATTGTTGTGTCTTCTTGGATAATTGGCCCTTTACCATTATGCAGTGCCCCTTTTTATTCCTGATAATTTTCCTTGCTCTGAAGTTCACTGTCTGAAATTAATATAGCTTTCTTCTGATTAGTGTTAGCATGGTATGTATTTCTTCATTTATTTACTTTTTCTTTCTCTTTTTGTTTTGAGACAGCATCTTACTCTGTCATGCAAGCTGGAGTACAGTAGAACAATCACTGCAGCCTTGAATTCCTGAGTTCAAGTGATCCTCCTGCCTCTGGCTTTAGAGTAGTTGGGACCACGGGCACACACTAGCACACCCAGCTAATTTTTTGTAGAGGCTAGGTCTTGCCATGTTTCCCAGGCTGTTTTCAAATTCCTGTGCTCAAGCAATTCTCCTGTCTCAGCCTCCCAAAGTGTTGGGATTACAGGCATGAGCCCCTGTGCCCAGCCATCCATTTACTTTTAATCTGTATGTTTCTTTATATTTCAAGTGAGTTTCTTGTAGACAACATATAATTTGGTCTTGTTTTTTGATCCACTCTGACAATCTCTGTCTTTTGATTGGTGCATTTAGACCATGGATGTTCAAAGTGATTACTGATATAGTTGGATTAATATCTAACATATTTGTTACTGTTTTCTATTTGGTGTCTTACTTTACTCTTATTTTTGTCTTTCACTGTCTTCCCGTCTTTTGTGGTTTTAACCGTTTTCCCATTTGCCCTGAGAATACTTGTTGGTGGTGCTTGTGGCTGCAGTATTTAACCTGATACCTTGCCTTGAAATATCTCACTTTTATTATTATTTTTGCATCACTGTAGTATATCAACTTTGGAAACAAAATACATTATTCTATTTATAGCATTTTGGTTTTAGTAGTGGTATTTCCATTTACAAAATATAGTAATTCTCTATTGTTGACAATGTCAGATTCTAGAAAATGTAGCATTCCTATGCATGATGTTAATATTGTTCTTGAACAATTATTGGCCAAAGATTCATTTGACAAATGTTATTTTTCTGAGATAGATGATTCTGATAATTTAGACAATGTGATGTAAGTTCTGTTTAGAAATAACTCCAAGAACAGTTTTTATAATTTATTTTCACATTGAAAATCAGTCATATTTGCTTCAGCCTCAAAGAGCATGTTTATATAAAATAAAGTGAGAGCTGGCAGTGAGCTGCACATTTTTTTTCCTAAACAAGAAAAGGGTTAATTGAGCATCTTACATGATTCCAATATTTTTTTCTTTTTAGCATGTCAGTGTAGTTCTCTTTTCATTTTTTTAATGATTGCCCTAGAATTTACAATATCTGTTTACAACTAATCCAAGTTCACTTTTAAATAACACTATACTAAACAGAAGGAAAATGGCAGACAGGAGGCAGGGCTAACTTGTAGCTCCCACTTGGATGGACAGAGCAATGTGTGGAGACTCATATCGTAAACTTTTTTTCCAAGAACTATCCCAGGAACATACCAGGAAAGCTGAGAGAATCCACAGACCTTTGAAGGAAGCAGGTTGCTCCTGCAGGCCTTGGGAGACAGCCCGAAAACTGTGAGTTCTCAAAGTGAAAGGGGGATTATCTACCCCCGAGCTCACACCTTCACTGGGGAACCTGAAGATCCAGATCACAAGAAAAGGATTTGACCTTACCTGGAGCTGAGACAATTTTAGAGAGCCGAGTGAAATACAGGGGTAGAAGAAGCAGCAGGAAGAGCCATCCCCAGGGAAGCCATTTCTGACTTTGTCTCACAGAGGTCACTGGGGAGGGCTGCCAGAAGAACTAGGAATAGACCACAGAGAGAAACTTCCAGCTGAACTTTGTAACAGTTTTGATTGAATGTGAAGTTTCCTGGATAGAAACTGGGGGAAAGGGTGAATCAAGAGAGCAGACATAGCACAGAAGCCATGGCAGGAGGGGAGGCCTGAAACCTGACAGCCCTGCTTGCTTTCTCAGCTGGGAGGCTGGTAGCCTGGGGCAAGTTCTCAGCCCTGCTCACTAGCTGCCTGGACATAAACTTGGTGCTGTTGGTGGGGCATGGTGGGAATGAGACCAGCCTCTTGGGCTGTGTGGGAGCTAGATGAGGCTGGTAACTGCTGGCTCCCCCTATTTCCCTGTCAACCTGCATGACACAGCAAAGGCAGCCATAATCCCCCTGGGAACATAACATTGGCCTGAGGAACACACCCACATCCCCCACAGCAGCTGCAACAAGCTCCACCCAAGTAGAGTGAGCTCAGATATTCATAACCCTGCCTCGACCTGAGGGTCCTTCTCTATCTCCCATGGTAGCCAAAAACAAGGGACACAATCTCATCAGAGCTCTAGGTCTCTGCCCATCACCCGATTCTCCCTATATCACAGCAGCTGATGCTCTCTTGAAAGCACCACCTCCTGGCTGGAGGCCAACCAATGCAAAACTAGTGCAATAAACAAAATTACAACTAAGGACCTTCACAGATTCCATTTCAGTCCCCTACCACCTCCACTGGAGCAGGTGCTGGTATCCGTGGCTGAGAGATCTGAAGACAGTGCACATCACAGGACTCTGTGCAGACACTCCCCAGTACCAGCCTGGAGCCCAGTAGCTCTGCTTGGTGGCTAAATCCAGAAGAAAAATAACAATCACTGCAGTTTGGCTCTCAGGAAGCCCCATCCCTAGGGGAAGGAAGAGAGAACTACATCAAGGGAGCACCACGTGGGACAAAAGAATCTGAACAGCAGCCTTGAGCCCCAGATCTTCCTTCTGAAATAGTCTGTTCAAATGAGAAGGAACAAGAAGAGAAATTCTGGTAATATTACAAAGCAAGGTTCTTTAACACTCCCAAGAGATTACAGTAGGTCAGCAGCAATGGATCCAAACCAAGAAGAAATCCCTAAATGCGAGAAAAAGAATTCAGAAAGTCAATTATTAAGCTAATCAAGGCAGCATCAGAGAAAGGTGTGGTCCAATTTAATGAAATAAAAAAAAGATACAAGATATGAAGGGAAAAATCTTTGGTGAAATAAATAGAAGAAATAAAAAAGATACAAGATCTGAAGGGAAAAATCTTCGGTGAAATAAATAGAATAAATAAAAACAATCACAACTTCTGGAAATGAAGGACACACTTAGAGAAATGCAAAATACACTGGAAAGTCTCACTTATAGAATCGAAAAAGCAGAAGAAAGAACTTCAGAGCTCAAAGACAAGGTTTTCAAATTAACCCAATCCAACAAAGTTGAAGAAAAAAGAATAAAAAAAGAACAAAGCCTCCAAGAAGTCTGGGAATATGTTAAATGATGAAACCTAAGCATAATTGGTGTTCCTGAAGAAGAAGAGAAATCTAAAAGTTTGGAAAACATATTTGAGGAAATAATTGAGGAAAACTTCCCTGACCTTGCTAGATATCCAGACATCAAAATACAAGAAGCTCAGAGAACACCTGGGAAATTTATCACAAAAAGATCACCTAGGCACATAGTCATCAGGTTATCTAAAGTCAAGATGAAGGAAAGAATCTTAAGAGCTTGGAGGTAAAGGCACCAGGTAACCTATAAGGGAAAACCCATCAGATTAACAGCAAATTTCTCAGCAGAAACCTTACAAGCTAGAAGGGATTGGGGCCCTATCTTTAGCCTCCTATTTTCAGCCAAGAATTTTGTATCCAGTGAAACTAAGCTTCATAAATGAAGGAAAGATACAGTATTTTTTAGACAAACAAATGCTAAGAGAATTTACCACAACCAAGTCAGCATTATAAGAACTGCTAAAAGGAGCTCTAAATCTTGACACAAATCCTTGAAATACAGCAAAATAGAACCTTCTTAAAGCATAAATATCACAGGGCCAATAAAAGAAACACACACACACACACACACACACACACACACACACACACAATCAAGGTATTCAGGCAACAAATAGCATGATGAATAGAATAGTAATTCACATCTGAATACTAACATTGAATGTAAATGGCCTAAATGCTCAACTTAAAAGATACTGAATGGCAGAACGGATAAGAATTCACTAACCAAGTATCTGCTACCTTCAAGAGACTCATCTAACACGTAATGTCTCACTTAACTTAAGATAAAGGGGTGGAAAAATATATTCCATGCAAGTAGATGCCAGAAGTGAGCAGGAGTAGCTATTCATATATCAGACAAAGCAAACTTTAAAGCAACAGCAGTTAAAAAACACAAAGAGGGACATTATATAATGATAAAAGGACTTGTCCAATAGGAAAATATCACAATCCTAAATATATATGTACCTAACACTGGAGCTCCCAGATTTATAAAACAATTACTACTAGACTTAAGAAATAAGATAGACAGAAACACAATAATAGTGGGGGACTTCAGTACTCCATTGGAGGCAGTAGACAGGTCATCAAGACAGAAAGTCAACAACAAAACAATGGATTTTTTGTTTCAGAACATTCTACCCCACAACTGCGGTGTATACATTCTATTCATCCACACATGCAACATTCTTCAAGATAGACTATACGATAGGCTACAAAACAAGTCTCAACAAATTTAAGAAAATTGAAATTATATCAAGTACTCTCTCAGACCATAGAGGAATAAAATTGGAAGTCAACTCCAAAGGAAATGCTTAAAACTATGCAAATACATGGAAATTAAATAACCTGCTTCTGAATGATCATTGGCTCAACAATGAAATTAAGATGGAAATTAAAAAATTATTTGAACTGAAAGTAAATTGTGACAGAACTTAACAAAACCTCTGAAATACAGCAAAGCCAGTGCTAAGAGGAAAGTTCAAACCCTTAAATGCCTACATCAAAAAGTCTGAAAGAGTACAAATAGACAATCTAAGGACACACCTCAAGAAACTAGAGAAACAAGAATAAACCAAACCCAAACCCAACAGAAGAAAAGAAATAACAATGATCAGAGCAGAACTAAATGAAACAGAAACAAAAAAAAATACGAAAGATAAATTTAACAAAAAGCTGGTTCTTTGAAAAGATAAATAAAATTGATAGACCATTAGTGAGATTAACCAAGAAGAGAGAAGATCCAAATGAGCTCAATTAGAAAGAAAACAGGAGATATTACGACTGATACTACAGAAATACAAGAGATCATTCAAGGCTACTATGAATGCATTTAGGTGCATAAACTAGAAAACCTAGAAATGATGGATAAATTACTGGAAATATACAACCATCCTAGATTAAACCAAGAATAAATAGAAACTCTGAACATGTTACTGGTAGAAGGTGTCCAGGTTCTTGGCATCTCAATGAAGAATTGGTCAAAATGCAGAAAAAAAACGAGGAAAGCAAAAGCAGGGATTTATTGAGAATGAAAGTACACTCCACAGTGTGGGAGTGACCTGAGTGTAGGGGGGCTCAAGAGCCCCACTTACAGAATTTTCTGGGGTTTCAATACTCTAGACATTTCCCATTGGTTACTTGGTGTATATTCTGTATAAACAAAGAGAATGAAGTGAAGTCACAGATCATTTACTCAGAATGTGTCCTATTATAAATTGAGAGGATGTTATTTGGTGTGTGTGATCTATGTAAACGGAGAGGATGAATGTGAAGTTACAAAGTGTAAATGGCATGAATGGAGAGGATGAAGTGAAGTTACAAAGCCATTCATATTCCTGTCATTGCTGAAGTGCTTTCATTTGATTTAGTTCTAGGAATTCATTGTGGATTGGCCTTATGTTCCCTGTCTCCAGGCCCCATTTCCCTGCCTTAGACAGACCAATAACAAACGGCGAGATTGAAGTGGTAATATAAAATTGCCAGCAACAAAAAACAGTCCAGGACCAGATGAATTCACAGCTGAATTCTATCAGACATTCAAAGAAGAGTTGGTAGCAATCCTATTGACACTATTCCAAAAGATAGAGAAAGAGGGAATCCTTTCTAAGTCATTCTATGAAGCCAGTATCGCCCTGATACCAAAACCAAAAAAGGATATAACAAAAAAAGAAAAAAAGAGAACAATATCCCTGATAAATATAGACACCAAAATCTTCAACAAAATACAAAAACAAAAACCCTGAATCCAATAGCATATCAAAAGGATAATCAACTATGATCAAGTGGGTTTCCTATCAGGTATTAAGAAATGGTTCAACATACGAAATCAGTAAATGGAATACACCACATAAACAGAATTAAAAACAAAATCACATGATCATCTCAATAAATGCATCTAGCATCCCTTTATGATTAAAACCCAGCATCCCTTTATGATTAAATCCAGCATCCCTTTATAGTTAAAACGCTTAGCAAAATTGACATAGAAGAAACATACCTTCTATGTCAAGGTAGTAAAAACCATCTATGACAAACCCACAGCCAACATAATACTGAATGGGGATAAGTTGAAAGCATTCCCCCTGAGAACTGGAACAAGATGAGGATGCCCATTTCTACCACTTGTCTTCATAATAGTACTGGAAGTCCTAGCCAGAGCCATCAGACAAGAGAAAGAATAAAGAGCATCCAAATTGGTAGAGAGGAAGTCAAACTGTCACTGTTTGCTGATGATATGATTGTATACCTAAAAAATCCTAAAGATTTCTCCATAAAGCTCCTAGAAATAAATGAATTCAGCAAAGTTTCAGGATACAAAATTAATGTCCACAAATTAGTAGCTCTGCTATACACGAACAATGACCAAGCTGAGAATCAAATCAAGAACTCAATCCCTTTTACAACATCTGCAAAAAAAAAAAAAAATACTTAGGAATATACCTAACAAAGGAGGTGAAAGATCTCTACAAAGTAAACTACAAAACACTGCTGAAAGAAATCATAGATGTCACAAACAAATGGAAACACATCCCATGCTAATGGATGCGTAGAATCAATATTGTAAAAATAATCATACTGCCAAAAGCTATCTACAAATTCAATGCTATTTCTACCAAAATACTATCATCATTCTTCAGAGAACTAGAAAAAAAATCCTAAAATTCATATGAAACCCAAAAAGAGCCTGCATAGCCAAAGCAAGACAGAGCAAAAAAAAAAAAAAAAAAAAAAAAAAGAAAGAAAGAAATCTGGAGGCGTCACATTACCCAACCTCAAACTATACCATAAGGCCATAGTCACCAAAACAGCATGATATTGGTGTAAAAATAAGCACGTAGACCAATGGAACAGAATAGAGAACCCAGATATAAAGCCAAATACTTATAGCTAACTGATCTTTGACAAAGCAAACAAAAACATAAAGTGGGGATAGGACATTCTATTCAACATATGGTGCTGGGATAATTGGCAAGCCACATGTAGAAGAATGAAACTGGATCATCTCTCACCTTATACAAAAATCAACCCAAGATGGATCAAAGACTTAAATCTAAGACCTGAAACCATAAAAATTCTAGAAAATGACATCAGAAAAACCCTTCTAGACATTGGCTTAGGCAAGGAGTTGATGACCAAGAACACAAAAGCAAATGCAACCAAAAGATAAATAGATGGGACTTAATAAAACTGAAAACTTCTGTACAGCAAAAGGACCAATCAGCAGAGTAAACAGACAACTCACAGACTGGGAGAATATCTTGGCAATCTCTACATCCAACGAAGGACTAATATCCAGAATCTACAAGGAACTCAAAGAAATCAGCAAGATAAAAACAAACAATCCCATCAAGAAGTGAGCTAAGGACATGTATAGACAATTCTCAGAAGAAGATATACAAATGGCTAACAAACATATGAAGAAATGCTCAACATCACTAATGACCAGGGACATGCAAATCAAAATCACAATGTGGTACCATCTTACTCTTGCAAGAATGGCCATGATCAAAAAATAGGCCAGGCGCAGTGGCTCATGCCAGTAATCTTAGCACTTTGGAAGGCCAAGGTAAGTGGATCACCTGAGGTCAGGAGTTTGAGACCAGCCTGACCAACAAAGTGAAACACCATCTCTACTAAAAATGCAAAATTAGTGGCTGGGAAGATGGCTGAATAGGAAGAGCTCCAGTCTGCAGCTCCCAGCGAGATCAAAACAGAAGGTGGGTGATTTCTGCATTTCAAGTGAGGTACCAGGCTCATCTCATTGGGAGTGGTTAGACAGTGGGTGCAGCCCACAGAGGGTGAGCCAAAGCAGGGTGTGGCATCACCTCACCTGGGAAGTGTAAGGGGTTGGGGAACTCCCTCCCCTAGCCAAGGGAAGCTGTGAGGGACTATGCCATTAGGAACAGTGCATTCTGGCCCAGAGACTATTCTTTTCCTGTGGTCCTTTCAACTCACAGACCAGGAGATTCCCTCAGGTGCCTGTACCACCAGGGCCCTGGGCTTCAAGCACAAAACTGGGCGGCTGTTTGGGCAGACACCCAGCTAGCTGCATGAGTTATTTTTCATACCCCAGTGGCACCTGGAATGCCAATGAGACAGAACCATTCAGTCCCCTGGAAAGGGGGCTGAAGCTAGGGAGCCAAGTGGTCTAGCTCAGTGGATCCCACCCCCATGGAACCCAGCAAGCTAAGATCCACTGGATAGAAATTTTCACTGCCAGCACAGCAGCTTGCAGTTGACCTGGGATGCTCGAGCTTGGTGGAGGGAGGGGCAGCTGCTATTACTGAGGCTTGAGTAGGTGGTTTTCCCCTCACAGTGTAAACAAAGCTGCTGGGAAGTTTGAACTGGGTGGAGCCCACTGCAGCTCTGGAAAGTCACTGTAGCCAGACTGCCTCTCCAGATTCTTCTTTCTGGGCAGGGCATCTCTGAAAGAAAGGCAGCAGCCCCAGTCAGGGGCTTATAGATAAAACTTCCATCTCCTTGGGACAGAACACCTGGGGGAAGGGGCAGCTGTGTGCGCAGCTTCAGCAGACTTCAACGTTCCTGCCTGCTGGCTCTGAAGAGAGCAGTGGATCTCCCAACACAGCTCTTGAGCTCTGCTAAGGGACAGACTGCCTCTTCAAGTGGGTCCCTGACCCCTGTGCCTCCTGACTGGGAGAAACCTCACAGCAGAGGTCGACAGACACCTCATACAGGAGAGCTCTGGCTGACATCTGGCGGGTGCCCCTCTGGGACAAAGCTTCCAGAGGAAGGAACAGGCAGCCATCTTTGCTGTTCTGCAGCCTCTGCTGGTGACACCTAGGTAAACAGGGTCTGGAGTGGACCTCCAGCAAACTCCAGCAGACCTGTAGCAGAGAGGCCTGACTGTTAGAAGGAAAACTAACAAACAGAAAGCAATAGCATCAACATCAAAAAAAGGATGTCCACACAAAACTCCATCTGAAGGTTACCAACATCAAAGAACAAAGGTAGATAAATCCATGGAGATGAGGAAAAACCAGCGCAAAAAGGCTGAAAATGCCAAAAACTAGGATGCCTCTTCTCCTCCAAAGGATCACAACTCCTTGCCAGTTGGAAACAAAACTGGATGGAGAATGAGTTTGACAAATTGACAGAAGTAGGCTTCAGAAGGTAGGTAATAACAAATTCCTCTGAGCTAAAGGAGCATGTTCTAATTCAATTCAAGGAAGCTAAGAACCTTTAAAAAAAGGTTAGAAAAATGGCTAACTAGAATAACCAGTTTAGAGAAGAACATAAATGACCTGATGGAGCTGAAAAACACAGCATGAAAACTTCATGAAGCATACGTAAGTATCAATAGCTGAATTGATCAACAGGAAGAAAGGATGTCTGTGATTGAAGATCAACTTAATAAAATAAAGCATGAAGACAAGATTAGAAAAAAAGAAGAATGAAAAGGAACGAACAAAGCCTCCAAGAAATATGGAACTATGTGAAAAGACCAAACCTACATTTGATTAGTGTACCTGAAAGTGAGGGGGAGAATGGAACCAAGTTGGAAAACAGTCTTCAGGATTTGATCCAGCAGAACTTCCACAACCTAGCAAGGCAGGCCAACATTCAAATTCAGGAAATACCGAGAACACCAAAAAGATACTCCTCGAGAAGAGCAACCCCAAGACATACAATCATCAGATTCACCAAGGTTGAAATGATGGAAAAAATGTTAAGGGCAGCCAGAGAGAAAGGCTGGGTTACCCACAAAGGGAAGCCCATCAGACTAACAGCAAATATCTCTGCAGAAACCCTACAAGCCAGAAGAGACTGGGGGGCCAATATTCAACAGTCTTAAAGAAAAGAATTTTCAACCCAGAATTTCATACCCAGCCAAACTAAGCTTCATAAGCAAAGGAGAAATACAATCCTTCTCCTTCGTAAGTGAAGGAGAAATACAGACCACCAAATGCTGAGAGATTTTGTCCCCATCAGGACTGCCTTACAACAGCTTCTGAAGGAAGCACTAAATATGGAAAGGAAAAACCAATATCAGCCACTGCAAAAACATACCAAAATGTAAAGACCATCGACACTAAGAAGAAACTGCATCAACTAATGGGCAAAATAACCAGCTGGCATCATAATGACAGGATCAAATTCACACCTAACAATATTAACCTTAAATGTACATGGGCTAAATTCCCCAATGAAAAGACACAGGCTGGCAAATTGGATAAAGAGTCAAGACCCGTCGGTGTGCTGTATTCAGGAGACCCATCTCATTTGCAAAGACACACATAGGCTCAAAATAAAGGGATGGAGGAAGATTTACCAAGAAAATGGAAAGCAAAAAAAAAGCAAGGGTTGCAATCCTAGTTGCTGATAAAACAGACTTTATACCAACAAAGATCAAAAGAGACAAAGAAGGCCATTACATAATGGTAAAGGGATCAATGCAACAAGAAGAGCTAACTATGCTAAATATATATGCACCCAATACAGGAGCACCGAGATTCATAAAGCAAGCTCTTAGAGACCTACAAAGAGGCTTAGACTCCCACACAATAATAGTAGGAGACTTTAACATCCCACTGTCAACATTAGACAGATCAACGAGATAGAAAATTAACAAGGATATTCAGGACTTGAACTCAGCTCTGGACCAAGTGGACCTGGTAGACATCTACTCTACCCCAAATCAACAGAATACACATTCTTCTTAGCACCAGACAGCACTTACTCTAAAATCGACAACATAATTGGAAGTAAAACACTCCTCAGCAAATGCAAAAGAATGGAAATCATAACAAACAGCCTCTTAGACCACAGCACAGTCAAATTAGAACTCAGGGTTAAGAAACTCACTCAAAACCATACAAGTGCATGGAAACTGAACAACCTGCTCCTGAATGACTACTGGGTAAATAATGAAATTAAGGGAGAAATAAGTAAGTTCTTTAAAACCAATGAGAACAAAGACACAATGTACCAGAATCTCTGGGACACAGCTAAAGCAGTGTTTAGAGAAAAATTTATAGCACTAAATGCCCACAGGGGAAAGTGGGAAAGATCTAAAATCAACACCCTAACATCATAATTAAAAGAACTAGAAAAGCAAGAGCAAATAAATTCAAAAGCTAGCAGAAGACATGAAATAACTAAGATCAGAGCAGAACTGAAGGACATAGAGACATGAATAACCCTTCACAAAAATCAATGAATCCAGGAGCTGGTTTTTTGAAAAGATTAACAAAATAGATAGACTGCTAGCCACACTATTGGAGAAGAAAAGAGAGAAGAATCAAATAGACACAATTAAAAATGATAAAGGGGATATCACCACTGATCCCACAGAAATACAAACCACCGTCAGAGAATCCTATAAAAATCTCTACGCAAATAAACTAGAAAACCTTGAAGAAATGGATGAATTCCTGGACACATACACCCTCCGAAGACTAAACCAGGAAGAAGTCAAATTCCTGAGTAGACCAGTAACAAGGTCTGAAAATTAGGTGGTAATTAATAGCCCACCCATCACAAAAAGCTCAGGACCAGATGGATTCACAGCCAAATTCTACCAGAGGTACAAGGAGGAGCTGGTACCATTCCTTGTGAAACTATTCCAAACAACAGTAAAAGAGGGACTCCTCCCTAACTCATTTTATGAGTCCAGCATCATCCTGAAACCAAAACCTGGCAGAGACACAACAACAACAAAAAATTTCAAGCCAATATCTCTAATGAACGTGCATGGATGCGAAAATCCTCAGTAAAATACCGGCAAAGCAAATCCAGCAGCACATCAAAAAGCTTATCCACCATGATCAAATTGGCTCCATCCCTGGGATGCAAGGCTGGTTCAACAAATGCAAATCAATAAATGTAATCCATCATATAAACAGAACCAATAATAAAAACCACATGATTATCTCAATATATGCAGAAGCAGCCTTCAATAAAATTCAAGAACCCTTCATGCTAAAAACTCTCAATAAACTAGGTATTGATGGAATGTATCTCAAAATAATAAGAGCTATATATGACAAACCCACAGCCAATATCATACTGAATAGGCAAAAGCTGGAAGCACTCCCTTTGAAAACTGGCATAAGACAAGGATTCCTTCTCTCACCACTCCTATTCAACATACTATTGGAAGTTCTGGCCAGGGCAATCAGGCAAGAGAAAGAAATAAAGTGTATTCAAATAGGAAGAGAGGAAGTCAAATTGTCCCTGTTTGCAGATGACATGATCGTATATTTAGAAAACCCCATCATCTCAGCCCAAAATCTCCTTAAGCTGATAAGCAACTTCAGCAAAGTCTCAGGATGCAAAATCAAGTGCAAAAACCACAAGCATGCCTATACACCAATAGTAGACAAACAGAGAGCCAAATCATGAGTGAACTCCCATTTACAATTGCTACAAAGAGAATGAAATACCTAGGAATACAACTTACAAGGGATGTGAAGGACCTCTTCAAGGAGAACTACAAACCACTGCTCAAGGAAATAAGAGAGGACAAAAACAAGTGGATAAACATTCCATGCTCATGGATAGGAAGAATCAATATTGTGAAAATGGCCATACCACCCAAAGTAATTTATAGATTCAATGCTGTCCCCATCAAGTTACCATTGACATTCTTCACAGAATTATAAAAAACTACTTTAAATTTCATATGGAACCAAAAAAGAGCCTGTATAGTCAAGACAATCATAAGCAAAAACAAAGCAAAAAGTACAAAGCTGGAGGCTTAATGCTACCTGACTTTAAACTATACTACAAGGCTACGGTAACCAAAACAGCATGGTACTGGTACCAAACAGATATATAGACCACTGGAACAGAACAGAGGCCTCAGAAATAACACCACACATCAACAACCATCTGATCTTTGACAAACCTAACAAAAACAAGCAACGGGGAAAGGGTTCCCTATTTAATAAATGGTGTGGGGGATACTGGCTAGCCATATGCAGAAAACTGAAACTGGATCCCTTCTTTATACCTTATACAAAAATTAACGCAAGATGGATTAAAGATTTAAACATGAGATCTAAAACCATAAAAACCCCAGTAGAAAACCTAGGCAATACCATTCAGGACGTAGGCATGGGCAAAGACTTCATGACTAAAACACCAAAAGAAATGGCAACAAAAGCCAAAATTGACAAATGGGATCTAATTAAACTAAAGAGCTTTGGTACAGCAAAAGAATCTATCATCAGAGTGAAAAGAAAACCTACAGAATGGGAGAAAATTTTTGCAATCTATCCATCTGACAAAGGGCTAATATCCAGAATCTACAAGGAACTTAAACTAATATCCAGAATCTACAAGGAACTTAAATTTACAAGAAAAAAGCAACCCCATCAAAAAGTGGGCAAAGTATATGAACAGACACTTCTCAAAAGAAGACATTTATGCAGCCAACAAACATATGAAGAAAAGCTCATCATCACTGGTCATTAGAGGTATGCAAATCAAAACCACAATGAGATACCATCTCATGCCAATTAGAATGGCAATCATCAAAAAGTCAGGAAACAACAGATGCTGAAGAGGATGTGGAGAGAAAGGAATGCTGTTACACTGTTGGTGAGAGTGTAAATTAGTTCAACTATTGTGGAAGACAGTGTGGCTATTCCTCAAGGATCTAGAACCAGAAATACCATTTGACCCAGCAATCCCATTACTGGGTACACACCCAAAGGATTATAAATCATTCTACTATAAAGACACTTGCACACATATGTTTATTGTAGCACTGTTTACAATAGCAAAGACTTGGAACCAACCCAAATGCCCATCAGTGATAGACTGGATAAAAAAATATGGCACATATACATCATGGAATACTATGTGGCCATAGAAAAGGATGAGTTCATGTCTTTTGCAGAGACATGGATGAAGCTGGAAACCATCATTCTCAGCAAACTAACACAGGAACTGAAAACCAAACATCTCATGTTCTCACTCGTAAGTAAGAGTTGAACAATGAGAACACATGGACACAGGTAGGAGAACATCACACACCAGGGCCTGTCGGGGGGGTGGGGGACTAGGGAAGGATAGCATTAGGAGAAATACCTAATATGATGGGTTGATGGGTGCAGCAAACCACCATGGCATGTGTTTACCTATGTAACAAACCTGCACATTCTGCACTTGTATCCCAGAACTTAAAGTATAATAAAAAAAAATACAGGATTATCTGGACATGGTGGCACATGCCTGTGATCCCAGCTACTTGGGATGCTGAGGCAGGAGAATCATGTGAACCCGGGATGTGGAGGTTGCAGTGAGCTGAGATCGTGCCATTGCACTTCAGCCTGGGCAACAAGGGCGAAACTTTACATGTTGGCACGGATGTGGTGAAAATGGAACACTTTTACAATGCTGATGGGAATGTAAACTAGTACATTCCCATCAGTACAACCATTATGGAAAACAATGTGGAGTACAACCATTATGGAAAGCATTAGTGTACAACCATTATGGAAAACCATTATGGAAACAACCATTATGGAAACAACCATTATGGAAAACAACCATTATGGAAAACAATGTGGAGATTGCTTAAAAAACTAAAAGTAGAACTACCATTTGATCCAGCAATCCCACTACTGGGTATCTATCCATAAGAAAAAAAAAATCGTTAAATGAAAAACACACTTGCACACGCATGTTTATAGCAGCACAATTTGTGATTGCAAAAATATGGAACCAGCCCAAATGCCCATCAATCAATGATTGGATGAAAAACTGTGAGATATATATTTATATATATATACACACACACCATGGAATACCACTCAGCCATAAAAAGCAACAAAATAATGGCATGTACAGCAACCTGGATGAAATTGGGGATCATTATTCTAAGTGAAGTAACTCAGGAATAGAAAACCAAACATCATATATTTTCACTCATAAGTGGGAGCTAAGCTACGAGGATGCAAAGGCATAAGAATTATACAATGGACTTTGGAAACTTGAGGGAAAGAGTGGGAGGGGGTAAGGGATAAAAGACTACACATTGGGTACAGTGTACACTGCTCGAGCAATGAGTGCACCAAAATCTCAGAAATTACCACTAGATAACCAAACACCACCTATTCACCAAAAACGTATTGAAAGAAAATAAATAAATAAATGACACTATACTGCTGCACAGGTAATGTGAGTATGTTATAATAACAACACAATCTCAATTTTTCCTTCCATTCCTTGTGTTGTTGCAATCATTCATTTCACTTACATTTAAACACATATATATATTTACATGTGCATATATAATCTATTGTTGCTGTTATTTTGAAGAAACTGTTATTTGTTAGATCAATTAAAAATAAGAAAAAGAAAAGTTTTTATTTTACCTTCTGTGATATTTTTCCTTTCTTTTTGTAAATCCTAGTCTCTGACTTAGACAATTTTCCTTTTCCCAAAAGAATTTCTTTCTTTATTTTATTTTATTTTATTTATTATTATTATACTTTAAGTTTTAGGGTACATGTGCACAATGTGCAGGTTAGTTACATACGTATACATGTGCCATGCTGGTGCGCTGCACCCACTAACTTGTCATCTAGCATTAGGTATATCTCCCTAAAGAATTTCTTTTAACATTTCTCTCCAGGCAGGTATACTGGCAACAAATTCACTCAAATTGTGTTTTTCTGAAAAAGTTCTTATTTCTTTACTTTTGAAGGATAATTTTCCAGGGTATAGAATTCTAGGTTATTGTTTTTTCTCTGATTACTTAAAATTTTTCACTCTACTGTCTTCTTGCTTACATGTTTTTTTTAACAAGTCATATAATTCTAATCTTTGCTTCTCTATAGGTCATTTGTTTTTGACTGCCATAGTTACTTTCAGAATTTTTTTATTTTTGACTTTCTGTAGTTTGAAAATGATGAGCTGAAGTATTGTTTTTCTGGCATTCATTTTGTTTGGTATTCTCTGAGCTTCCTGAATCTGTGGTTTGGTGTTTTACATTAATTCAGGGGAAATTCTCAGTCATTTTTCCAAGTATTTCTTCTGTTCATTTTTTTTCTCTCTCTTTTTTAATCCTTCTCACATTTCCATTACATATATGTTGCACCTTTTGTACTTCCTGGATATTCTGTTCTTTTAATTTAGTTGTTTTTCTCTTTGCTTTTCACTTGGGGAGACTTCTATTGAGATATCCTAAAACTTGGAGATCCTCCTCAGCCACATTCAGTCTACCATTAAGCCCATAAAAGGTATTCCACATTCCTCTTACAGTGTTTTTGATCTCTAACATTTCTTTTTTATTATTTCTTAGAATTTCCATCTCTCTGCTTACCTTAGAATTTCCATCTCTCTGTTCTTGCCTGCAGTCTAGTTTATCCATGATAGCCCTTAGCATCTTAATCAAAGTTGTAAATTTTCTGTATGTTAATTCCAACATCTCTGCCATAGTCATATCTGAGTCTGCTTTTGATGCTTTCTCTGTCTCTTCAAACTGTTTTTACTCTTTAGTATGTCTTGTGATTTTTTTTTAATAGCCAGACCCAATTTATTGGGTAAAAGGAACTGCTCTGAATAGGCCATTTGCAATGTGGAAAGGTGCATAGAGAAGAGAATTGTTGTGTAGTCCTCTGATTAGGTCTCCGTCTTTTAGTGAGCTTGTGCTTGGGGACTGTGAACTTCACCTGTGATTCTTAACCCCACCCCCGGCCCTGCCTTAGATGACAGAGGATAGCTAGAGTGGGCTGTAATTTGGTATTTCCTTTTTCCCAGGTCACTTAGGCTCTGACAAAACCCCAGCAGGTTAGGCTGTAGTAAAATAGTTTCTCCGGAAGGCAGACTTTGTTAAGAAGAACAGAATGCTTTGGCATATTTTTAAATGGTTCATTTTCTTGTCTCCCTCCTGGACATGAGGAGATTTTTCTCTGATATTGCCATGAGAACCTTGTAGAGGTTTAGAAAGTAAAACTCACCGAAGTTTGGGGACCCCTCACTGGTCATGACTGGTTCCCTCTGGAGTTTTTAATCTCTCAGGATTTTTCACACTGAGCCTCCAGCAATTCATCAATTGCAGCTCATGCTTTCTTACCTCAGCACCAGTTCCCATAGCAGTTTCTGCTCCTTCCAGTTGTGATTCTCTCTATTCCTCGGTCAGTCTCTCTAATTTTGGGGTCAGCAGTTTGCCCTGTGACACCACTTTAACGAATCTAAGAGTTGTTGATTTTCCAGTTTGTACAGGTTTTTACTTGTTGTTAAGATGGAGTGGCAACTTGCCAATTTATTGTATGCTGGACTGGAAACCAGAAACCTCATGCCTGCTCTTTAGCCCCTAGCAATCACTAGTCCGTTCTCCATCTTTATAATTTGGTTATTTCATATTAATGAAGTAATTTATGTAACAGAATGTAACATTTTGGGAATGCCTTTTTTAAACCCAGTATTTCTCTGACAATCTATCCAGCTCGTTGCTTATAACAATACTTCATACCCTTTTATTGCTGAATAATATTCCATAGTATAAATGTATCACAATTTTTTTTAACACTTTATCTTTGGTCTTTAATTATTCATACATATTTATATATTACTTATATTTTAAACTGCTAGGTGGAAGAAGCTCTATTCTCTTTTTACTTTCTTAAAAGTATTATTCTATTTCTATTTGACACATAATAATTTTACAGATTTGTGAGGTACATTGTGATGTTTTGATACATGTATACATTGTGTAATGATCAAATCAGGGTGTTAAACATACCCATCACCTAAAACATTTACTATTTTCTTGTGAGAGTATTCAAAATTCTCTCTTCTACTTATTTTGAGAAACACAATACAATATTGTTAGCTATAGTCACCCTACTGTGAGATAGAACGCCAGAACTTATTCCTCCTATCTAACTGTAATTTTCTTACTTATTGATAAAAGTTTCCTCAAGCCCCATTTCCCTTACCTTCTCTATTCTCTTGTAATCACTATTCTACTCTCTAGTTATGTGAGATCAGCTTTTTTAGATTCCACAAATGAGTGAGAGCATATGTTATTTTTCTTTCTGGGCCCAGCTTATTTCACTTCACATACGTCCTCCAGGTTCACCCATGTTTCCACAAATGACAGAATCTCATTCTTTTTTATGGTGGAATAGTATCTCATTGTGTATATATATTACATTTTTCTTTATCCATTTATCTGATGACACTTGTGTCATTCCATATCTTGGCTATTATGAACAGTGCTGCAATAAGCATGGGTGTGCAGATATCTCTTCAATATACTGTTTTAATTTCCTTTGGGTAAATACCTGGTAGTGAAATTGCTGGATCATATGGTAGTTCTTTTTTTAAAAAAAATTTTGAGAAATCTTCATGCTGTTTTTTTTTCATAATGACCCTACTAATTTACATTTCTATTAAATAAGAAAAGGGTTCCTGTTTTCCCAGAATCATACCACCATTTGTTGTTTTGTGTTTTTTTGGTAACAGCCATTCTAATTGGAGTGAGTTAACATCTCACTGTGGTTTTGATTTGCATTTCTTTGGTGATTAGTGATGTTGAGCATTTTTTCATATACATGTTGGCTCTTTGCCTTCTTTTGAGAAATGTCTATTCTGGTCTTCTGCCCATTTTAAAATCAGATTGTCTTTTTGCTATTGTGTTGAGTTCCTCATATATTCTGTATATTAACCCCTTCTGAGATCCATAGTTTGCAAATATTTTCTTCCATTTTGTGAGTTGTCACTTTACTCTGTTGATTTTTTTATCATATAGAAGGTTTTTAGTTTAATGTCATCCCACTTGTCTCATTTTGCTTGTGTTGCCTGTATTTTTGAGTTCTTATAAAAAATAATTTGTTCCCAGATCAATGTCATTAAGCATTTTCCCTAGGTTTTCTTCCAGTAGTTTTATAGTTTTGGGTCTTACATCTAAGTCTTTAATCCATTTTTAGTTGATTTTGTCTATGGGAAGAGATGGGAAGCTTCATTCTTCTGCATGTAGATATCCAGTTTATCCAGCACTATTTATTAAAGAGACTGTTCTTTCCCCAGTGTGTGAGTGAGTCTTTTGCAGGCAGGATATAGTTGGGTCTTGTTCTTGTATTCATTCAACTACCCTATATGTTTTATTGGATAATTTAATCAATTTACATTCAAGATTATTGTTGATGAGGCAGAACTTACTTTTGCCATTGTGTTAGTTGTTTTCTGGTTACTTTGTAGATTAAAAAATTTTTTTTCACAGGTGTTGATATTGTGTAAATATTTTGTTCCTTTCTCTCTCTTGTTGTTTACCTTTGTGATTTGGTGGTTTTCTGTAGTCATTAGCTTTTATTCCCATCTCTTTCTAATTTGCATATTTGTTATTTTTTCTTTGTTACTCTGGGGCTTGCATTTACAAAATCTTGTAGTTATAGACTCTTTTAAGCTGATAACAACTTAACTTTGCTCACACAGAAATATTTTAGACTTCTACTTTCTCCCCCACAGTTTACAATTTGATGCCTTAATTTATATATTTCTTTACTGTATATTCCTTAACAACTTATTGCAGCTATGGCTATCATTGATCATTTTGACTTTTAACATTTACATTAGAGATCCAAAAGATTATATACTACTATTCCAGTAAATGATTATCCTGAATTTGCTTATGGGCTTACCTCTACCAGTGAGTTTTATACTTTCATATGTTTTCATGGCAGTAATTAATTTCCTTTTGCTTCCAGTTGGACCACTTTCTTCAGCATTTATTGTAAGACTGGTCTAATCGTAATGAATTACATCAGCTTTTGCTTGCCTGGAAAATACTTTATTTTCCCTTCATTTCCAAAGGATAGTTTTTCTGGGTATAGTATTCTTGGTTGAATAATTTTTTTTCCAGCACT
This sequence comes from Homo sapiens, assembly GCF_000001405.40. Taxonomy (NCBI): domain Eukaryota; kingdom Metazoa; phylum Chordata; class Mammalia; order Primates; family Hominidae; genus Homo; species Homo sapiens. The sequence continues at coordinate 140,791,557 of NC_000003.12, read as the reverse complement.
TTAAATATATCATTGCATTCTCTCCTGGCCTGCTGAGAAATCTACTGATAGTCTAATGGAGATTGTTTTATACACGACTGGATGCTTTTCTCTTGCTGCTTTTAGAATTATCTCTGTCTTTGACTTTCAATAGTTGAATTTTAACATGCCTCAGCAAGGACTACTTTGGATTGAATTTAATTGCGGGCTTTGAGCTTCATGGAAATGGACATCCATATCTGTCCTACAATTTGTCAGCTTATTAAATAAGCTTTATGTGCCTTTCTCTGAGCTTCCTTCTCTATAATTCCCATAATGTGAAAATTTGTTTTCTTAATAGTGTCCCATAAGTCTCATCTTTTTTCACTCATTTTAATATTTTTTTCTGTCTATTTCAAAAGATCTGTCTTCAAGTTAATAAATTTTTTTTGCTTAATCTAATATGCTGTTGAAGTTCTCAATTGTATCTTTTATGTTATTCGCTGAAGTCTTCAACTCAGGATTTATATCTTATGTTATTTATTTCTTTGTTGAATTTCCCATTTACATCATAAATTGTTTCCCTGATTTTGTTGAACTGTCTACCCATATTCTCTGGTATCTTGTGGAATTTTCTTAAATCCAAAATCTTAAATCAAAATCCAAAATTTGGATTTTGTTCAATTCTGCATACCACACAAGTGTCTCAGCATTGTTTCTAGGTGTTGGAAGAATGTTTTAGTCTGTGCATGTTTGCTAGTTGAACTTTCTATGGGGGAGAATGGAGCCTGAGACTTCCTATTTGACCATTTTTTGAATGTTACTCTTGTATCATAGTTTGCTTAACTGTAAACCCATTAATGGACATCTGGTTGTTTTCAGTATTTGGATATTACAAAAAAAGAAGCATATACATTCATGTACAGGTTTGTGTGAATATAAGATTTTATTTTATTTTATTTTTTGGAATGAGTACCCAGGGATGCAATTGCTGGATTATATGGCAGTTGTATATTTGGTTTTTAAAGAAACTGCCAAACTGTTTTCCAGAGTGGGTATGCCATTTTACATTTTCACTAGCAGTGTATCAGTAATCCAGTTTCTCCACATCCTTGACTGTCTATGGTGTTGTTATTATTTAAAATTTTTAGCTATTCTGATAGGTATGTAGTGATATCTCACTTGGTTTTAATTTGTGTTTTTCTATTGACTAACAATATCGAACATCTTTTCATGTGCTTATTTGCCATCTTTATAGCCTGTTAAGTGAAATGTCCTTTTATGTCTTTTGACCATTTTCTATTTGGATTTATTTTTTACTGTTGAATTTTGAATGTTCTTTATATACTCTAGATGGTAGTCTTTTGTTGGATATCTGGTTTGCAAATATTTTCTCCCAGACTATAGGTTATCTTTTCATTCTCTTCACAGGGTCTTTCACAGAGCAAAAGTTTTAAATTTTGAGGAAGTCCGATTTAAAGAAAAGTTTTTTTTTCTTCAGTAGATTATGCTTTCTGGTATTACATCTAAGAACTGTTTATTTTTTCTAAGTTTTATAGTTTTGTGTTTTATATTTAAGTCTGTAAAACATTTTGAATGAACTTTTGTATAAGGTATGAGGTCCAGGTAAAGGTTTTTTGTTTGTTTGTTTTTTGTTTTTTTCTTTTTGCCTATGGATGTTCAATTATTCAAATACCATTTTAAAAAAAATTCTAAAAGCATGATTAGTAACATTTCCTTGTACTTTAAATTAACTTGAGAATAATAACGTAGTTTTCAGAACCTAATTATTATTTAAACATTTTTCTCCCAAATATTTATGAGTATATTTTAAAAGGGTTATTCAAAATTTATGGTGCAACTATCCTACATTTTTATTTTATTTAATATTTAATTATTTATTTATTTTTGAGATGGAGTCTCGCTGTCTCTCAGGCTGGAGTGAAGTGGCACCATCTTAGCTCACTGCAACGTCCACCTCCCAGATTCAAATGATTCTCCTACTTCAGCCTCCCGAATAGCTGGGATTACAGGTGTGCACCACAATGCCTGGCTAATTTTTATATTTTTAGTAGAGCTGGGGTTTCACTATGTTGGCCAGGCTGGTCTCGAACTCCTGACCTCAAGTCATCTGCCAGCCTCGTCCTCCCAAAGTGGTGGGATTATAGAGGTGAGCCACTGTGTCCAGCCAATGAGACTTCTTTTTTTTTTTGAGATGGGGTCTACCCCTGTTGCCAAGGCTGGAGTGCAGTGGTGCAGTCTTGGCTCACTGTGGCCTCAACCCCCCTGGCTCAAACAATCCTCCCACCTCACTCTCCTGAGTGGCTGGGACCACAGACACATGCCACCATGCCTGGCTAATTTTTTTGTAATTTTAGTAGAGACAGGGTTTTGCTATGTTGCCCAGGCTGATCTTGAACTCCTGAGCTTGAGCGTTCCTCCCGCCTCTGCCTCCCAAAATGCTGGGATTACAGGTGTGAGCCACTGTGCTCGGCCCCCTATGTTTTAATCCATAAAAGTTTAGTATAATATTTTCAAAATTTAAATCTGTATCAAAATTTAGAAATCATTTTTAAGATTTTAAGATGCTGTGTTACTGCTGTTTGCATGCTAGTTATATGACTATCCAACCAATGGTGAAACAGACACAGGCTCCAATGTTATTTGCTAAAATGACTATCCTTCCTCCAACCAACTGCAATTGTAATTTTGTCAAAAATTAGTTGGGTAATTTTGTGTAGCTCTATTTCTGCGTTTTCAATTCTGTTCCATTGATCTACGTGTTTATTCCTCTGCCAATACCACACAGTTTAATTACTACAGCTATATAATCAGTCATAAAATCAGGTAGACTGATTTCTCTCACTTTTTTTTTTTCCAAAAAAAGTTTGTTTTAGCTATTCTACCTTCTATGGCTTTCAATATACATTTTCCCATTATCTCATCTATATCCACAAAAGATCTTGTGAAGATATTGATAGGAATTAAATTAATCCTGTATATCAGTTTGAGGAACTTAATCTTATGACCATGTTAAATCTTTCAATTCATAAGAACAGTGTATCTCTCTACTTATTTAGATCATTGATTTCTTTCTTCTATTTTTTTCATTTTCAGTATGAATGTCCTATATATTTTTTGATAAAAAGAGATAATTTATTGATAGCTGTTGCCTTACTCTGAGTTTTGACATTTCGTTAAAATTAAGCCTTAAAACTTTGTGTTTTGAAAGGCCCAAAAATGGTCAGTATAATGAGGACCTGACTTTCTAAAACTGAAATTAAAATGTATATCAGAATCAATTGAATTTTTCCTTCAAGAAATTTTTATCAAAGCTTCATCTCAATAAATTGTTTTAAAAAACAAATAAAAAAGACAATGTCAGTTTTGAACTAAGCCCCATTTTTTTTTAACCGTTTTCACTTACATGGAGCCATAGTCTGACTAACTTTAGGTGAAGAAAAGCACTATCATTTGGAAATACATAGATATTTTACTCCCCCTGGAAAAATTCATTTTTTTCTCCATTTAGAAATAATTTCAGATTTAAGATCTCTAGAAGTTTACTTTTTTCCTAGGCAGATACTTTTTATAATAATCTGAGATAGGAAAAAATCCTTAGCTGCTTCATAGGAATCAAATATCATTTGTCTTAAAATGAATACATTTTACATGACCATTTAGAAATTCTAAAAGGTCCCTGTCAACCACACTTTAAAAGGGGAAACATTTGATTATTTTCCAGTATCGCTCTGCTCTGTTGGGTGTAAAATATAGCTAGCAAGGCTGGGCAGGCCTCTGGAGAAAGAGGAAGGAGAGCTGGCAAGATGTGTCCATTGCAGGTCTCCAGGTCAGCAGCCTCCAGAGGGGCATTTGTGGCCCATTTGGAAGGGATGGCCCTGGCATGTACTAGGCTTTGTTCTTTTCTCTTGACCCTGGTGGGAACATGGCTGTAAGAATACCATCCTGTCTACTTTCCTTATATCCGTTGTAAACATATTATTATCCCATCTTGTAGTACATTTTAAATCACAATGCCAAAGTGCCACAATTCTCAAGGAGTAGTCCCTGCACACCTGATGGTCTCCCAGACCCTTTAGGGATTTGCAAGGTCAAAACTACTTTCAAGATAATACTGAGATATCACTCATCTTCTTTGTTGTTTTGACATCTGCAATGGTGGATAAAATTGCTGGTGTCTCAGCGGGAGTCAAGGCTGTGGGACACAATTGTACTTGTATTGTGTAAATAGTGTACTATATTCTTCACTGCTATACCCTACAGAAAAGAAATCCAATTTTATTGAGAATATTCTTTATGCAGCCATATAACTATTAATTTTATTATATCTCAACCCTTGAGTACATGACTTTAATAGCCTATGTGAGGAAACAGGAAATTTATTCCCATAAAGTGTGGTTATTTTGAGGAAAAACATTTGTGTGGTTGAGCTGCAAGCTGAAATATTATTTTTTAAAAAATTTTATTTTTCCATAAGTTATTGGGGTACAGGTCGTATTTGGTTACATAAGTTGTTTAGTGGAGATTTGTGAGATTTTGGTGCACCCATCACCCGAGCAGTATACACTGCACCATATTTGTTGTCTTTTGGCTCTCAACCCCCTCCCACTCTTTACCCCAAGTTCCCAAAGTGTATTGTATCATTCTTATGCATTTGTGTCCTCACAGCTTAGCTCCCAGGTATCAGTGAGAACATCTGATGTTTGGTTTTCCATTCCTGAGTTATTTCACTTAGAATAATAGTCTCTAATCTCATCCAGGTCACTGCAAATGCTGTTAATTCATTCCTTTTTATGCTGAGTAGTATTCAATGCGATACCACCTTACTCCTGTAAGAATGGCCATAATCAAAGAATTGAAAAACAGTAGATGTTGGCATAGAAGCGGTGATCAGGGAACACTTCTACACTGCTCGTGGGAATGTAAACCCACCATTTAAAATGACTGAAGTCATACCAAGTATATTATCTGAGGACAATGGAATAAAACTACAAATCAGTAGCAGAAAGATAATAGTCTCCAAACACCCAGAGCCTAAACAACATGCATTTAAATAATTTATGGGATAAAGCAGGAGCTACAAGATAAATTTTAAAAATACACTAAGCTGAATAAAAATAAAAATGAACAACTCAAACTTTGTGGAACACAGTGAAAGCATGCTGAAATGAAAATTTTTAGCACTAAAAAAGAAAAAAATCTCAAATCAATCTAATCTCGCACCTCAAGAATCTAGAAAAAGAAGAGTGAAATAAACCCAAAACAAGCAGAAGAAAGATAATAAGAAAGATGAAGACAGAAATTTATAAAATTGAAAACAGAAAAATAGTAGAGCAAATCAGTGAAACAAAGAGAAGTTTCTTAAAAAAATCAATAAATATCTAAAAGCCTCTAGCAAGAGTGACAAAGAAATAAAAAGAAGACACAAATTACCAGTATCAGGAATGAAACAGAAGATATTACTACAGACATCAAAAGGATAATAAGGGAATATTCTGAATAACTCCACATACAGAAATTTGACAATTTAGAGATTATAGATTAATTCCTCAGAAAACTCAAACTACCACAACTCACCCAATATGAAATAGATCATTTAAATAGCCCCACAACTATTAAGGAAATTGAATTAATAATTTTTTAAACCCACCAAAAGGAACACCCCAGGACAAGAAAGCTTCAATGGGTAATTCTATCCAACATGTACATGTTTTATTAAATTTATACCTAAGCACTTAAATTTTTTAGTGATTGTAAATACCATTGCATTTATATATTTTTTTCTTTTTTTGAGATCGAGTCTTGCTCTGATGCCCAGGCTGGAGTGCAGTGGTACTATCTCGGCTTACTGCAACCTCTGCCTCCCATATTCAAGCGATTTTCCTGCCTCAGCCTCCTGAGTAGCTGGGATTACAGGCGCCCACCACAACTCCTGGCTAATGTTTGTATTTTTAGTACAGACCGGGTTTCATCATGTTGGCCAGGCTGGTCTTGAACTCCTGACCTCAAGTGATCTGCTCGCCTTGGCCTCCCAGAGTGCTGGGATTACAGGTGTGAGCCACCATGCTCAACCTGTGTTTGTAATTTTGATATTAATGTATTCATTGTGAATATATAAAATATATTTTATTTTAAATGTATTTATCTTATATTCTGCCACGTTACTGAACTCATTATTAGTTTCATTTTTTCTTTTCTTTTTTTTTTGAGACAAAGTCTTGCTCTGCTGTCCACGGTGGAGTGCAGTGGCATGATGTTGGCTCACTGTAATCTCTGCCTCCCATATTCAAGCAATTCTCCTGCCTCAGCCTCCTGAGTAGCTGGGATTATAGGCGCCTGCCACCACACCCAGCTAATTTTTGTATTTTTAGTAGAGATGGGGGTTTCACCATGTTGGTCAGCCTGGTCTCGAACTCCTGACCTCAAGTGATCCGGCCACCTGGGCCTCCCAAAGTGCTGGGATTACAGGTGGGAGCCACTTTGCCCAGTTTAGTTTCATTTCTTCTTTTTTTTTTCTTTTTAAAGATTATTTTGGATTTTCAACACTGACAATATGAAAATAAGAACATTTTTTATTTCTTCCTTTCTACTCTGTGCATCTTTTATTTCTTTTACTTATCTTGTTTCACTGGCTAGAACTTTTATGTTGAATAAAAGTGATGATAGTGGACATCCTTATTTTGCTCCAAACATTAAGGGAAAACATTCAATTTTTCATCATTAAGTATAATGTTAACTGTAAGGTTTTTTGGTAGATGCTCTCTATGAAGTTAAGAATGTTCTCTATTCTTTGCTGGGAGATTTAAAAAATATCATTAATAGGTGTTGAGTTGTATAAACCAATCTCTCTCCTTCAATTTATATAAGCATGTGATTTTTTTTCTTTAGTTTGTTCAAATGGTGGATTACATTGATTGATTTTTGAATACTAAAGCAGATTTACATCCTTAGAATAATCTCTACTTGGTCATGGCATGTAATTCTTTTCATGTATTGCTAGATTCTATTTGCTAATATTTTGTTGAGAATTTTTGTTTCTGTGTTCATCAGGAATTTTGATCTGTGCTTTTCTTTTTTGTGTTTTTTTTTTCATGTTTTAGAATCAGGGTAATAGTAGCTTCATAAAATGAACAAAAAAGTATTCACTACTATTTTCTGGAAAAAGATTATGTAGAATGAACATTATTTCTTCTTTAAATGTTGAATAGAATTACCTGTTGAAGCTTTCTTGTCCTGGGGTGTTCCTTTTGGTGGGTTTAAAAAATTATTAATTCAATTTCCTTAATAGTTGTGGGGCTATTTAAATGATCTATTTCATATTGGGTGAGTTGTGGTAGTTTGAGTTTTCTGAGGAATTAATCTATAATCTCTAAATTGTCAAATTTCTGTATGTGGAGTTATTCAGAATATTCCCTTATTATCCTTTTGATGTCTGTAGTAATATCTTCTGTTTCATTCCTGTTACTGGTAATTTGTGTCTTCTTTTTATTTCTTTGTCACTCTTGCTAGAGGCTTTTAGATATTTATTGATTTTTTTTTAAGAAACTTCTCTTTGTTTCACTGATTTGCTCTACTATTTTTCTGTTTTCAATTTTATAAATTTCTGTCTTCATCTTTCTTATTATCTTTCTTCTGCTTGTTTTGGGTTTATTTCACTCTTCTTTTTCTAGATTCTTGAGGTGCGAGATTAGATTGATTTGAGATTTTTTTCTTTTTTAGTGCTAAAAATTTTCATTTCAGCATGCTTTCACTGTGTTCCACAAAGTTTGAGTTGTTCATTTTTATTTTTATTCAGCTTAGTGTATTTTTAAAATTTATCTTGTAGCTCCTGCTTTATCCCATAAATTATTTAAATGCATGTTGTTTAGGCTCTGGGTGTTTGGAGACTATTATCTTTCTGCTACTGATTTGTAGTTTTATTCCATTGTCCTCAGATAATATACTTGGTATGACTTCAGTCATTTTAAATTTGTTGTGATTTGTATAATTTGTTTGCCCAGGAGATGATCTTTCTTTATATTTGTGCCATTGGCACTTGCAAAGAATATGTATTTTGCTGTTGTTGTGGGAAGCATCCTATAAATCTTTATTAGATATGGTTGGTCGGTGGTGCTACTGAGTTTTATATCCTTGCTGATCTTCTGTCCAGTTATTCTATCAATTGTTGAGAGAGAGGTGTTAAAGTTTTCCAGTAAAATTGTGGATTTGTCTATTTATCTTTTCATTTCTATCAGATTTTGCTTCAATTATTTTATGTCCCTGTTGTTTGGCACATATACATATAGGATTACTATGTCTTTTGGTAAATTGACCCTTTTTGTCATTACATAATGTTTCTCTCTATCTTTAGTAATTTTCTTTACTTTGATGTCTTCTCTGTCTAATAATATAGCCACTCTGCTTTCTTTTTATTAATGTTTACATGATTATCTATCATCTACTATCTACCACTTTCTTTTACTTTCTACTATCTACCATTTTCTTTTACTTTCAACCTGCCTATATTCAAATACAACCTTGTAATATTTGACATGAGTTACATGTAGATAGTATATGTTGGGGTCATGTTTTTAAATCTATGCTGTCAATATGTCTTTAACATGTTTAGACTATTTACATTTAATGTAATTATTATGTTAGATCTTAAGTTTGCCATTTAATTTTTTGTTTTCCTTTGTTCTCTTTTTTGTTTCTGTTTACGTTTTTCTGCCTTCTTGTGGGTTACTTAAACATTCTATAGAATTCCATTTTGATTATCTATTCGTATCTATTCTTAAGTATGTCTTTTTAGATAGCTTTTTAGGTGGCTGCTGTAGGTATTACATTATATGCACATAACACAGTCTCCTGGTGTGTCATTTTACCAGTTCAAGTGAAGTATGCAAACCTTACCTCCCTCTGTGTCACTTTATCCACTTTCATTTATAATATAATTTTCTTATTTTCTTGACATGCATTTAGAACTATATCACAGAGTGTTATAATTTTTTCTTTAAATTTCAAATATGATTTAGAAAACTCAAGAGAAAAGTATTATATTTTCTCCTATGTTCAGTTACTGTGTTTCTTCTTCCTGCTGGATGTTTCAAAGTGCCTTCTTTTATCATTTCCTTCCTGTTTAAAGATCTTCCTTTAAGCTTTGTTTTTGGATAAGTCTGTTGGAGACAGATTCTTTTGTTTTCCTTCATCTGAAAATTTCTTAATTTCCCTTCATTCATAAAGAATATTTTCATTGCATATAGGCTTCTGGGTTAACAGGTCTTTCAGAACTTGAAAAATACGTCATTATTTTCTGGCCTTCATGGTTTCTGATGAGAAATTCATTGTCATTTGAACTGTTTTCTACCTATAGATAAGTTAGATAAGTTGTTATTTCACTCTTGCTGCTTTTAAGACATTTTGTTTGTCTTTAGTTTTCCACAGTTTGAGTATAAAGTACCTAGGTGTGGATTTCTTTAGATTTATCTTCTCTGGGTCTTGCCAGAGAAGGAGAGAGGTGGATCAGAGAGGGAACTTAACACATATAAGTAATCAGGAGTCTTTGGGTCAGAGCGCTGTGAATGGGATTGTTATCACTGCTGGTTTTATCTTATCTATGATTAGTAGATGTTTGGTACAGTTTCATAGGCTATGCAAAGCAGACAGGCTCTAAATGGCTAACAGTCTGCTTCTTTGAGCTGTGTTTGAAGTAACTGGATTTGTAAAACTTGAGTTTGATACTAGTTGGCTTTTGAGTGAATTAATCTCAGCCTTCTGTGAAGAAGTAAACAAGCCAGGGGCCAATACACAGAGGTCATATTTGGCTCATTTATGTAACACAGATGACACTTCCTTAAGTCTTCTCTGACATCACCTCTGACACCTTGGGTGCTGAGCTTCCTAGCTTGTCTGCTTTCTTATTTACACTTTCAGTCTTCTTATCTTTATCTTCTATGTAAAATGTAGAGTGTTTTTAGTTGTATTTAGAGGAGGCAATAGGGAAAAGTACATCTACTCCATCTCCTGGAAGTGCAAGTCCCAGGACATTCCTTTATATTATTGGGTAGAGTATTAGGTCGTTCTCACACTGCTATAAATAAATACCTGAGACTGGGTTATTTATAAAGAAAAGAGGTTTAATTGGCTCATGGTTCTGCAGGCTGTACAGGAAGCATAGTGACATCTGCTTCTGGGGAGGCCTCAGGGAGCTTTTAATCATGGCAGATGGCAAAGGGTGAGTGAGGCAGCTTACATGGCAGGAACAAGAGGAGGAGAGAGGGAGGAGCTGCTACACACTTTTAAACAACTAGATCTCATGATAACTCACTCACTCACTATCACGAGAACAGCACCAAAGGGATGGCACTAAACCATTCACGAGAACTCCACTCCCAAGATCCAATCACCTTCCACCAGGCCCCACCTCCAACACTGAGGATTACAATTTGACATGAGGTTTGGTGGGGACACAGATCCAAACCATATCAAGTAGTATTTTATTGTATGAACATACCACATTATCTTTACTGATGAATATTTGGGTTGTTTCTCTTTTTGTTTTTTTGAGATGGAATCTTGCTCTGTTTCCCAGGCTGGAGTCCAGAGGCACAATTTTGGCTCACTGCAGTCTCTGCCTCCTGGGTTCCAGCGATTCTCCTGCCTCAGTCTCCTGAGTAGCTGGGACTACAGGTGTGTGCCACCATGCTTGGCTAATTTTTTGTATTTTTAGTAAAAATGGGGTTTCACCATGTTGGTCAGGCTGGTCTTGAACTCTTGACCTCAGGTGATCCACCCTCCTCGGCCTCCCAAAGTGTTGGGATTACAGGTGTGAGTCACTGTGCCTGGACTGTTCCTCATTTTTGACTATTGTTAGTAAGGTTGCTATAAATATTCACCTAAAAGGATTCAACTATACTTTGTACAAACAAAGATTCACTCTTTTTCCAACATGAGGAGATATACAGTTCCAACAAACATTGGAAGATAGTTCTTGTATCCATCTCATCAAATTCAATCATGATCTTATGTGAACACTGTTATCTTCATATTGTATAATTAACCATCTCCACTAATACTTGTAAAAATAATAAGGGGAACTAGGAGAGAGGCAGAACACACAAACATATACACACATATACAATAAGCAAGGAAAAAAGTATGCACAGCTCTACAGTCCATGTTTTTATAACTAATAACAAGTCTATAGCTGGCATTTATAATTTATTTCTTCCGATATCCATGTTTCCTTTGCTTTTAGAAAACCTCAGCTAGTATGTGTTCTTTATGACGTGGGGTGACTGAAACCTTCATTTCTGAAGGGCCTAAGTCTTTAGTGGTCCTGCCATTTTTGGTCTTCTGTAGTTTTCCATTGATTTTTCACTGTTGAACAGGGAACTACTAACAGCCAGCCCAGAAAATTCTCTTTGTTTTAGACATAGTCCTCTGTGCTGTCATTTAGTGGCGGTAACCTAACCCTCACTAATCAGGATCAATTATTCCAGCAGCATGAGGAGCCCAAATGACCATGTGACTTGTCTCAATGTCCAATCCAATAGAAGTCATTATTTTGTGTCCTGGTGAAAGCATTCCTTTGTTCTGGGGAACAAAGATCTCCAAACCACCAGAACTCAAGGTGGAGGAAACAGGAATGAAAAGTTATGCTAGTGTAATTTAGGTATTGTAGTGAGAAGAACCGTTTTCACTTCTGCCCTTTGATTCCTGGATTGCTGTATTCTTGTAGTTAGTGAAGTGGCACCATAGATTTGTGACCAATGCAAACTGTGTACTGAATCCTGCATAATAGAACCCTATCCATTCATGCTATTATCTGCCAGCTGGTTCTGTAACTAGATCTTTAGCGTATCACTTCATCATTCTATCAGTTCTGCTGTTTTAGAGTGATGAGGCATGCAATACCATGGGCATGAGCCCATTGCTCCACCTCTTTTGCTGTGAAGAGAGTTCCTTGATCAGAAACAATATGTGTAGAAAACCATGATGTTGACATGGCAGTTTGCAATTGCATGGAATGCCATGCTGGTAGAAGCATAGATAGATAAGACAAATTCACATCCAAAATTAATGCCTAGTCAAGTGAAAGCATATTGTTTTCCCTTCTGTGATGAAATGGATGTATTATAGTCAACTTATGTGTAGGTGTCTGGCTAGTCCCCTTAGGGCATTTTAGGATGCAGGGTTGGGCTCTGCTGCTGGCAAGTTAGATACTTAGCAATAGCAGTAGTAAAGTCTGCCTTGGTGAGGGGAAATCTATGTTGTTGGGCCCATGTATAACTGATGCCCTGCCACTATGCCCACTATGTACATGATCTGTTGAACACACATTGGGGTGATTTGTATCCACAGAACATTTTACCTTGTCTATGTTATGAAGAACGTCCTCTGTAATGGATTTCCTTAGGTGAGCATTTATATGGAACATAAATACCTTTCCATTCTGTGTCCATTCATAGAGGTTCATTTCCACATTTTTCAGAAAATTTAGTAAGTTTTTGGTCATTATTTCTTCAAAACGTTATCTGAACCAACCTTCTCTTCTAATTTTGGCACTCCAATGTCAGTCACAAATGTCAGAACTTTTGATATGATTCCATAGGTTCCTGAGGCTGTATTCACTTTCTAAAATCTTCTGTTGTTGTTGTTTAAAATAGGTAATTTCTACTGATATGTTTTCAAGCTTGCTGTCTCTTTCCTCTGTCATCTCCATTCTATTGAGCTATTGAGACCATGGGGTGAGCCCAATGGGCTATTGAGCCCATTCAGTGAATTATTTATTTCACATGTTCATATTCTCTTTTTCAGTTCTGAAATGTCCACTTAAAATTTTTTTTTAAATTTCTCTGGATGAAAATGTCTACCTTTCCATTTAAACAGTGTTTACCTTTGCTTGATGAAGCCTGTTTATAACAGCTCTTTAAAGTATTTGTCTGATGATTCCAAAATCTGTTTCATCTTAGAATTGGCATTCGTTGAATATATTTTTCCTTGAAAGTCGATCACATTGTACTAGTTCTTTAAACATTGAGTACTTTTGGGCTGGACGTGGTGGCTCAGGCCTGTAATTTCAGCGCTTTGGGTGGCCAAGGCAGGCAAATTACTTGAGGTCAGGATTTTGAGGCCAGCCTGGCCAACATGACAAAACCCCATCTCTACTAAATATACAAAAATTAACAAGGCATGGGGTGCATGCCTTTAATCCCAGCTACTTGGGAGACTGAGGCAGGAGAATTGCTTGAACCCAGGGGGTGGAAGTTGTAGTGAGCCAAGATTGCACCACTGCACTCCAGCCTAGGCAACAGAGCGAGACTCCATCTCAAAAGAAAAAAAAAACAAAAAACAAAAAACCATTGAGTACTTTTTTATTTTATTCTGAACATTTTGAACATTATGTAATAAATCTCTGTCCCATTAAATTCTCTGGAGAATGTTAATTTTATTGTTTTAGCAGGTAATCAATCGATTAAGTTCAAAGTGCAAGTTCTCTCTTGCCATCTGTGGGCAGTGGTTCCAATGCTAGCCTAGTTTTATTATACTGTTTTGGGTGTAGTCCATGCACATGACATTCTGAGACATGGGTGGTGGATGATACTGTAGTTCAGATTTCAAAGGCTTTGCTATGATGCATTGGATTTATCTTGTGTAAGCACAGCTTAGAAATTATCTTGGAACTTGCGGCAGAATTAGGGGGTCCCTTTCTCCAGCTATCTTATCTCTAAGATTTTATCTACATTCTTTAGCTCACAGGGTTCCTTTTTCCAGATCCTCTGCCCCGTTTCCCAGGCTGGAGTGCAGTGGAGCAGTCAGGGCTCATTGAAGCCTTGACCTCCTGGGCTTAGGTGATCCTCCCAACTCAGTCTCCTGGGTAGCTGGGACTACAGGTGCATGCCATCATACCTGGCTAATTTTTTATATTTTTTGTAGAGACGGGGTTGCACCATGTTGCCCAGGCTGGTCTTGAACTCCTGGACTCAAGCAATCTGCCTGCCTCAGAATCCCAAAATGCTGGGATTACAGGTGTGAGCCACCATGACTCGCTGATTTTCTCAGTATTTAAAAATCCCTGTCTGCTGCATAGTTCTGCAGTGGTCCACCATTGAGTCAAATTCAGAGGATAAAAGAATTAAAAAAAAACTAGGAAACATTCCTTGAAATACATCACTTTTTATGTTGCCTCCTTCCCTAATCTACCTACTATTGTTATTTTTTAGAGTCAGCAAGTATTTGCTTTTTGTATTTTGTCTGAGTTTTTAGTTGTAACCAGTGGGAGAAAAAGTTGAAGTGGGCTTACTTCATTTTGACTGGCATTAGAATTTTCAAACAACAATATTCTTAGAGATGTTGCTATGACTTTGGAGTATGCTGCCTGAGAATTGAGTACTTTTATTCATGTTTTTGTACTAGTGAACAGAACATGCTGGTGGGTGGGATCTTGAGTAGAGTGTACCTGATATGGTTTGGCTCTGTGTCCCCACCCAAATCTCATCTTGTAGCTCCCATATTCCCATGTGTTGTGGGAGGGACCAGGTGGGAGATGATTGAATCATGGGGATGGGTCTTTCCTGTGCAGTTCTCTTGATAGTGAATGGGTCTCATGAGATCTGATGGTTTTAAAACAGGAGTTTCTCTGCACAAGCTCTCTCTATTTGCCTGTCACCATCCATTTAAGATGTGACTTGCTCCTCCTTGCCTTTCACCTTCTGCCATGATTGTGAGGCCTCATCAGCCACATGAAACTGTAAGTCCAATAAGCCTCTTTCTTTTGTAAATTGCCCAGTCTCAGGTATGTCTTTATTAGCAGCATGAAAACAGACTAATACAGTAAATTGGTACCAGTAGAGTGGAGTGCTGCTGAAAAGATACCCAAAAATGTGAAAGTGACTTTGGAACTGGGTAACAGGCAAAGGCTGAAACAGTTTGGAGGGCTCAGAGGAAGACAGGAAAATGTGGGAAAGTTTGGAACTTCCTAGAGACTTGTTGAATGACTTTGACAAAAATGCTGATAGTGATATGAACAATAAGGTCTAGGTTGAGGTGGTCTCAGATGGAGATGAGGAACTTGTTGGGAACTGGAGCAAAGGTGACTCTTGTTATATTTTAAAGAGACTGGTGGCATTTTGCCCCTGCCCTAGAGTTTTGTGGAATTTTGAACTTGAGAGAGATGATTTAGGGTATCTAGATGGCAGAATAAATTTTTAAGAAGCAAAACATTCAGGAGGTGATTTGGGTGCTGTTAAAGGCATTTAGTTTTATAAGGGAAGCAGAGCATTTTTTGGAAAATTTGCAGCCTGACAATGCGATAGAAAACCAAATCCCATTTTCTGAGGAGAAATTCAAGCTGGCTGCAGAAATTTGCATAAGTAATGAGGAGCCAAATGTTAATCCCCAAGACAATGGGGAAAATGTCTCCAGGGCATGTCACAGGTCTTCATGGCGGCCCCTTCCATCACAGGCCTGGAGGCCTAGGAGGAAAACATGGTTTCGTGGGCTGGGCTCAGGGTCCTTGTGCTGTGTGCAGTCTAGGGACTTGGTGCCCTGCATCCCAGCTGTTCCAGCTGTGACTAAAAGGGGCCAAGATACAGTTCCAGCTGTGGCTTCAGAGGGTGTAAGCCCCAAGCCTTGGCATCTTTCATGTGGTGTTGAGCATGGGGGCACACAGAAGTCAAGAATTGAGGTTTGGGAACCTCTGCCTAGATTTCAGAGGATGAATGGTAATGTCTGGATGCCCAGGCAGAAGCTTGCTGCAGGGGCGGGGCCCTCATGGAGAACCTCTGCTAGGGCAGTGCAGAAAGGAAATGTGTGGTTGGAGCCCCCCACAGAGTTCCTACTGGGGCACCACCTAGTGGAACACCACCTACTGAGAAGAGGGCCACCATCCTCCAGACCCCAGAATGGTAGATTCACTGACAGGTTGCACTGTGCACCTGGAGAAGCCACAGACACTCAATGCCAGCTCATGAAGGCAGCTGGGAGGGAGGCTATACCCTGCCAAGCCATAGGCTGGAGCTGCCCAAACTTTGGGAACCTACCTCTTACATCAGCATGACCTGGATGTGAGACATGGAATCAAAGGAAATCATTTTGGAGCTTTAAGATTTGACTGCCCTGCTGGACTTAGGACTTGCATGGGACCTGTTGCCCCTTTGTTTTGGCTAATTTCTCCCATTTGGAATGGCTGTATTTACCCAATACCTGTACCCCCATTGTATCTAGGAAGTAACTAACTTGCTTTTGATTTTATAGGCTCATAGGCAGAAGGGACTTACCTTTTCTTGAATGGGACTTTGGACTGTAGACTTTTGAGTTAATACCAAAATAAGTTGTGACTTTTGGGGACTGTTGGGAAGGCATGATTGGTTTTGAAATGTGAAGATATGAGATTTGGGAGGGGCCAAGGGTAGAATGATATGGTTTAGCACTGTGTCTTCACCCAAATGTCATCTTGGAGCTCCCATAATTCCCATGTGTTGTGGGAGGGACCAGGTGGGAGATGATTGACTCATGGGGGCGGGTCTTTCCTGTGCAGTTCTTGTTATAGTGGATGGGTCTCATGAGATCTGATGGTTTTAAAAATGGGAGTTTCTCTGCACAAGCTCTCTCTTTTCACCAGCCGCCCTCTATGTAAGACATGACTTGCTCCTCCTTCCTTTCACCTTCTGCCATGATTGTGAGGCCTTTCCAGCCACATGGAACTGTAAGTCCAATAAGCCTCTTTCTTTTGTAAATTGCCCGGTCTCAGGCATATCTTTATCAGCAGTGTGAAAATGGACTAATACAGTACCACAGAGAGGGATCCTAGTATCTACAAAAAAGGATCTTGGTTTCTACAAAAAAAAAGACTAGAAATGACCTCCTTTATGATCTATGAGCAAATTTCTAACTTTGGGGGAACAAATCATTGCATGCTATTTGCTGACAGATACTTTGGAAAAAGGAAATTTTTGCCTAAAATATGATGTATGCTGAAGTGGAAATAGTAATTGGTGACTACAGTGACCAATGGCTATCATTAATATCATATGGGGTCTGCAGTTGAGTCCTTGAATGAGGTCTAAAATCCCTTGTATGGTCAAATAATAATTTTTCTTTCTTATAAGAACAAATAGCATTAATAATTTGAGACACCTACTCTTAAGTAGGTAGGCCCAAACCACATACCCTACCTTGGATGGTTTTCACTGGGGGAGAGTGAACATTATTCTCATATTCTTATTTAAAGCCCCTTTTGTTTAGCAATTTCATTTATTTAATCTTTTGATACATATGTAGTTTATATGAAAAGGAATTTGTATTTGGCTTTTACTGAAGACTCACAATTTTTGCTCTACAGAAACTAATGAAATTAAGGAGAAATTTGTTCCTTTGACTCCCAAATAAGTAAAAAAGAAGTTGCAATTGCAGTTTGCTTCAAAAATTGGACCCAAAATTTTTGCCCAGCAAAGTAATACAAAGGGTCATGACATTCAAGTCCCACCTTTTCCAGGGACAGTTTGCTTGCCTTTGCCATCGGCTTTAGACACTGACAGAGAAATGTCAGATCTGGTTAAAAGTTTTTAGATCAGGAAATATTCTGCTACTTAGGGAAATGGTTGAGTAGAATGCAAGTTATAACAAGATATTGCTTGGATTTTGCATTTGATAGAATTAAAAGGCATGTGAAACCCTTTGGCCAGACCTCGAGACTAGGTTGACAGGTTTTGAAAACTTTCATTTTATCCTAACTAAAAATAATTGAAGCTGTGCGCGGTGGCTCACGCCTGTAATCCCAGCACTTTGGGAGGCCAAGGTGGGTGGATCACGAGGTCAGGAGTTTGAGACTAGCCTGGTCAGCATGGTGAAACCCCATCTCTACTAAAAATGCAAAACGTTAGCCAGGCATGATGGTACACGCCTGTAGTCTCAGCTACTCAGGAGGCTGAGGCACGAGAATCGCTTGAACCCAGCAGGTGGAGGTTACAGTGAGCCGAGATCATGCCATTGCACTCCACCCTGGGCAACAGAGTGAGACTCCGTCTCAAAAAAAAAAAAAAAAAAAAAAAAAAAATTGAAGTACCATTTAGTCCAGGGAGGCGAGCAGCCTCAGAATTGGTGGGCTCTAATGCATAAGACAGGTCTAACCCTCACAAACATTTCATTTCCTCCCCAGGGTACCTCCCAAAGCAATACTTTCTTGTGGTAATCCTTTTGCCTGAGACCTCAAGTTTAAAGATGAGACATAATGAGTGTTTGGAGGAGGAAGTTTAAGAAAACTGCATTCATGTTTTTGTTTGTTTGTTCGTTTGTTTTTTTCCCTAAGCAGCTCACTAATTACGGTCCCCAGAGAGTATGGCTCAAACTACTTTGCACAATCTCACCTACAGATTGTATTTCCCTCTCACCCCCAAGGCCCAGAGGGCTAACCTGGGGGGACCTATACTTGGGGTGGACTTCTTACTCTGGTCTGGCGTAGAAAGAACCAGAGACCTGTGTCTGAGGCAAAGTCAAAATCAACACGAAGACCATGGCACAGGGGAGGGGTGCGAAAGGGATCCTGAATAGAAAATCAGGAGTCAGGCTGAAAGTGGAGAAAACAAAAATGGTTCAGGAATAAAGTGGGGGTGGTTCTGTGTGGTTTCTGGCACTGGTGCACTTGAAATTTACATGTATTGGTTAGGGTGGAGTGGAATGGGGTGGGGGTGAGGGGCTGATGTAGACAGGCCTATTAGAGGGCTCTGAAGGCACAGGAAGAGACACAAACAGACCACTGTGGAGAAGGTATCTTTGGTACTTGTTTTCCTCTCTCTTTGTCAGAGTAGTGGCTATAGACTCAGCTGTAAATAAACATTTTTTAATTTGTTAATTTTCCCTTTTTATGGGTATAAGTATTATTTAAAAATATTTTATTATAACATTAAATGTGCTAAATGGTAAACAACAGCAACAACAAAAATCAAACACAAACTTTGAAACCACAAAAAAGGTTTGAGAAAAAACTAAAAATGCACCAGTAATCAGAACACACAGAGGTAACTACTACTGGTATTTAGGTGAATTTCGTACCTGGTATTTTGGTGAATTTCTTTATAAGTCTTCCTTTTCTAAACTAAAAAGCAGCCCCCTCAATATTGTTTAGATTCATTTATCTAAAAATATGTAATGAGGCCCTACTCTGTGCCTGACACTGTTCTAAGCACTATTACGTATGGTAGGAATGAAGCTGACAAAATCTTTGTCTTCTCTTGCTGACATGCTCGTGAGAATGGGGGGAGACAAACATGAGCAAAACAAGTTAAATATATAATATTTTATATGTGAGTGTTAGAGAGAAAATAAGGTACAGGAGAGGCAGAGGCTCTTGGTGTCTGAAAGAATTGCATTTTTAAAAAGGGTCATTACAGAAGGTCTTACTAAGAAGGGGACATTTGAGTGGATACCTAAGGTAGTGAAAAGCCATGTGCACATCTCAAAGAACAGGGAATAGCAGGTGCAAAGGCCCTGAGATGGGAGTGTGCCTGAGCTGTGAGAGAAGTGTTGAGCAGACCAGTGTGCCTGGTGTGAGAGGGTGCAGGAGACTGGCAGGAGATTAGGTCAAAGCAGAAGTAACCTGCTGAAATGACTTTGGCTTTAACCCTGGGGATGATGAGAAGCCCGTGGAGTGTTTTCAACAGAGGAAGGATATGATTTGACTTATGTTTACTAGAATTTCTCTGGCTGACAGGGTGTGTGAGGGGCAGCGGAAGAAGTGGCTAGACCAGAGAGGAGGTCCTTGTGATAATCCAGGGGGAGAGGGGATGATGGTAGCTCCATGTAGGTGATAGCACTGGAGGTGGTGAGGAGGGTTGGATTTGAAGGTAGAAGTGGAGGGCTTGATGATGAACTAGATACGGGATGTGAAAGAGGAATTCAGAGTGACTCGAGATGTTTGGCCTGAGCAATTGGAGACATGGAGTTACCACTAATTGTGATGGGAATACTTTGGTAGAAGCAGGGTTTTGGGGGCAAGATTAGGAGCTGATTTTGAACCTGTTAAATTTTGAGATTCCTAGTAGGTTTCCAAGTAGAGATGCTGAGCAGGCAGTTAGACATGTGAGTCTGGAGTTTAGGCATGAGGTCAAGGTTGACATAATTTTGTGAGTCATCATCTGCATGTAGATGACATGAAAAGCCATGAGAGCAGATGAGATCATTAAGGGATTCAGTCCAGTTAGAGAAGTGAAATGGTCCAAGAACTGAACCATGGGGTGGGCCAGAGCTAAGAGGTCAGGGAGATGAGGAATCAGCAAAACAGTTTGTGAGATAGGAGGACACCAAGGCCACCTGGTGTCCAGAAAGCCAAGTGAAGGCACGTTGAAGTAGGAGGGACAGCAGAGTGATCAGCTGTGTCAATGCTGCAGATAGGCCACAGAGCCAGGTGTGGAGTGTGTGGGGAGAAGGACTGTGCTGTGTGAGGGTTTTTTTCTGAGCGTGGTTTATGGATGTTACAATATTTCTCAGAGGGAAAAAGAGGAAGAACATTTCGAGAAGGAACTATTTGAACAAAATCAAGAGAACTGAAAGCAAATGTTTTTAGTGGAGTGCCAAGTAATTTTGGGTATGGTTGGAGAGATGCTGGGAGATGAGGCTGGAAAAGTCCAGAGGGGCCTTGAATGCTCTGCTAAGGAAAAGGGAAGGATTAGAATGGTCATTTGTTGAGATTGATCAATAATTAATGAAATTACTCCAGTTAATTTTCATGACAAAGTAACCAGGTCAACATTATTGCTTCCATTTTACAAATGTGGACAGTGAAACTCTGATGAAGTAACTTTTCTTACACCCTGTAAGTGGTACAGCCAGAGTTCCAACCCAGACCCATCTTGCTCAAAACCTTTGATATTTTCAAGTAACCACCCTGCATTCCTCAGAGGTTTAAATGGAGATGTTTGAATTAGCAAGTGACACATTCAGATCAATGTTTTGGATAGGTACCTGGCAGCAGAGTAGGGCATGGGTTTGGGGTAGCCATGGTCTCTAAAATCACCTCAGATGGGTGAACACTTACACAGACTACATGTACTTTTAATTGTTGACCTTGTATTTTCAACCAGGGGAGCTGGCCAGGTGAACCACAGTTGCCAGGTGAGCCACACCATCCAGAGCAGGGAGCATGTGCTGGGGTATTGATTGGAGAAAACTTTTTACACATTTGCCCTCAGTAGATGTACCCTGTTAGTGAGCCAACATTATTTTGTCAATGTCTGTGACATGTTTCATCATGTGGAGCATCTGATACCATTTAGACAAAAGACCTGGAAAAATAAAGTCCAGAACAATTCAATTAAATGAAAAAGCTCAGCTTCTCATGCAAGTCTAAGGAGACCCATTTTCAAGTCAATGTCATTATAACGCTCAGTGGGGGAGCATAATTCATGGAGCATCTTCTGCACTAAGACCTTATTACGATGATGGGTGTAAAGAAATATCCATGAGACATGCACACAGAGGATAATGAGAACCTCAAACCATGACGTGTTCATTGAACTGTTTAATTGGATAGAATTTTATCTGAGACGGCGGCCATCCTTCTGCTCTCCAGCTATGATGGGAAGTTATGGAATGTCGATCATCATCAATGCTGTCCACAACCCAATGGCAGAAGGAAATCACATAAATGCAAATTACACTGTAATTAAAAAGGAAAGAGGCAAGAAGCAAAAACATTTAGCTGAGCTTGGCCTTCAGAGTCCTCCATTGCCTTTGAGAGTTCAGTAGGCTTAGGGTTTGCTTTGAAATAATCCACTTATGCTGTTGATGGGGGCAGGAGGTTAATGAAGAGGAGTGCAGGGATGGTGCAGGAACTCAGCACTGGGGCGTGATAGGAAAAAGGAGAAAGAACAGGGTATTATTTATATGGGGAGGCAATGCTAAGACTATTTTTATTGGCTGCAGTTACATCTATTTTTTAATTTAATGTTTTGAATAGTTCTAAGATTCCGTTCCAAAATAAAATAAGATAAATAAAATAAATAAACAAGTCAAACTTCTCCTTTCCCACCTTTAGCCCCTTCCCAGTTTTCCAACCCCAGGAACCACTGTTGTTTGTGTTTTTAGTGTCTTCTCAGACTGTTTTTGTGCTAATATATACTGGAATTTGGAATTTCCCCCCATTTTTATGTGGAAGGCAACATACCTTGCTTTTTTTTACTTAATATATCATTGATCCCCTTCTATACTAATACAAATAAACATCCTTATTCTTTTCTACAGCTGCCTAGTGCTCAATGGAAATACCATACTTTACCAATCCCCTGTTCTTGGAGATTTCATTTATTTCCAATATTTTGCTACTACAAACAAGTGCCATTGATTGGCATTTCTGCTTTCCCCACTGGATTCTGAGCTCTATGAGGGCTATGTCCCAGACCTTACTCATTTTGGTATTTATAACACATAATACAGTCTCTAATAGATAGCATATGTTCAGTAAATGTGAATGGAATTCACTTAAATGGAACTCAAAGAATCCCATATAAGCAGCCGTGATGAACACAGCTGTCAGCTGCCTGTGGGCCGAGAAGATGGCTGCCCATGTGCAGTGATTTCAGTAGGCCTGGTAAGACCTCATTCCCCCTCCCACCCAACTCCAAATCTTTTCAGACTTTCTGGATCATACTTTAAATCCCTCTATTCCTTTCATCCCTTTAGCTTCCTGATCTCACTCTTATTAAACAGCAAATGTTCCACCTTCATATTTGCATCATTCACCTCTCAGTGGGGTCTTTGGACCTTCTCTCTCTGGCCACACCACCTATTCTGACCGTTTTAATTGCTATGAGACACAGGTCTTAGGAACCTGAGGGACAGACACCTAAAACCTGCAGTGTCAAATCAGAGCTGGCTCTCATTAATATTGCCAGATGGTCACTTGCCCAATTGGTCCAGGACTCGAGTAGAGACTCAAACCCAGACAGCCAGGGCTCAACTTCTAGCTTTGTCACTTAGTAGTATGTAACACCAGGAAGTCACTCTCTGTGTCTGCATTTCTTTATCTGCAAAATAGAGGTTCTTACAGCTATACCTACTGTCTTAGTCCTTTTGGGCTGCTATAACAAAATAGCATTGACTGGATAGCTTAAACAACAGAAATTTAATTCTTACAGTTCTGGAGGCTAAGTCCAAGATTAGGACAGATGTTGTGTCTGGTGAAGGCCCACCTTCTCCCTGTACCTCACATGGTGGAAGGAGCAAGGCAGCTCTCTAAAGCCTCCTTTATAATGGCACAGATCCCACTCATGAGGGCTCTGCTCTCATGATCTAATCACCTCCCAAGGTCTCTATCTCCTAACCATTATTATGGGAGTTAGGATTCCAACACATAAACTTCAGAGGACACAAACATTCAGACCATAGCACCAACCTCATGGTGTTGTTGAAAGAACAATGAGTTAACATACGTGGAGTACTTAGTACAGTAGCTGGCTTGTAGTAAGTGCTATGTAAGGGTTTTCTGTTATTGTTATTGGTCTTCGGGGTGGGCAGCAGGGTGGATGCCTGCTCTCCGCTTTAAATCTCTGTTAGCACTCCTGGGTAACCATCTCAATGCAGGGAGTGGTTGGCCCTCTCTGTTTTGCTTTCCTGGGGCAGAAATTTTGGGTCACTGGTAATATTTAACTGAAATGCTCTTACCTTATTTGAGGAGCTCTAGTTATGGAATATAATAATAGCTGTCTTACCTCATTTGAAACACTGGGCAGGGAAAATCTTTTTCCTCCTCTTATTATGTGATAAAAATACTAAAACACAAGCAAACATACTTTCCAGATAAAGACGGGACTGCTTGCATGAGTTTTGCCAACATTAAAAATTCCTTTCCTATGTTGCATTTGCATTGTTTGCTTCCTAGGAATGAACTCACAGATTCTTCATGAGTTCTTCTTAAGAGCAATAAAAGTAGACACAGCCTGTCAGTCCCATCAGTTTCCAAGTTGAGAGGAAAACCCATGCCATGAGGATAGCACAGTGTCCCTCCTCTGTGCTCCCAGAATGCCACATGCTTAGCCCTATGCATGGAATTAAAACATTTTATAGAGTTAGTTGTACATGTACTGGACTGGTTTTCCATGAGCTGCCAGGTAGTACTCATTATTTGAACAAAGACGGGAGGGCTGTCCTCAGCATGAGTTGTATAGGTTGCACATGGATAGAATTTAAGTGACACCTTCCAGACTTTACTAATAAAAAGTAATGTGGGGGCCAGGTGTGGTGGCTCACGCCTGTAATCTCAGCACTTTGAGACGTTGAGGCAGGCAGATCACTTGAGGTTAGGAGTTTGAGACCAGCCTGACCAACATGGAGAAACCCTGTCTCTACCAAAAAACACAAAATTAGCCGTGCGTGGTGGCGCATGCCTGTAATCCCAGCTACTCGGGAGGCTGAGGCAGGAGAATTGCTTGAACCCGGGAGGTGGAGGTTGCGGTGAGCTGAGATAGTGTTATTGCACTCCAGCCTGGGCAATAAGAGTGAAACTCCGTCTCAAAAAAAAAAAAAAAAGTAATGTGAGGTCTCTTGCCAAAATACAGATTCCTAGACCCCATCATAGAGGAGGCAATTCAGTAGGTCTGAGGTTAGGCCTGGGAATCTGAATTTTCACTCTGTAGCTCAGGTAATTCTCATGCTCTGGCAAGTCTGGGAAATACTTGCAGAGTGCTTAAGAGCTCAGGCTTTAGTCAGACTTGGGTTTGAATCCCAACTCTTTCACTTATTAGCTGTGCTACATTGGTCAAGTTACTTCCCGTCTACACCTCACTCTTCTCATCAGCTAAACATGGATTATAATAATATGTCCTCAAAGGGTTGCTATAAGTTTAAATGAGAAAATGGATGAAAAATGACTTGCACAGCCCTGACACATAACACATTCTACAAATGACAGCTCAATTTTCAGAATGACACTAAGGGGTAGTATCATTACGAAAATTGATCCTCATTTTGAAGATGGGAAAGCTGATATACAGGCAGGCTAACGAGCTAGCTGAGTTCACACAGCTAGTGAGTGGCAGAGCTAGGTTTGAAATCCAAGCAGTTTCTTTTGAAGTGGCTCTTGACAGGCTTGGGGACAATCAATGTTGGGAGGGAATGAAGTGGGGCATTGAAATACATGCCTTGCACATACATTGACCCTTTCCCTATAATGCATTGAGAATCTGAAATTGAATCCTAATGTATTAGGCAATATATTAGGATTAGAGGGTTCTCCTCAAAGTCTGAAGGAGATAAATTTAGAACTTAAAGAGAAGCTCTTCGTGGGGTAGAAGAAATTTAAGGAACCAGTTTTTTAGGCTAATAATATAACTAATCTTAAAATAAGTAAAATTCCTGTATAGCAGATCCCTGAGAATCTCTGAGGGTGAGTGATGGGTTGTGGAGTTGGCATCATTGAGGGTAGCCAAACTTCTCAGGGTATGAACTTCCTTGTCATGACTTTATCCTTGCAGTTTCCAGGGTTATAGTCCACACCTAATCAGCACCATCTGAGAACACTGTCCTAGGACCAATCCCAGAAAGCTTTTCATGGTAATGGCAGTGGAAACGGAAGACGAGCAAGGATGTACACAAAATGTTTGCTTCTGATTCAAATAATGAAGGATAAAAATGACCTTCAGTGCTAACAAGAAATCACTGGATAAACAAACCATAGACTCAAACATGTCTGTACAGCCATCAAAGAGCTGTAGGTGCAAAGAAATAGAAAAGAAATAGACTCCAGAGATATCAGTCCTTTTTAGGTAAACTGGGGGTGGACACTTTCATATCAGGGGCTGGTTGTACCGAGGTTAGGGACATTGTGGGCAAAAGAGCAAGCCTGCCAGAGTCTTGGCTGGGATAAGAAGAAACAGCCAATTTATTTTTATTTTTATTTTTTTTACAAATCTGTGGCTGGCCTTTGGATTTGAATGTGGAGGAGACTTCAATGCAAAGATAATCTACTCTGCCCAGTAATTCTCTTACATAGAAATCCTGTGTAATAAACAGAGCTTTGAGACAGAGCTGGGAAGCAGAAAGCAAGTTTGTGATCCTGCAGTCTTACAGTTTCAAAATCTTGGGATCTTGAAGTCTCATGGTCTCTCATTCTTGTGGTCTCGCAGTTTCCTGGCCCTGCAGTTCTGAGGTTCCATAATATCATGCAATGCGCTCTCAATAGTTTTGTGATTTCAGTTTTGAGGTCTAGCAGCCTGTGGTCTCAAAATCTTAAGGTCTAGCAGTCATGTGGTGCTTTAGGGAGAGGTCTCAACTTATTTAAGTATCTGAAGACATATTTACTGGAATCTAATTAATGGAAGCTAATTTAATGGAAGCTAATCAAAGCTGCAACCAAACATCTTTACCCCAGCTGCCTAACTAAAGCACACAATTTATATACTTTAGCCTCTACTATTATTTTATAAACAATACCTGGCATATATAAAAATTATAACACATGTAAAGAAACAGGAGAATGGGAACCATAGACAAGAGAAAAATCACTAAGTAGCACTGAGGTTGAGATTAGCAGACAGGAACTTCGAAATAACTGTAGTAAATACATTAAAAAAGCTACATGAAAAGATGAATATAGTGAGTAAAGAGATGTGGAAATTTTAGAGAAGGTGTAAAAACTATAAAAGAGAACCAATTGGAAATCCTAAAATTAAAAAAAATATATATACACCTTAAAAACATTTCACTGTGTGGAACAGCAGATTATACATACAACTGAAAAAAGGAACAGCGAAGATGAAGACATGCAGTAAAAGCCATCCAAACAGAAGAACAAAGTGAAAAAGGGTAGAAAGAAATAAACAGAGACTTAGTGACCTGTGGTATAGCAACAAGTGGTCTAAAATACAGGTAATTACAGTTCTAGGAGGAAAGGAGAGAGAATGAGACAGAAACATTTTGATGAATTTTGGCTGGAAATGTCAAAAGTTGTTAAGAAACAACAACCCCAAAATCTAGGAAGCTAAGTAAACTCTAAGCAAGATAAATTCAAATAAAATCACACCCAGACACATCATTGTCAAACTGCTGAAAACCAAAGATAAAAACATCTTGGAAACATCAGGAGAAAGATGGTGCAGTACATACAGGATAACGTGTTCCAAGTGACCATTGACTTACCCTCAGGAAAAAAATGGGACTCAGAAGACAATAGAACAAGTTTTAAAGCATTGGGAAAACAAACAAACTGTCAACACAGAATACCATGTCATTCAAAAATATCCTTTAAGAATAAAGGCAAAATTAAGGCACTTTCAGATTATAAACACACATACACACGAAAATTAATTGATAGCAGGCTTGCACTACACAAAATGCTAAAGGTATTTATTTAGGCTGAAAGGAAATAATACCAGATAGAAACTCAGACTAAAGGTATTTATTTAGGCTGAAAGGAAATGATACCAGATAGAAACTCAGATGTGCAGAAAGGAATGAAGAACATCAGAATGGTAAATATGTGGGCAAATAAAATATAAAAGACTACTTTCCTCTTAATTAAAAAATTATGACAGTTTAAAGTCAAAATTATAACATTGTCTTGTGGGATTTTAAACATATGTCAGTGTAAATAATGTGTAAAAGTCATAAGATAAAGAATGGGGGATGGGTGTGTTAATTTTCTATTTCCGCTTAACAAATTACTACAAATGTGGTGGCTTAAAACATCATAAATCTATTCGCTCACAGTTTAGTAGGTTGGAAGTTCAACATGGTTCAGCTGAAGGCCAAAATCAAGGTGTTGGCTAGGTGGAGCTTTTATTTGGAGGCTTTAGAGAAGAATCTACTTCCAAGCTCATTCAGTTTGTTTGTGAAATTCAATTCCTTATTGTTGTAGCCTGTTTATTTGTTGGCTGTCAGCCAAGGGCTGCTCTCAATTTCTAAAAGCTTCCCAAGTTTCTTGGCATATGGCCCCCTCCATCTTAAACCAGCACTGGAACTTCAGATTCCTCTTGTACTTCAAATCTCTGACTTTCTCTTTTGCTGCCAGCCAGAGAACATTCTCTGCTTTTAAAAGACTTACCTTATGGTTCAAGCCCACCTGGGTAATCTCTGTATCTTAATATGAACTGGCTTTGCTCTTTAATTATATCTGTAAAATCCCTTCCCAGCAGTCCCTAGATTAGTATTTGACTGAATAACTAGGGGATAGGGGTCTTAGAGCCATCTTTAAAATTCTGCCTACCACAGTAGAGAAATGCATCTATATTATTGCAAGATTTCTATATTTAACATAAAATGGTACAATATTATCTCTAAATAGACTGTGAAAAATTAAGGATGTATATTATACTTCCTATAGCAATCATAAAAACTACAATGCAAACAGACATAGTCAAAAAGCTAGAGAAGAATTCTAAAAATTATTTAATTAATCCAAAACAAAAGCAGGAAAGGCGGAGCAGAGGAACAATAAACAGAGGAGACAAACAGCAAACACATAGAGAAACAGTTAAATACTATTCAGAAATGTGAGTGAACCACTGATACAATGATATAAATGAATCCTCAGATTTATCCATTGTAAACCTCAAAAAAGACCACATACTATGTAATTTCATTTATATGAATTACTAAAGTACTAAAAATAATCTATGGAGGAAAAAAAGAACAGTTGTTGCCTTGAGGAGCAAGGCAGAGATTTTTCTGGGAAGTGACATGAGGGAATTTTTTGGAGTGAAGTAATGTTCTGTATTTTGAAAGAGGTTTGGGTTGCTCATGTGTACACATATGCCAGATCAATTGATACACTTAAGATTTGTGCATTTTGTTGTATGTAAATTTCACCTCAAAATTAAAAAAATGTAAATACTAACTATAGTTATGATACACATGCTAAAGCATTTATGGTAAAATGTACTTATATCTGAAACTTATGTAAAAATAAGATGAATTGATGGGTAGAGAGATGGATAGATGATAGATATGTAATAAAACAATTATAATCAAATGCCAATCATTGAATTCTAGGTAGTAAATACGCAGGGTAATATTATTTCAACTTTCCTGCATGTTTGAGAGCTTTAATGAGAAAACATTAATAGAAAAAAAGGTACAATAAAACATTTTCAGATAGATAAAAGCTGAGAGAATTCGTTGCTAGCAGATCTGAACTCAAGATGTGCTAAAAAAGTTTCTTAGGTGGAAGGGAAATGATACCAGATTGAAATCTAGTTCTACAGGGAGGAAAGAAGATCAATGGAAATAGTAAATAGAGAATACTATTTTTCTTTATTTTCTATGTTCCTTAAATTCAATGGACTGTTGAAAGCAAAAATGCTAACAGTGGATTGTGGCATTTAAAATATATGTAGAAGTAAAATATACAACAATAATACAAAGGGAAGGAGATAGTATAAACAGAATTATACTTTGTAAGTTTCTTCATTATAATGAAGTGGTATAATATCTATTCCAGGCAGACTATGACAAAAATGCATATTTTAATGTAGTAGGCAAACAGAAGACATAATAAAAGCAGTTATAGCTAACAAGCCAATAGAGAAGACAGAATGTTAAACTAAAAAAAGCTTAATTAACCCCAGTAAAGTCAGTAATACAGGAAGAAAGAACAGAAAAAATAAGTAGAAAATAAGAATTACATTAAATATAAACAAACTAAACATGTTGTTTAAAAGGCAGCAATTGACAGATTGTATAAAAAAGCAAGACCCATCCCTATGCTGTTTAAAAGATATACAGAGACACAACAGATTGAAAGAATAGGAAGAAAAATATATACCATGCAAATACTAAGCCTAAGAAAATTGGTGTTATACCAGTTTATAACTGATAGGCTGTATTAAAATCATGCAAGGAGCATTATTAGAGATAAAAATGGTCATTTCATAGTGAGAGGCTAAAGTTTGGTCTAAGCATTTTTATAAAGGATTCTGAATTTCAGGCAGGTTGGTGAACATTTGCCTAAAACACCTGCTTTGTGTTTGAGGCTTCTATTTTTTAAATGAGGTCAGTTTCTGATAAAGTTTTGCTGTGCCCCCACCCAAATCTCAACTTGAATTGTATCTCCCAGAATTCCCACGTGTTGTGGGAGGGGCCCAAGGGGAGGTAATTGAATCATGGGGACTGATCTTTCCCGTGCTATTCTCATGATAGTGCATAAGTCTCATGAGATCTGATGAGGTTATCAGGGGTTTTTGCTTTTGCTTCTTCCTCATTTTCTCTTGCTGTTGCCATGTAAGAAGTGCCTTTTACCTCCTGCCATGATTCTGAGGCCTCCCCAGCCATGTGAAACTGTAAGTCCAATTAAACCTCTTTTTCCCCGCCCCCGAGTCTTGGATATGTCTTTGTCAGCAGTGTGAAAACAGACTAATACAGTTTCCAAATGGAGGGGGCTGTCTGGGTTGTGAGTTTTGCTGAATCAGACCACAATTCATGGATCAGTACAGATCTATTAGGTGTTGCATGGGCTCCCAGTGCTGGACAGGTTGATGCCAGGGACATAGGCTACATAACCCTTTCCTATGAAGAGATTATATCTTCTTGATGATACACATACTTACCTACAACTGACAGCACAAAACAAGAATTTTTCTCCAATCACAGGCTTCAAACATGCTCTGTTGTTTTTCCTTTTCCTACCCCTTGACAACAGTTCAGGCAGATCTTGTAACGTGGTCCTGTCAGCTACAATGATGGTCATTTTGACAGCTGGGAATCATGTTCAGGCAGCAAATGGTCCTTGGGGTCAAATTGCAACTTCAGCCTCCCTCTCTCCCCTCTAAAGCTTCTCCCTCTCCCCAGCTCAGCCTGGCCTGTGTGTGACTCAGGACTTCTTTCATTCTCTCTTCGTCATTAGGATTTTTGGGGGGTGGGCAAGAGGAGGGAGAACTTGAAGAAAGGGGTCAAAGCCCCTGTACTTAATGGGCTCCGCTGTTATGGTTCCTTCTTTGCTCACAGGGGCTGGCTACGGATGGTTTTTAGTGCCAGGGAGGAATGTGCTTGCTGTCTTGCAGTTACATGTGTGGGTTTTTCAGAAGCCTCTCAGGAGGGTGCCTTACCACCCAGATCCCTGGCCTCCTGGTGAGGCACTCCCTGCCTGGCCTCTTGTGGCTCCTGTCCCCAGCTCCTGCCCACAACACAGTCCCTTCCTGCTGGGGCTCCTTGGCTTATGGGAGGTCCACCCTTGCTCCTCCAAATTCTATGGCTCTCTTTCCTCATGGGCTACTCTGCTCAGCCTCCCACCCTCAGAATTCTCCAGCTGAGATCCAGGAGACTATGCCTTCTCTCCCCTAAAGTACAGGCAACTCTTGTCCAAGTCTCCCAAGAAGAGTGTCCCCACATTCTTTACTGGGGCAGCCCTAGGACAGGACAGGGATTTCTGCAGCTCGGCAAGCATCTGGCTGGGGAGGATGGTCAAGCTCCCTTTCTGCAGCATCCTGCATCTCGCTGAGTGTTGTCCTAAGAGCCCTTCTCACCCGGCCTAGGTTGGACAGGAGCACTCATCTCCCCACTTCTTTCATAGCCATCTCCCCCAGGGACTCTTTCTCTCATTAATGACCTCCTTTGACTTTCTAGTCTGTGTATAAGGAGAGGGGAGTAGTGGGGCAGGCTTATAGGACCACTTGGTTGTTTCACCGGGGCCTGTTATGGGGTGGGGGGAGGGGGGAGGGATAGCATTAGGAGATATACCTAATGTTAAATGACGAGTTAATGGGTGCAGCACACCAATATGGCACATGTATACATATGTAACTAACCTGCACATTGTGCACATGTTCCCTAAAACTTAAAGTATATATAAAAAAATAAGCATTTGGTACTCTCTTTATAATTAGGGGCATTTAACACTAAAATCCTCAGGCACGGGGTTGTGATTCTGAGCTGGGCTGGAACATCTCATTCACCCTTCTGTCTATGCACAGATGAAGGGAAAGCATCAGAAAACACATGGCAATGGACTTGACTTGGGGGTCTCTGCTCTGCCCATTAGGTGTTATAAGATAGGAAAGACAACAGGCTTGGAGTCTTAAGACTGCAGGATCAGGGCCTGAACTGAGCCTTGAGGGAATTTTTTTTAACTTGAAAAATTGCATTATAAAAGTTATACATGCTCCTTATACAAAACAGCCACAAATAAAATCAACCTTCCTTCCCTCCAGTCTTGCTTCTCTAAGATAACCTCTCATGACAGTTTGCTCTGTATACTTCCTGCTTTTTTAAAAAATGCACGTATAAAAGCACATATCCAAACCACAAATAAAGCACACAGATTTTTTTCAAGAGCACCCCATGTGTATTGGCTTGAAGGATTTCGAACAGTCGTTTTCAAATATTTGTGTGCTTCCTGTCCCTGACCTGGAGAGACAGGGCTGCCAGGTATGACTGTGCAGGCTACACTCTGTCCAAGAGTGCCTGCCTGAAGGATTTAGTGGGCCTGAGAACCAGCCCGTGTTCTGTTGCCCAGCCACACACCCTGGCTATGTGCATTTGGAGAAGGGGCACCGGAGGGAGGGAGGCCTTTTCCTAATTACAGCAAAGGCACTGGATCTTTGAGAAAGTTCCTGGTTAGTGAAATCAGAGAAGGAAACTGACCAGTCTAATGCCAGAGCAAGGCTATTGTGTCACCCAAGGCCATGTGTGTAAAGAAGCAGGTGGACTCTATACCAAGGACACATGAGCTGTGAGGTCAGGGACCTCTGGGAACTCAGAAGAACACATGCTCCTGCCCTCTGGAAGCTGACAATCCGTGAATGGAGGAAGTCACACACCTGAAATGTATGTGAACAAAAGTCAAACGGAGTGTGGGATGCTGTTGGTATCTTAGATCCATGCTTCTGTCTGGGGATATGCTCTTCCAGGCTTTCTGATGGTCAGTGTCACTGCCCTGCTCAAAATCCTTCACTGGTGTGTCTTCCATCACCTTCAGGAGAAAGAAAACCCAAACTTCTTTCCAGGACACGTGAGGAGAGACCTTTGAGATCTGACCCCTGCCCCTGGCACCAGCCCCATTTCCTGGCCCTGGGGTGCTTCCAGGATCCTCTCCCTAACATGCACCTGCTCTCACGGCTCTGCAACCTCTGGCGTTGGCACATGTTGGTCTCCCAGTCTGGATGTCCTCATGGCCACCTGCCCCAGGTGCTCCTCTCTCTCTCTGGCTAGCACTGACTTAGTTCCTAACTGTGGTGATGCCCATGTGGTTTGGGAATTTCCTTCCAAATACCGTCTTTAATCTTCCTTGTAGTTTAAGTGGAGTTGGAAACAGTGCAGCTGGTAATAGACTGTGTCGTATTCATTCATTCCTAAAACTTCACAGGCCGACAGAAGTGAGAAAGGAGGTCCAGATAGCCCCGCCTGGGTCTCAGAGAGGGAGGGCTTCAGGAAGACATATTGAGTTTTTGTGCAAATTAAACTTTACGTGCAGTGACAAACCATTACATGCTCTGTTGAGGTAGAAAATGGCATTTTTCTCTAAGCCCTGTTATGTTTGAAAGTTATTTGAATAATAGTATACTTGTACATCCAAATCAATTTCTTGTTAGAATAAGTCTACTTTTGAAAAACAGTCTTTCAGGACACACATATTTAATCTTGATGGAAGATCATTTCATTTTCTGACACCATTCAGCTTCAGTGTTCAGTTGTAGTTGGAATTAACACAAATAAGCTCCTAATTGTGTTTTGTGAATCAAAACCTAGAAAAAAATTAAATCTTCCTCAAAAAGAAAATATATTTCATATATATGGTGCCCTCTGGATACCGTGGAAAGCCTGAGGTTGTCTCAATCACCTGAGCAGGTTAGACTTTTTATGCCAGTGTTTGCTGCCAGTGATGGATGAGTTTTCTTTCCTGAGGAATGTGGATGATGAAAAATAGTGACCTCTTTGCTTTCCACAGGGCCCTTCCATCTGCCCATGCTGCCCCCATCTCCTGATTTGTGAAATTCATCAGGTGTGCACCCTTCTAATGGCTGCTCCGATGAAAACAGTAAAAACCCATCAAGCCAGACCAAGAGGAGTGACCTACTTATATCAGATTGTGTTAACTTTCTGTAAGTGTGCATTTTCTGCCCTGTTCTCAGCTTCTTTTGATAGATGATGTAGGGAGCTGATCAGTGAAACTCCTCTACAGTATTTATCATAGCTTGTTGGTGAGGATATTGACACTAAATCAGTGGACCCTGTTTGAAGAGCCACATGAAAATTTGAAGGCTTGAATACAAGAAAGGCTTTGTTTCATCCAAGAAACTGCTATGCTTGATTTTCCATGGACAGATTCAAATTCATAATTGATTGTCTTCTTTTGGCTCCCAGGAATCTCAGAGTCATATTTGCAGTCCAGCCTTTCACCCTTGTCTGACCCTGTGAACCCCATATTTATGTATGCTGTCTCTTGATTCATCTTTCTACTTTATTTACACTAGTTTCTGATGTTTATTGGATCTATATTTATATTCATATATCTAGCTCTAGCTCCTTTTATCAAGCACATAGAATGAGTGGAACCTGACAAGGTGCTAGCAGGAGACAAGTATTTATGTGTATTTATTCTTTTGCACCACTATCCCATCAGACCTGGTCTGTGGACACCACTCTTCCCTGCATCCAAAATGAAATTGCTACACAGTACCATAACTTTTCTTGTCAATCTTAGGTAAAAACATTCTTTGTTCACTTTCAATCACAAGAACAGTCTCATCTTCATAGTTTCAATGTTCACTTCTGAGCAGTAACAAAAATTCAGAATTGTTTTCAAGTTTCAACTTCCCCAGCTGTGAGTCTACTTCTGGATGTGAAACCTTGCTGGGTGGGGGCACTGAGGATGCAGTGAGCATTGACAGTCAGCCTCTGTTTTTCTCTGAATTGCTCTTCTAGCCTTCTCCACCCTCTTCCCCACACTGCCTCTTGCTCCTCCTGAGTAGAATGAAAGAAGGGGGTAGGAAAGTTCTTACCTGCTGGGGTTGCCTTGTCCTGAGAGAGAAGGCAGTTTTGGTCTTTTCAAAATGACCCATCTGGCTTCCATAATGCAGCCCTGGGGCTAAAACACAGGATGCACCTCTGTCCAGCTGTGGGTGGAAGGCAGTTTGCTCCTAGGTTGTTTCAGCCAGCTTCCCATGCATTCCTTTACACCTAGGTGGTGCAGCCATCTCTGTGCCTGTCACACACCAAAGACACAGGTCAAACTCCACAAATGTTTTTTGTAATACTCTTGCATTTTTCTGACTTCACAATTTGGCCATGGGCCAGTTTATTGGCCAGGAAAGAGTTGAGCACTTAGAGGGCTGCTCAGGAGGGTTCAGTGAAGGGATTGTGAGTAAAGGCGGTGTGGGCAGGGCAAGGACAAAAGATTGTGAGGCTCCTGGACACTAGCAGCATGCCCTGAAAGGGTTGGGAGAGGAAATAGTATATTGGATGTGAAAGACAGGCCACTGGATAGGTGTAGTGGCTCAGAGGAGCCATCCAGAGCCACAGCAGTGGCCAGGCAGGGGTGTGTTATGGGTTGAACTGTGTCGCTCCAAAGATATATTGAAGTCCTAACCTTTGGTATCTGTGAATGTGGCTTTTTTTTTCTTTTGAAATAGAGTCCTTGTGATGAAATCAGGACATAATAATTAAGATGAGACCATACTAGATTAGGGTGGTCTTTAATCCAATATGATTGGTGTCCTTATAATAGGAGAAGAGACAGACTCAGACCCAGAGAGGAGAACACCATGTGGAGATGGAGGCAGAGGTTGGAGTGATGCACCTACAAGCCAAGGAACACTGTGGATGGCAGCAGCTGCCAGAAGCCAGGAGAGAGGCATGGAGCAGGTGCTCCCTCAGAGTCACCAGCAGGAACCAACCCTGCTGACACTTTGATTTCAAACCTCTGTCTTCCAGAACGGTGATAGAATAAATTTCTGTTGTTTTAAGCCATCCAAGTCTGTGGTAATTTACTATGGCAGCTCTAGGAAACTAACACTAGTGTAGGATAAAAAATTTTCTCAACTCTGTCCCCTTGTTTTCTCTCATTATGATGCCTATCACTGGCCGGACCCAACTGGAAGCTGGAAAGCAAGGGAACTGTGATGTGGTCCCTGGAGGTCAGCCTCTAGGTGCAATGCAGAGCAGAGAATGGATGGAGGGTGACTATAAATGGAGAATAATCCAGGCTTCTATCTTCTTCAAGTTCAGAGTCAGGTGGAAGATGACATGAACCCCAAAGGCTCTGGAGAAACTGCTGTCTCGACCCCTCTTTTCCACCCCTTGCACCTGGTTCTGTTGTGAACACAAGCAGGCTGAGAACACAGCTTGTTCCTCAAAACTGCATCTTGGACAAGAAATTGACTTTCCCCGGGGAACAATGTTATAAACAGGCGAGGAGTGGTATGTGCGTGCCGAAGAAAGAGATGATGTAGAAGTTAAAAGGCTGGAGAACAATAAACATGAAAAGCAGTTCAACGTCATTTGTAAGCAAGCCAACTCAAGTAAAAATAACACTGAAATGAATTCATTGCCACCCTTCAGGTTGGCACAGAAGGATGTGATGGCTGTCTCCCAGGGCTGGTGAAGGCAGGGGGAAGAAGACTCACTCTCTACTGCTGCAGGACTGGTTGTGGATTCGGTGAGGCGTAAAGACCCCAGCACAGTGCTGGCTCCCTTTCTCTTCCTGCTCAGCTCCTTTCCCGACATCTGCAACTTGCATTGTAAAGCAAAAGACAGGGAAAAGTCAAGGTTCAGCATCAATGTCTCAGTGCTGTGCAGTGTTATTTGCATAAACCTTCCCATTCACTGATGGAAACCCCTGGCATGTTCATGCCAAGCATTCTTAGCAGTACACATACCTGGGGCAGATCAAGTGCTATCATGAGAAAATTGACTGCATTAAATCACACAGGTCTTAAGGGAAGTGGAAGGGCAGGGTGGGAACTGATAGCTAAGAACAACATTTGCACCTTATGACAATTGCCTCATCATTGTAATCCCATTGGGGAAACCTATACAAATATGACTAGTGTAGCTGCAGTGTGTGTTCTGCCCATAGCTCCTCAGGTATTTTCACCATTTCCACCTGTGCCAACCTGATGTCTGGTAACTGATACTTTCATCTTTGTTGTGGTTTGCCTTCAGAGTACAGAAAACCCCTTTGTCCCTGTAAACAGCCAGCAGGAAGTGCCTATGAATTAATCACGCTTAACCACTGACAAGTGGTTTATGAGTGTTGGTCAAGAATATTCAGCTCCCTGGCCAAAATAATTCTGAACCCTATTTTGTGCTATTTACCAGAGCGCCCCCAGGGGATTAAGCTTTAATCTTCCACTGTTGTAGCTGGCTGAATAATGGTTGCCTTCCCCTCCCATACCACTTGCCCTCCTTCCTACCCCTGTTCCTTGCACCTCCCTATAGGTGGCTTGTCCTCAGAGACTTGGCTCAAAGTCTGCTTCTGGGGCAATATAAACTAAGACAAGTGGCAAGCGAGGCCTGCTTAGCCCATGTTTTCCAGATATACATTTTGAGACTCAGGGACTGGGCTAACTTTGGTCACTTGCTCCTTGTTTTTTTGTGTTAATCCATCACCAACAGTTGCACAGCTCATTCATAACATCCACATAATGAAATCATGTATCCAGCAAGGGTTGATAGGTGTAAATTATTAACAGTTATTAAATACTTTTATTATACTCACTTAACTACAGCAGAAAATGGGGAACTAAGGATAAGTAACTTGTCAGGATCACACAGTAGGTGAAGGAGCCGGATTTCAAACCCAGCACCTATATTTTGAACCCCCATTTGTAATGACTGTACCATACTGTACCCTTAATAGAATGATGCCTGCTCTACTGTTTTGTGTCAAACCTTATTGCCATTCTTCTTATAAGTCTTTTGTTTCATGTAAGTGAACAGAGAAATAAACATACAGGCCCATGGGGATGTAGATGGCCAAGTGAGAGGGAGGCTAAATAGGCAGAGCTCTCTAGAGTTCCCATCCCTTTTCAACCAAGAAATTCCATATTCATATGTTATATGAGTACATTCTCTATAGGATGTCACAGGGTACTGGGGAAGTGTTTGGCAGCCACCAGTGTGGTAAGACATGACCTATTTTGCACTGTAGCTCTGCGGGGACTCAGGTGTGGAAATAGAGTCTTCGGATGGGGGTGTGGGATCACTAGGAAGCCATAGGAGGAGCAGGAGATGAGGTTACTTGTATCAGAGACTAAGGGACATTCAGAGCAAGAGAGGCTGGTGGGTTTAAAGAGATATTTGGGATATAACATTTCAAATACAGCACTTACTTTCAAAGTCTAGCTTCCACCTTTATCTAATTGTGTCCTCTTGTTTTTAATTTAAGTTCCTCAGGCTTCAGATAATTTATGATATAGCTTGTTGATCAAAGGGAGAAAGTCCTGTTAGAAAAATGCTTCTTTGAACTGGGGGTGGGGAAAGGGTGGGTCCCAGTTCCTCAAAGTAGATTGTCCCAAGACTCCACCAATGCATTGGGCAGAGTTTTCTCCCCCATGCTGAGTCCTGCTGCCATTATTAGGGACTTCAGCATCTTTGTGGTGGTCAGTTCCATGCTCTGGCCCCTCAGAATCCTGATCTCCTTAACTCAGGAAGCCTTCAACTCCTCTCCACTTCAGCTGTCTATTCCCATGGTCATACCCTTGTGATCACTTGGGTCTCCTCCACTCTGGGAT
Organism: Homo sapiens; assembly: GCF_000001405.40. Taxonomy (NCBI): domain Eukaryota; kingdom Metazoa; phylum Chordata; class Mammalia; order Primates; family Hominidae; genus Homo; species Homo sapiens. The sequence goes on along the minus strand of NC_000003.12, from coordinate 140,752,945 downwards.
CTCAAACGACAGTAATACTTTGACCACACCTTGCATTTTTCTGTCACTCTCCCTGGGTTCATCTCACAGCATCTGCTCTTTGTCTACATTGAGATTTCTAATTCCTTAATCCGTCGATTGTCTTTGTATTTGCTTACTTCCCTCTCAATCTAGTCCTGACCTTGGGGTCTGTCATCTCAGTCTCTCTCTTGCCAACAGCTTCACTCCCTTTACCTAATCTGCCCTTCAGTGCTATCTATACTTCCACATGGGGGCAGCCTGGCCCTCCACCATCTCTACTCTTACTGGGCTACCTGCTAAACACTGCTGGGCACAATTATACAATGTTGCTGTTTGAGTCACCAGAAACTCATGGTCTGATACCTGAGTCAGGTGCTCAACTCTACCTGGAAAGAACATGTGCCCTGGGCAGTGGTGTCCCCCAGTCCTCTCAAAAACTCTTACACTCTCTCCCCTCTCTTCAACCTCCTATGCCAGCACCTCTCCTTTTTCCACTGGAGGTTGACATGGCCTCCCACTGATGCTCAGAAGAGGATTCTCATCCAGAAAAGGATTTTTGTTCCATCTTCCAAAACCACCTGCATCTCTGCCCAGCTCTGTCTCCTTCCTTCTGGTCTCTCTTCTAGTGTGGGGTCACTCACTGAAGCTGGATGTTTTCCTCTCGTGGAGTTTGCTTATTTTGTTCCCTCTACCTGACTAACGCCATTCGTTCTTCTCACCTTGGAATAGTCCTTTAATCACCCTCCACCCCTCCTCTTCTCATTAGCTCAGCAAGTCTCCTTTTCAGTTTCTCTATTTCTAAGGTCCTACCTTATATGTTTAATGATTTCATGAGCTAAAGGCATGAAACCAGTGGGGGCCAGGGCAGAGGTGAGAATTGGGTCTCCTGAGTCCCCCATTTCACTCCTGCAACAGGTTAGGCTCTGTTCCAAATTGCCACCTGAGGCATCTTAAAAACCTTGGCCTCTGAGGAGAAGTTGAGTTTTCTCAATTGTCATTAACACTGACCTTTTGAAATACAGCCCAGAAATAAGCAAAGAGGATTTGTCTCTTGATTTCAACCCTGTGTGCCTCAGTTGCAGAATTGTGTTTGGGGAGCTTGTTCTTAGTAAGCCTACTACAAAAATAATGCAGATACATAATTGTAGGGGGAAAACGAAATTTTATTCTATTTCTGTGATGGCCTTGAGGGAAAATAGAAGCACACAGAAAGTTCTTTACTTAGGAAAATAACCAGAACCTCCCCCATGTGCTATGTAATTTAGTCATGAGGTACCTTGAAAAACAGAAGTCTATTTATCTTAAGCCCCTAAAGAAATATCTTCATGGAGAGATTATTCTAGTGAAATTTATTCTGAGGAATTTTTTAGAGAACATCAGTTTTTATTACCCATTAATCAGATTTCATTTGCTGTTACTTTGGTTTGTCTTTAGTTATGGGCAATTATTTTAAGACTGCTGATTGCTTGCTATAAAGGATTGGATTTTTATGTTATAAAAACATTCCAAATGGTCTGTTGGCCCGAACACTAGCCCAAATGCTGTTGGGGAGTACTGGGAGAATTCTGGGAGGCAAATCACTTTAAAGTCGATTGGGGTTGGTCTGGGCTGTGACAAAGAAGGATGAAAATGGTGCTGTGCAGGAGGTAGGCTTTAGAGGTGGAATATTTCTCAAATGTGGCAACAGTTTTAAAGGCAGTGGTGGAATGGGTTGAGTCTCTGGAGAAGGAGCATGATCCAAGCCCACTTTTGGGGAGGCCAGCTCCCACAGCCTGCTGGGAGGGGTGCTATGCACCCACCCCCACCAGCTCCTCTGGGCCTCCCTTCAGCTTCCCTCCCAGGGCTCTGGGAAGAGCCCAGATAAAAGGACAAATCCTTACATGTCCCCAGCAGTTCTCTCTGGCAGAAATTGTGCCCCTCATTCCCCAAAGTCAACATCAAGACAGACCTGAAGGGCAAACAGACACAAGGGTTGGATCCATTCATCCACAGTTTGATCTGACTTGCAATGGTGGGACCTTGAACGAGTCATTTTAATGCTCCGAATCTCTGTTTTCTCACCTGTACAATGGAGAAATAAGAATACTTGCACTTCTATGGAGCTGTTATGAGGAATCAATGAGACACTGCATATACAGCATACATCCTGATGGATGGCCCCTAATAGATACTCAGTACATGCCATTATCATTTGTATCTGTTAAGTGGGCTAATAATCTCCATCTCAGAGATTGCTGTTGTAATGATTAATGACATAACTTAGGTGAAGAACTTAACACAGTGTTGGGCATACAACACACTCTCACTATGGGGTAGCCATTAATATAAGTATCAGTAACTGTGTTTGGGAAGGTTCCTGTCCACCTTCCTGAGCTCAGCTCTGCCCACTCTCCTCCTCGTTCATGCGCTCCAGCCACCCTGGCCACTGTCTGTCCCCCGACTCTTCAGGCTTGCCCATTCTCCCCTTGCCTGTCCCTTGCATGTGTCTCGGTGGCTCCTGCTTATTGCTCAGGTCATAAGTCTAAAGTCTTTTCTGTAGAGACCACCTGGGTTTAAGAGCCTCACTGCCAACCTGTCCCCCTCCCACTCACCATCCCTGAGCCATGTCCATCCCCTATCCCACGTGATGGAGCATGTACCATCATTGATTCACTTACTATCTCTTTTCTCCTACTAGACTGGATGTTCCATGAAAATGGGGGTCTCTCTTATTCACTGCTGCTCCCCAGGGCACAGTACAATGCCCAGCAGAGATCAGGTGCTCAAAAAAATACCTTCACCACCTTCACCCTTTTGAGTCCCTATTGAGAGCCCCTGCCCTGCCCCCCAACCCCCAAGAAAATTCATTTTGCAGTCAACATCTTGGAGCCTTGAGAATGCTTAATGTTCCCTGAAACAGGCCATATAAGAAACTTCACAGCACTAAGCATTGAGAAGGTGCAGGAAAAAAATCTCCCCAAGGATAAAAGCTGAATCTGCAGGTAGGGCTTGGGGAAACTGTGTTAGATAGAAGAGGGAGTTCCATCTTCCAGGAAGGAGGCAGTGGCAGCCAGATCCTCCTGGGGTACCTTCCTGCCCAGAGAGAGGGGAGAGGAAGACACCCTCACTTCCTGGGCATGAATGCTGTGAATTGCTGTGAACAGCAGCATCATTGGATGCTTCTGGCCAGGAGCCTGGCTCCCAGGGGTGGGCTGCTTCAGCAAGGGTGGGAGAGAGGGGTAGGGATGCAGTCTGCAGCTATGGAAAGGCAACATGTGAGCCCCAAAAATGATTCAGTCTAGAAGATGTGGATAGCCTCATGGATAAACCAGAGCATGTGGGAGAGACAGGAGAGAAGGAAACAGTATTGGGGGTAACTGAAATAGTCAAAACAGAAGGACCACAGGAGAACAAGATGAATTTCTGTGTTTAACGGGTATAAGACACCCATCCATCCATCCATCCGTCCATCCATCATCCATCCATCCAAATACTTACAGATCTTTTCCTCTTTCCCTCCCTCCTTTCTTCCCATCTTTCCTCTTTTCTTTCTCCTCCCCATCACTTAGCCTTGGAACAAATCACCTGCTGGCTGCTGGAGGCATAAATAAGTGCCTAATCCAAATGCTTAATGAGTGAGTTGAAATGGGGAGGGGGAGATAAGCAGGGTCAAGCCAGAACATGAGGCACCTTTCTGAAAAATTTAAAAAGCGCTTCTTTCACTAGTAAAAAATAAATCAATGTTAGTACATGGTCCCACCTGAACAATGGTGCCCAGAAACCATGACTCACTCTGGGGGAGCTTTCCAGAGCCCTGGCAGGCAGCACATGTCCTGGCAGGCAGCACATTTGGATGCTGAAGAGCACAGTCCAATATCCCTGCCTGTTCCTCAGCCCTTGGCTCAGGCAACTGAGTCAGGATCAGAGTCAGAGGCAGGGTTCTGGGAGTGGAATTGCATCTCCTGGAGCAATGATGGGCAAGAGAAGTGACATTGGGAGAAGGCACAGCTGCACACACAGATGAATCAGTGACAGCCTAGAGGCTTTCTCTCCTGAGTGAGCACACTGTGCCCGGGCTGGCTGTGCCTGGTGGGTTTGTTGGTGGCAGCGCATTGCTACTGCCCCAGGACACACCTAGCTGGGAGTCCACACACTCTCCAGTGTTCTCTCAGATAAGTGAGTATCTGAGAGCCCAGTGGCATTCTTTAGGTGTGGTGACCTTGTACAGTGTACAATCTGAACATCCATAAATACCAGTCCTCCAGGTAAGTAAAAACATTAATATAAACGGCATGGCATATGCTTAGACAGAGGTGAGTAGAGGGCTAAAGGGGGCACAGTAGATGGCACTAATATTGCTTCCTGAAGCTCCCTCAAATTCTCTTGTATTGCCCACGCCTGGGGCTTCTGAAGAGCTTCTCAAGTCATCAGGATGCCTCCCTCTCCCCTGTCCAGCAGGTCGTTACTTGGCCCCATCTGCCTTTGCATCTTGATCCTGACCTTGCCTGGCTTTGTTGGGGTGGGTCCCTGGTTGTGGGCTCCAAGACTGGTTCTGGGCCAGCAGTTCTTTGAGGACTCTGGCACGGTCCCTCAGCTCCTTGTATCACATTCATGGACAGGAAGTGCCACTTGCCCACTCCTGCTGAGGCCCCAACATCCCCAGCTCTCACTTGTCAAGGCTGGGCAGCTCCTCAGCCCTTGCCCCTGGGCAGAGCAAAGAGGAAACAGCAGGTCTGTGCTTCAGGATGTCTCTGCTTTCCTCTACTAGCGTACTTCCCTGGGAGGCAAGCACAGCCTTTAGGACGAGCTGATGGTCTTGTGGCCCCCAAGGAGGACAAGCTGGAATCAATAGGATTAGGGAAATACTGTGATTTAACAAACCCCACACAGTGGATGATGCCAGCATTTGCACCAGCCAACACAACACAGAACAAGTTCTTGAAGGATTCTGTTTGATTTATACAAGTTTTCCATGAATAATTGACTGAAGCTGACAGTGGATTTTTGCTGCTGAATTATCTTAATGTCTTCCTGGAGAAACTCTGTGCAGGTTATTCTTCTTGCTAATAAGAATCACCTATCTATTTATCTATCTGCTGGAGAATAAAGAGTCCACACTGCCAAGGAACATTGTCCTTGCTGGGGAAAATTTTGTCTTTCTTGAGATGTATGCACGTGCTCTCCAGCTGACTTATCAAAGGTCCTCCTGGGACCACAGAAGCTGTTGCATTCCTGGCGCTCTGTCTTTGAGCTGGAGCTTACCTGCGGCAGCTCTCTCACGTTTGCATGACTGCTTGCAGGGGCCTCAGATGTCTCATGCAGTGGCATAAATTCTCTTTCTACCCACACACCATAGCTCTGTGTCTATTTCCTAATGCTTTCAAACAAAGTGTTTCTTTCTTTCTTTCTTTCTTTCTTTCTTTCTTTCTTTCTTTCTTTCTTTCTTTCTTTCTTTCTTTCTTTCTTTCTTCTTTCTTTCTTTCTTTCCTTCCTTCCTTCCTTCCTTCCTTCCTTCCTTCCTTCCTTCCTTCCTTCCTTCCTTCTTTCTTTCTTTCTTTTTTGAGACGGAGTTTTACTCTGTGGCCCAGGCTGCAGTGCAATGGTGTGGTCTCAGCTCACTGCAACCTCTGCCTCCCGGGTTCAAGCTATTCTCCTGCCTCAGCCTCCTGAGTAGCTGGGACAAAGTATTTCTACTAACATATGCACATATATTAGAAGGTAGAGTGGAGTAGTTGGGAAAGATAAAACAAAGCCAAAAGCATGGATTCTGAGGCCAAGACCTGGGGGTTTGAATCTTGGAAGTAGCTGCCCTAGTAGTTGTGTGATCTTGGCCATTATAGAGTAGACAGAATGATGGCCTTCAGAAGATATCCACATCCTAATTCCTGAAACCTTTGAATATATTATCATGTATGGCAAAAGGGACTCTGCTGATGTGGTTAAGAATCTTGAAATGAGATTATCCTGTATATTGCAGGTAGGCTGAATGTAATCACAAAGATCCTTATAAGAGGGAATAGAGTTGAAGAGGAGAGATGTGGTGGTGGAAGCAGGGCTGAGAGAGAGAGAGGGAGGGAGAGAGAGAGAGAGATTTGGAAGATGCTACACTACTGGCTTTGAAGAAGGAGGGAGGGGACACAAGCCAAGGGATGCAGGAGGCCTCTAGAAACTGGAAAAGGCAATAAATGCATTATTTCCTAGAGCCTTTCAAAGGAATGTGGCCCTGCACTGACACTTTGATGTTAGCCCAGTGAACCCATTTATGCTCTCTGACCTCCAAAACTATAAGATAAGGAATCTGTATACTTTTAAGCCACTAAGTCTGTGGTACTTTGTTATAGCAGCAATAGGAAACCAATATAGGCAGCTGCTTTACGTTTTAGCTTCAGTTAGCTCACTTCTAATAAGAGGAGAGGAGGTAAGTTAGGGATTGATTTCCTTGTAAGGAGTTGAGTAGATGAAATGAGGTAGTGAACTTGCAGTGGTCAGCAGATAGCGAAGAGGGAGGAGGAAGCAGAGAAAGGCCTTCAGGATGAGGTACTCTGGACAGGGCTTCTCAGACCGTCTGTGCTGAAGGCCCCCTTCCTTCATTTAAAAATAAATTTCAATTCTTTGTGGATCAATACTTTTATAAAATATAATAAAGATGAATTATTAGAAAAAATTAAAATAGCTAACAAAATTCAAGCCCTGCATTTCAAAATTATTAGATTCAATAGTCATAAAATTGTTCTGTGTAATTGCTCTAAATGTTTTTAAACACGTTCACTTTCTGTGCTTACCTCATTTTCTATGCGTGGGTAACAAATAGTTTGGTGGTTGTCCCTGGCCCTGGCCCATACTCTGAGTCTACTATTATCTGGAGGTGAGTATAAGTTGCAGTCAAGGCCTGGGGAAGTCAAATTGCTTTACAGATGAGGCCAAGGCCAGATTGAATTTTGAAGTATGAATAGGAGTTCATCAGGAAGAAAAGAGCAAAAAAGAAAACAGGAGAACAGCATGTTGAAAGGTACCAAGGGAAGGGGTGTGTCATGCCTCAAATGTGAACTTGCATGACATTTTTGATGGACAACATACTGAAATTTGACCTGTTTTAGGATCTTGACAAAATAGAGAGTAAAATATACTATAGTTTAATGATGAGAACATTATCTCTCAGCTGAAAACCCCTCAGAAGTTTCCCCCTGCCATTAGGATCAAGTGACAACTCTTAGAGGAGCATGGAGCCTGCGGAAACTGGAGAGCCCTGGCCCTTCCTCTTGCTTCAACCTCTCTTTGCCCTGCCCAAGCCCCAGTGCTCCAGGCCCACTGGCCTCCCTTCTCATTCTCACAGGCATATCCTGCTCTAGGACCCTGTCACGCCATTCCTTGGACTGGCATGCACTTCCAGTCTTCTCCTTGCCAGGCCAGCTTCTCTCTATCCCTCAGGTCTCAGCTTGAATGACAGTTGCTTAGGGGATCTTCTCTTACATCCCAGCTTTGTCCAGTTACGTGTTCCAGTAAGCACTTGAAATAGAGTTTTGCCTGTCTTAGTGCTCAGTAAATACCTAGTGGATGAATGAAGAAGCACACTACATGTCTCACTTCCTAGCAGATACCACAACTGCAGTGAAAGCTCTACGTATTTATCTGTTTAATGTCAATATTCCCACTAAACTGTAAGCTGTATGAAGTCAGAGGTTGTGTCCATTTTGCCCCTCACAGTGCCTCATACACAGTAGATGCCCAATAAATACACATTGAATGGATATGTGAGTGAATGAAAAGTTGAGTGATGGGCATTGGGTTGTATTGGTGGGGTAAAACCTAGAGGAAGCAATTAATTTTCTCCTTGGAGTTGCATCAACAATAGCTGACATGCAAAGTTCTCCCTCTTACCCAAAGCCTTCTGCTGTGGTTGATGGTGGGATCCAATGATCACAAGAAATGAGGCAACTTTTCAGATCACAAAAAGAATCAGTGAGGGGAAGATTACATTTTCCAGAGAAACAAAGGCAACCAACCTATTTATGCTTAATTATTTTATTTTAAGAGTGTCCTGGACATTTTCTTCAGGTAGTCATAGAAAAACCACATTCGATTAGGCTCTGTTCTCTAATACTAAAACAAAAACAAATGAACAAATGAAACCCATAATAAAAAGTAAACCAATAACAGTTAACAAAACAACCAACCAACCCAACTGTATAAAATAACCAGAAGACATCAATAACTCCTTTCTTAACAATTTACCCCAGGACACATGTAAAATACAGAGAAGTAGAACCTTACATGTATTAAGTGCTCTCTATATATTAACAGATGTGACTTTCGTCCTCTAAGATGCAGATCTCATCCCATGGCCCTGGCATGGTAGGATCTGTAGCTTCTTGGAGTGGATTTAACAGCTACAGGGGCTCCTTGGGGAGATGGGGCTGAGTTAGGATTATAGTTGTTGAATGTCCCTGGCTTGATGTGATGTGCCACTTTGGATGCAAGGACCAAGGAGGACTCTCTGAAGCTCTCTGCCCTGAGCCATCAGATGAAAGGTACATTTCCAGCCATGAGTATACAGTAAAGTGACAATCTTTTTCTTTGTTGGGGGACAATCATGGCTTCATTAAGTATTAATTCTTCAGGGACAGTGGGCAGGGCTTCTCTTTGGAGCCTTTATGATTTTTAAGGTAGGGTCAGCACTTAGTCATGCTGGTTAAAGGCTCACTGACAGGCTAGTCCCTGTAAACACTAGTTTATAGTCCCCAAGAGGAAAGATGATCAGTAGAAGGAGACCAGTAGGAAGGGAGTTGGGAGACCTGGAACTTAGTCCTAGATCCATGATCTTTCTGAGCCCCTCTGGATTCCACCCACTCTGCTGATTGCTGGGGGTTGCTGTGAAAATCAACTGAGTTGATGAACATGGCGATGGATAGGAAAGTCCCAAAGAGCGATATAAACGTGATTCACTGGTTGTGTAGGTGGATTTATCTGTGAATACACATAACATAAAATTTACCATCTTCACCATTTTAAGTGTACAGTTCAGCAGTTACATTCAAATAGTGGTGCAATCAATCTCCAGAGCTTCTTTCATCTTGCAATACTGAAACTCTATACTCGTTTAAACAGCAACTCCCCATTTCCCCTTCTCCCCAGCCCCTGGCAAACACCCTTTACCTTCAGTCTCTATGGCTCTAGATATCTCACATAAGTGGAATCATATAGCATTTGTCTTTTTGTAATTGGCTTATTTCACTTAGCATAAGCTCCTCAAAGTTCACCCATGCTGTAACATGTAGCAACATTTCCCTTCTTTTTGAAGATGAATAACATTCTATTAAATACAAAACCACATTTTATTTATGTGTTCTTCTGTCAATGGACACTTGGGCTTCTTCCACATTGTGATGATTATGAATAATACTTCTATGACTATGGGTATACAAATTGCTCTTCAAGACCCTGCTTTCAATTCTCTTGGGTATATACCCAGAACTGAAATCACTGGATTATGTGGTAGTTATGTTTTCAAGCTTTTGAGGAACTGCCATACTGTTTTCCACAATGGCTGCATCATTTTATATTCCCATCAGCAATACACAAGGTTTCCAGTTTCTTTACATCCTTACCCACACTTATTACTTTTTTTTTAATAGTAGCCATTCTAATGGGTGTGAGGTGATATCACATTGTGGATTTGATTTATGTTTCCTGGGTGATTAGTTACGTTGAGCAACAAGCATTTTATATGCTTGTTGGCTATTTGTATATCTTCTTTGGAGAAACATCTGGTCATGTCCTTTGTCCCTTCTTAAAATCAGGTTTTTTGTTGTTGTTTAGTTGTATGAGTTCTTTATACATAACTTCATTTTATTTATCTGATTTTCTTGCAATCCAAGCCAAACTTACCTGATTTGGGAAATAAAGAAGTCTTTATTTCCCCAAGGGTCATGAAATGAACTCATACTTTCTGTTCATGGATTATCTAATTTCATCTTCATAGCAATCTGTGAATAAGTTATTACTATCACCTTCACTTTAGGGAAGAAGAGACTAAGGCCACAAGGAGTCATTGTCTTTGACCAGGTCACAGGTAGTAACTGACAAAGCCATTACAGCCGGTAGCTAGGTGCCTAGTCTGTGCTGTGAAACTGCTCCTGTCTGCCTTGGCCAGTGCAGAGATTCCTGGGTGAGTTCTCACGGTCTGAATGACATATTCTGTACCCTCTGGACAGCCTGGTGGTCTACCTTTAGACATTATCCTGATCTCTTCCCATCCCTTGCCAATAGGCACTTCAATGTGACCCAAGTTTGTGAGTCTTAACTTAGACCAGACCTGAGGCTAGTTCTTGGAATCAGAGATTCATTCATTCATTCATTCTACAGATATTTGTTGAGCACCTACCAAGTTTTAGGTATTAAAGCAGATTATCCAGTATAAATAAGACCCAATTCTTCCCAAGTTGCTCACACCTAGTGGGGGAGACAGACACAAAATGCGTGTGTATTGTTAATTTTGTGTGTCAGTTTTACTGGGTTGTGGTGCCCAGACATTGGGTCAAACATTATTCTCGGTGTGCCTGTGAGGGTGTTTTTGGGTGAGATTAACATTTAAATTTACAGAATGATTAAAGCAGATTGCTCTCATGAATGTGGTGGGCCCCATCCAATCAGTTGAAGGCCTGAATAGAACAAAAAGGCTGATTAAGAGGAAAGTCCTCTTGCTTGACTGCTGAGCTGGGACATTGGTTCCTTCTTTACTTAGGGCAGAAACAATGGCTTTCCTGGGTCTCAAGCCTGCTGACTGCAGACCTTGTGACTTGTCAGCCTCCATAATCATGTGAACTAATTCCTTGTAATAAATCTCTCTCTTTCTCCCATCCGCCCCTTTCTTACACACACACACACACACACACACACACACACACACACACACACACACATACCCTATTGCTTCTGTTTCTCTTGAGAACCCTGACTAATACAGCACAGTTATGAAGCAGAGTGGCCAGCTAGTGGTGGAGGCATCAATGCTCTGTCACGAAGGCTCTACCAACACAGAAAAGTGGGCCTTTGATCCCAGTCTGGGAGACCTCAGGGCACATGGAACTCCTTCCTTGCATCAGCAGCCTCCATAAGGGCCACACTTCTCTGGCCTGGTAAATTCCAGGGGCCATGGCTTCCATAATGTCTAAAGCTTTCAAAGATATTGGCAGATGCATGGACTTGTGCACTCAGTAAATGTGCCTTGAATACCCTTTGTGGGATGGATCCTGTTCTAGGAATACAGTCTTGAGGAATGCAGATTCAGAAGCCCCTCCTCCTATGAGACCTATGGTATAGCAGAGATGGGAGACTAGTCAATAAGAAAATAGTAATAAGTTCCATGAAGACAATCAGTTAGGCATTGTGTTGACTTCTTGAGTTAGGTGAGAATCACATTCCAGGCAGTGAGAAGAGCCAGGGTAAAGATGAATACAGAAAGGAGGATGATGGAGCTGGACCTGCTGAGCATGGGCAGGATGGTCTAAGGTGAGACCAGAGAGCTGGGCTGGGCCCCTGACCATGGAAAAGAGCTTGGATTTTATTCCAAGTGTGAAGGAAAGTCTGGAGAGTTTGGAGTAGAATATTGTGATCTGATTTATAATGAAATAAAATGTCCCTCTGTTGCAGTTGTCTAGACAAGAGGTGATGGTGACCAGGACTAGGTGGAGACAAAAAAAGAGGGACAGGCATGGGCAGGCTTGGGATATATTTTGGAGGTAAAATTGATTAGAATTGCTGATGAATATTGGGGAAAGGAAAAAGGAGAATGGACTTGAGGAAGAAGCCCTAATCTAGGAAGCGGTGATCTGGCTGTCTCTGAGGTCAGCAGAGGCCCCAGATTGGAATTGGCAAGGGCACTGGCCACAGAGAGGGCAAGGCCAATAGGTTTTGAGCTGAGGCCTGTCATGCCACTTTCTTTAGTTCATCTGAGCATCGAGTTAACAGTTTCTAGTCTCTTCCTTAGTTATCCCATTACCTGGACCAGAGCTGTCTCTGGAAACACTTTAGATCACCAAGGAAACGTGGGGCTATCTTCTGCTTCTCTTATCTTGTCTTAAGACCTACGTACGCCTCTGCTTCCCTGAGAGGGGATGCTGCTCAGTTCCTGGGCCTCTCAGGTTCTGGGCAGAGGTCACTGCATGCCCTTGGGAGAGCTGCCCATAGGACACACTGTTCCCCTAATGTGTTAGGCTCTTCATACCTCTGCCCCATCATGCTGCACTCTGTGCCTGGAAGGCCTTTCCCCTCCTCTGAAGACTGACTCCAACATCATGCAGCAGCCCTTTCTGACAGCTGCTCCCACTCCAGGCCTCTCCTCCTTGTATCCACAGCCTCTTGGTACATGTAATAATTGTCCCTTAACTGAAGAGTCCTCCTGCATGAGCTGGTGGATTTCCAGAGGGCAGGAACCATGTCTAACTTATCCAGCCCACAGCCCAGGGGGCTCAATCATTGTTTGGATGGAAACAGCAAAAAGAATCCCATTGTTGGGTACAGCAGTAGTGGGCTGGGGGAGAACAACTTGACTTTTCCAGAGATGTCTGGCTTCTCTTCCATAAACCATGCTTCATGTACCAGCAGCACAGATGATAATAGACTCCAGCTTTATCTTCATTTCTCTGATTAGGAAGATCTACTTTTGAGTTAAGGTTGTAAATGAGGTGCTGTGACTGCTTCTTGAATAAAAGACCAAAATTTGCTTGAACTTAGGTGATAAGTGTTTTACTTTTACGACATGTTTGGCATTATGTTCAAAGCAGAATACATTAGACGTTCTTATAATACAGGCTCAGTGTTGGGCTAAAATTCAAATGTGCTCGCACAAATGGGAAAAAGTCTGGAGGCTTTAATCACAGCTTGTGATTCAGCCTGATTGACAGTGTTTCCATTTTAAAAAGTCTCTGTTTTTCATGTGAAATGAATGACTCTTTTTTCATTTTGTTCCTTTAATAGGAAATGTTCTCATCGTGGAATGAAATCTCTACAAGCATCCCATTAAATACTAAAATGTTACTGCTGTGTCTGAGTGAAATTACCATCCAGGGGAGGCATCGGATTGTAGGTGTACAATGCTAGAGTATGTTTTCCCAACTTGCTGAGCTTGGAGGCAATTTGTTCATCTGAGAACACATGCACTCAGCATCCTTGTCCTTCCTCTCCTTCAAGTGAAACCTTGTTTGCACATTAGCTGGGCCTTTTCTGGATGTCAGCTCTGGCAACTCCATTCCGTCTACTTCAAGTGAAGAAGGACTTGGTGGGAAAAATCTCAGAGTGAGTTTCTGAATCCAATCCCAGAGAAAAAGCCAGGCAGCAGGACCAGAGGTGGCGTGGAGTGCCACCCCAAGCCAGTGAGCCTTTACTTTCTTTCACTTATCCATGTTTTCTCTGCCCCTCTGACTTACAGTAGTCCAACCATCTTTGCTGCACAGTTCTCACAGTGGAACAGGGTCATTGCTACCACTCCCAAATTTGCCTGCACCAAACCAGCCACTCAGAGAGAGTCTGACCCCCTTCTCAGTCTTAAATGCAGTGCCCTTCCTTGAACCAGTCTCTAATAGCCACACATGGGTCACATTATCCAATGGAGCTTCTGCTACAACCCTGAGATTGGATGAGGGAGGGTCATTTCCTAGGAAAGCAGTAGGAAGAATGTAATCCAGGCTGCACCCATTACATTGCTAACAAGGACCCAGATCCACTCTACAACAGAGAACAAGCTTAGTGAAGCCTACCATGCTGGAATTCACATTCTGACAATGAAGCCCATAAAGACCTACTGGTGGACAAGGGGTTACACAGGACAGAGAACATGTATTTCTGATTCTATGTGGAGCTGTGACCACATGTAAATCCCAGATGCTTGCCATCACATTCTTAGGGCTTGTGCAGTTGATTTGTCTTGGCAGAGGGGCAGGGGGAGATGTCGCCACTCCTCCCAAGCCGTTTCCTTTCTCTCCCTCAGACTGGACCCTCACTAGGGGATATTTGCCACAGACCAGGAGCCTCCAGCCTCACTGATAAAGTTGCTGACCCTCAAAAACATGGCTTCTATACATCTTCTAGATGCGGTATTGGGACTGAGAAAGGCAATTTGCTAAGGTCCCACAGAGAGGAAGAAGGGACTGGGATTGGCATTCGCATATTCTTATATCTAAGGCCTATGTTTATTCCATAATACCACACTGTTCCCAGGGACAATGGATAGAAAATAGTCCTATTGTGAGAAAGGATGTAGACGTGCATGGATGGACCAGGTATCTGCTGGGATTTCCAGCTGCTAGGACCTCACGCTGGCTTAGAATCCCATTCTATGCCTCGTGGAAGCTCACAGACCTCCAGCAGATATTGTTAATTTCTCAGGGGCTTATGTGCCCACTGTTCTGTCATGGGTCAGGTTCTTGGGCCTGTGGGTGCTTTTTCCATATGGCATAGCATTGACCCAGACATGCAGACACCTTCCTTTTATTAGGTAATTCTCTGACCCTCAGGTTTTGTCAATGTGAGTGTAGCAGCCTTCCTGAGGATTTAGAAGTTTCCTTCTGATGATGCAGACAGTCTACGTTTGAATTAGTCCCACACTTTATCTTTTGGTCACCACATTCAGCGACATTTCCACTCACTCTACTCCACAGAGTCCTGTTCCTGCTCACCATCCCCAGAATTCACCTCTATTTCCTACTTTTTCTTGAGTTTCAGGGTAAAACATATTTTCTCATGCCTAAGAGCTGCTAGATCTAAATCTTCTTGCTATTTTCAGCCTCTCTTAGAACTCCTGGGTGGAACAAGAGCTTCTGTTCATGAAAAGCTTCCTTCATCTCTGCCCTGTGAGCTGCTGTCTCTCTTTTCCCCAGGTCCAGACTTGCTTGCCTACCTGTAGTTGCTGCTGCAGTTTGCAGCCACTCACATCAGTATCTGCTGTTGGAGATCATTTTTCTCTGACAGCATTGGCTTGGCCCTCCCTGCTTGGGGCCTCCAGAACAGCCATCCTTGAGGAGAGAGAGAAGGCATTTCTTTTAAGAGGAGCAGCCAAGAAAAAGTGTGGTGGCAGAACTGACTGAGGGGTGTGCAAGGAACAGTGGGGACTGGGGCTGAGGGACCTGTTGTGTTGAGGGACGTGAGATGGTAGATGCCACAGGGCCCGGCTAGTCTGGAGGGGCTCCATGGTCTATGCAGGGGATAATGGAAGGACTTGTCTTTAGCTTTGGGCCATGCATGGAAAGTAAGGGCTAATTCTTAGGCAAATTTTTGTCTTCAGCCCTAAGCATAGTATCTGGGTCATAGAGGCAAATGATAAATACATGCTAAATAAATGAATAAGCACAGGAACAGGTTTTGTCAACTGTGAAAGAGATTTAAGGCATTAGGGGTTAGGTGGATCCAAGAGGCCATTTTGTAATCCATGGAATCCCACTCTGTAGACATCTACCTTAAGGTCAGCTCTGGGTTAAAAAAGGGCTGTCTCTGCTCCCCACTGGGCAATCCCTGGGGACCAGAGCTGACTGAGCCCACAGGACCTGGACTGGTGAGGCCCATCAGCCTGCAAGCCCCTGAGGGAGTTAGCCTGCTTTATTCAGCATTGTATCTCCAGCCCCAGCACACATGGGGCTTTAGGAGTTCGTGAAATGTGCCCCAAAGGAAATTCTTCCAAATAGAGACTGTTGTGGCCACCGGGTGGTGCCATTGTTCCAGCCGAAGCCCACAGAGCCTACTGGGAAGACCACATTGTTTGGAACTTTGAGTTGAATCCAAGGTTCTTCAACATATCTCTCAGGCTCTAATCTCAATGCAGTATATTCTCATCCCATAACAAGGGGATTAACAACACAATTGTAGTTAATTTGAATTGAGAAAATCTATTTCAGAAAGCAAAATTCCAAGACCATTCTTTCTCTCAGCCAGCCAAGAAGGGCCCAACTTGTTGATAGGGGAAGGTTCTGCACAAACTGGCAAATCGGCTTGCAGGCTGAACTTCCTACACAGCTCACTACTGTGCTGATTCACAGAACTGCAGAACTCACTAAGCATTCCGGCCCCTGTGCACTATCTTGGTACCCATCATAAAGGCAGCTGGAGACAAATACAGGAAGGATCCTCAACCTAAATTCCCATCACTCCTTCCACAGCACTCTTTGCTCGCAAGCTCTTGGTGTAGGATGCGTCTCTACTCTTCTCCATATGTTCATATCCTACCTTTCCTTTAACGTTAATTTCCCAAAGAGGACTTTTGTGTGCCCCCTGCTCCTAAAACCAAAACCTTCTCTGAATCCTGGAAGCACTCTGACCAAATGGGCTCTGAGAAGCAGCACTGTGACCCACATTTTTCTGTACCTGTTGTTTCTTGACTCATGATTAAGGTGGTAATTCCCTTTAGGACAAACTTCATTTTTTGAGTTTGTTGTGTTCCTGCACACAAAAAGCACTCAGTAGATATTTATGGATGTTGAACAGCAAAGTAAAACATACTGCTTCATATTCAAAGGGCTGAGAGATGTTTAATAGCTAAACATAAAAAGAGAGAGTTCCGTGGGTCATTACTCTTGTTCTCAGATAGCTATAGATTATGATTTTAGATTATAATCTGTACACTAGCAGTATGACTTTGTATTATATTATTATTAGAAATAATATTAATAATAAGTGCATTTATTGAGTGCCTAATATATAGTAGTCACTGTGCTGTGCATTTTACATATGTACCTAATTTTTTTCTCAACAACCCTGGGAGGCATTATTTCCATTTTCCACAGGGGGAAGAGTAAGGCTCAGGAAGATTAAGTAAACTGTTCAAGTTTCTAAGTTAATGCTGGCTGAGCTCTGTGGAGTTGACTGTGGGGTTCGAAAACCCAAGCTGCTTTTCAGAATCCTTGTCCATAGGGACCAGGTCCCATAGTGGGTGTTGGGGTCATGCAAAGCTACACTTAATTAGATCCGACTCTTAAAGAGCTCACGGGCACAGAGAACACTATGGCTGGAGGAGCAGCAGCCTAGGGTGATGGCCAGAAACAATGCATCTTGGAACTTTTACAGAAGTGAATCCCTCAAATTGTCCTTCAGTAGGAACCAGACAAATCTCAAAGTACAATATACTTGCCTAGTAGAGCATGTGCAAGGAAAGTGTATCATTGCTTATATGGTATGATTTGGAGGCCACCTGGGAGACTTTCCTATCCCCAAATACCTTCCTTTCTTGCCTGTTATGATGCCCTGAATGTCACCAATAGTTCTTATTTCCTTTGAGTTTTAAGTGTTTTTACATTTCTCAACATTCTTCATGACCTATCCAACCTGGTAAGAGATGAGTTGAGAGCCATTTGGAGAAGGATGAGTGCTTGGAAGTGGCAGGGGACTGGGCTTGCTTTGGCTGTTGGCTTCTCCTGCCATGGTTGGTGATGAGGCCAGCATGCAGGCCAAAAATCTGTTAAACAAACATAGCAGGTATTGCTAGCAATAAAGATGGAGGAGAGAACTGTAATCCCAGCACTTTGGGAGGCCAAAGCAGGTGGATCACGACGTCAGGAGATCAAGACCATCCTGGTTAACATGGTGAAATCCTATCTCTACTAAAAATGAAAAAATTAGCCAGACATGGTGGTGGGAGCCTGTAGTCCCAGCTACTCGGGAGGCTGAGGCAGGAGAATGGGGTGAACACAGGAGTTGGAGCTTGCAGTGAGCCGATATCGCAACACTGAACTCCAGCCCGGGCAATAGAGTGAGACTCGGTCTCAAATAAATAAATAAAAGATGGAGGAGAGAAGACATGTCTTCAGAAAAATCTTTACTCAGCTGAAGATGCCTGCAAAAGAAATGCATTTTTAGGGATGGAAATTTCTGGCTTGACACTGAGTATTTCCTTGGCGAGAAAAAAGCTAAAAGGGCCAAATTGGCTGTCTACATGAACAGTAGGAAGCTCCCAGTCAATCTCTGATGCTGGCAATCCCTTCTTCAGAGGACAAGGATTTTCATCCTACTATTAAAAATTAAGCTAAGGGTGAAAGCCCTTGTATATTAGTCCATTCTCACACTGTTATAAAGATACTACCTGAGACTGGGTAATTTATAAAGGAAGGAAGTTTAATTGGCTCACAGTTCTGCATGGCTAGGGAGGCCTCAGGAAACTTACAGTCATGGTGGAAGGCAAAGGGGGAGCAAGGCACATCTTATATGGCAGCAAGAGAGAAAGAGAGAGTGCAAAGGGGAAACTGCCAAAAACTTTTAAAACCATCAGCTCTTATGAGAACTCCCTCACTATCATGAGAACAGCATGGGGAAAACTGCCCCCATGATCCAATCACCTCCCACCAGGTCCCTTCCTCGACATGTGGGGATTACAATTTGAGATGAGAACTAAACCATATCACCTTGGAAGAATAAATTGCTAATTTTTCTCTCTCTTGGGAATTGATTGATGTGGAGAAAAAGAAGAGGATTAAAATGTGAGGGCATTGAGCACCTGGGGGGGCAGGTGTGGCAAGATAGGTCAGGGCATCAGGGATGCCTTCGGAGTTTGCTGATTTCATAAATGTGTTATGAGTTGGTCTAAAGTGCATGTGACTGAAAATGCTGTACGCTTGAGAATTTAATAGTTTTCTGGGTTACTTTTCTAGAGTGGCTGTGGTGGGTTGAATAATAGTCTTCAAAGATATCCAGGCCCTACTCCCTGGAATTTGTTAATGTTACCTTATATAGAAAAAGGGACTTTGTGGATGTGCTTAAATTAAGGATCTTGAGAAGGGAAGATTTTTCTGGATTATCTAGGTGGCTGCTAAATGTAGTAAGAAAAATTACTGATAAGAGGAAGGGAAAGAGAAATTGGGCTACAGACAGAAGAGAAGAAGGCCATGTGATGAAAGCAGAGGGAATTGGAGTCAGAAGCAGAGAGAGAAGCTGCTGGCTTTGAAGTTGGAGGAAGGGGCCATGAGCCAGCCGAGATATGCGAAAAATGCAGCTGCAGGGACTGGAAAAGTCAAGGAAAGAGACTTTCCCCTAGAGTCTCTGAAGGGAGTACAGCCCTGCTAACACCTTGGTTTTGACTGTTTACCATTTTGGACTTCTGACTTTTAGGACTGTAAGAGAATACATGTGCATTGTTGTAAGCCATCACATTTGTAGCAATTTGTTACAGCAGCCATAGGAAGCTAATACATGGGTGGTTTGGCTTGAATATTTGTGAGTGTGATCCATTTTTTGTCCTGTTCATTTCTTCTGCCATGTGAAGATATAGCAGTTTTCCTCTCCAGAATATGCAGCAACAAGGTGCCATCTTGTAGCAGACGGAACAAGCCATCACTAGCCCCTGAATCTGCAGGCACCTTGATCTTGGAATTCCCAGCCTCCAGAATTGTGAGAAATTTATATTGTTTATAAATTACCTGGTCTCCGGTATTTTGTTGTAGCAACCAGAACAGACTAAGACTAAGACAATGGGCTAAGATGAAAATTTTTATCCATGGGATCCTACCTTTAAGGAGCTTTCAATTTCTGACAATTGTGGGTCAATTTCTGAGATAAGACCAACAGGAATCTTTGAGTGCTAACTGTGCACAATATTATTTCCTTTCACCTTTAGTTAGCAGTGGTGTGAAGCAGTGGGAAGTAAATGGGTTTATGCTCAGAGAGACCTGAGTCTAGACCTCTTGCTACGACTTATCAACTGATTGACCTTGAGAGTGTTATTTGAGCTCTTGAGTTTCAGTGGCCACATCATAAAATAGAGCTAAAAATGTAGGCTACTGTGGACATAATGATATAAGGGCTGTAATAAAATCACAACTAGCTCAGTGCCTAGTACAGTAGTATTAAATCTCTCCTCTTTCTCCCCATAGATATACAAGGTATCAATGGTTCACAGTAACTGGGGACATAATTGTGAGTTAGTAAAAAATCTAAATTTGAGGCAATTTTGGGTAAAAAAAACTCCATCTTACAGATGGGGAAATAGATTTAGAGAAATTATATGATTTGTTTAGGGTCATACTACAAGTCAGAGCCTGACTGTAGCTCTGGTCCTGCCACTCAAGTGCTCCTTACTGTTAGTGAGAGTTACTGTGATATGATCTAACACGCTTTTCTTGGATTGTCAGTGACCACAACCCATGATTAGTTCTTTGGCTTTTGGCATTCCTCCTTCTCACAGGTTGGGGGAGACTGAGTTGGGGATTAGGCACAGATAGAGAAATGAAAAAACAATTTTTTTCTAAATGGACTTGGCATGGACTTTATTGACATTAGGTAAATGGAGTCTGCTTTTTAGCAATGTTATGCACTGCGGCATAAGGGATGATGGTGTCTAGAAACAGTCCTGATGATGCTGAAACAGCAAATGCTTCATTTTCCTTGACCATAGCTGAGTTCCTTTATGCAGACCAAAAAGAAGAGGAAGAAGAAAGAGGAGGAGAAGGAGAAGGAGGAGAAGGAGGAAAATATAAAGCAAAACTCAAATCCTGTGGGATTTAAACTGGTGTGCATACTCTACATGTATGTACATACATGACTAAGGAGGTGAGCGTGTGCATGCCTGTGCCCATGTGAGCTGGCATATGCACCATGCCCTCTGTTAGCTCAGACTAGAAAGCCTCAGAAAGCAGAGCCCAACACAAGGGTTTTGTGCCAATGATTTGTTTTGGGAAGTGAATCCAGGGAACAGGAGTGGGGAACTGAGAGTTGGGAAACAGAGAAGGTGGGACCGCCAATCCAAGGATGCGTCATCGAGCTGGTCACTGCCATGGATGGCTGGGCTCAGCCCCACTGGAACCCTCTGTGGCGCTGTCCAGGATGTGCCTGGGAATGGCCCACTTGAAGACGGGAGAGGCAGTCGTTATCTGGGGGCGTTCACAACTTTCGCCCTTTTAGGCTTCCTCATGATTCAGAGTGGCTGACCACTTTGCCATGGGCATTTCACAGGCAAGGAGTAAAGAAGCCTGGGGACAGCAAGGAGAGAGAGAGTGGGGGAGCTCTAGCAGTCGGGGACGCAGGACTCTCTGGTTACATTTGCTTACAGTTGGTGTCTTCAGTAAAGGATGTGGTAACAGGGCAGGTAAAGAGGATGTGAGATGAGGCACAAGAGGTGTCTGATACATCCTCCTACCAGAAGATTCCTCTTTTGTGTTGAAACTTCAATCCTGTGGTATTATTCAAAGTATCTTCCACATGTTGAAGACCACAAGTAGAGACCTGATGGATTTTGTTTATGCTTAGGGAATTATTTAGAATTTTCCTAACTGAGGGCAAATAAAAGGAGTGACATTGGCCAAGGATCTATGATGCATCCTAGACTGCGCTAGAAGGAGGCGTGAGGGGATGAATATAACATGAGTTGCTGTCTTTAAGAAAGTGTCATAACAGAGTAGGGGTGTTGCTGACTTGTGACAATCAAATGAAAGTTAAAATTTCAGCTCCTCATCTTATTAGCTGTATGGACCTAGGATCACAACACCACTTCTCTGAGCCTCAGTTTCCTCATTGGTGAAATGAGAAAAATAATTACTTCTTTAGAGATATAATATAATAATTGAATGATGCAATGAATGTAAACTGCTTAGCCCAGTCCCTGGCACATTATATGTGTTTAAAATGGTGGTAATAAGAAGCAAGTGGGACGATATCAGCACATAGATGATTTCTGTGTATCCTGTTAAGGTCTATGTTAAAGAGAAGCAGAGTGAAGGGTGAGTGAAGGCTTTCTGAAGAAGCTTACTTCAAGATAAATAGTTGAAATAATAATACAACAAAAGATGAAATGAAATCGGTACTTTTGAGAAACGATTAGAACTAGTAGCAAATTGAAAAGTCTGAATGCTTAGGAGTAAGCCTAACAAAAGAGGGACGTGATCCACATGAGACAAAGTTTAAGGTAACAGATATACCATGTTTCTAGATGGGAAGAGACAACATTTAAAAGACGATAATTCTCAAATTATTTTATAAATTCAGTAATATGCATCCATTTTTGGCGTAAGATTCATTGCTACCTCATTTTTTTTTTTTTGAGACGGAGTCTCACTCTGTTGCCCAGGCTGGAGTGCAGTGGCAGAAGCTCAGCTCACTGCAACCTCCGACTCCCAGGTTCAAGCGATTCTCCTGCCTCAGCCTCCCCAGTAGCTGGGATTACAGGCACCTGCCACCGTGCCCGGCTGATTGCTACCTCATTATTGAAAAAGAAATTTGTCAGTATCTGTCGCATCACACCTTTTGACCTAGCAAATTCATTTCTAGGAATCTATTCTTTAGCAATACTTTAATGAGCATAAACCTGTCCAAGGCTCATTGTAATAGTCTGTATTAGTAGAACGTTGGAACCTGTCTGTTCTTTAAGGAACGATTGTATTGTATTACGGAAAGAAATGTAATGTAATGGCAAGCAAGACTTTTGTCAGCCTATGTGTATTGACAGGGAGATTTTCTAAGGCATTGAGTCACAGAATAATAGGTAGAGTATGATTCCAATTATGTAGAAAATGTAGTATGAGTGTATGTATGTGAATGAAGAAATATGAGCCTGGATGGGCACCAATTTTCCTGGAAATTGAGCGAGGTTAAATGGAGGCTTGATTTTGTTTTTCAAATGAAAGGAAATTGTGTTAGTTAATGTTTTAAAAAGGTGAAAAAGTAACAGATATATTAAATGACACTCCTAAATTCATGAAAATAGCATAGTCATCAAGTAAAAACCTAAATGGGGTTATTCATTTCTATTTTTCTTGACTTATGGCTCAGTATTTAAAATACAGCTTTTACTCATGATCATTAAATATTGATTTTTCCAGTTTTTAAAGTACTTTCAGGTTAATTTCCCTATTCATGTAAAAATCAGTGTTTGGATGACTTACCAAAGTTTTATGTTCTTTTTTTATTCCTTCATCCTCCATAATTGTTTTTCCTTTTTCCATATATTTATACTTGAATACATTCTTGATTTTTACATTTTACTTTACATCCTGCTATGCTGTTTAGATGTGTTACATGACCTCTTAGTTATACCCGTGACATCTGCGAGTCTTTTTCTTAGCTGATAGAGCCCACACTTAAAATTTGGGGGTGTCAACTCAAGATGTTCCCCAACTGTTCTCACAGGGTCACCAGCTAGTCTCACAGATCCATGATGGTGGGAGTCAGGAGCTGCCTCCACGCTTAGTCTTTTTCTGCCTTTTCGCTATCTCCTCTAAGGTCCTGCTTAAGAACCTTGAGTCTTGTGTATCCCAGGGGAAGGTTAGAGTTGCCAGAGGCTGCTCCAAAAGACAAGCAAGTCTTTCTCTTCACAGCCTCAATGGCATTTCCTAGCATCATTTGATGGGCTATCATGCTATTAGTTTCTTTTTCAGGAAGGGAGTAGACTGGAAGGAAAGAAAGCTGAGAGAGAAAAAGCAAACCTCTTTCTTCCACAGCTGATGAGAATGTAAAATGAAAGATGAGCAGGAGTTTGCCAGATAAAACATAGGAAGGAGTGGTCCCTGCAGTGGAGGCTGCTGGAGAGAAGAACAACCTGGGGAGGGTGTGAAGCATGAGCAGCTCCAAACGATGGAGAAAGCCTAGTGGGGGCCACCTGGCCAAAGTTTGTGGATACTGACTTCACAGGGTTTCTCTCCTTGCCTCAGTTTCTTCATCTATAAAATGGAAAGAATACTAGCATATACCTCACAAGATTATTGTGAGAATTAAATGAATTAACATTCCTGAAGTGCTTAAAACGGGGCCTGGTGAGTGGTATGGGCCATATAGTGTATGCATTATAATTGTGAAAAAGCTGTGGACTTTAATTATTTTGACCATTTCTTTACATATGAGTTATCTAATTTTTAAAAATTTTTCTTATAAATTTTTTTTTCAGTTTGTGGAGAGAAAAGCTGTCAACTTTGTACGTTTAAAAAACACAGTGGTTTTATTTTAAAACAGTCCCTATTATCCTGTCCTGGCCAAAAGCTTTTCGGCAGGTTTTTTTTTTTTTTTTTTTTTTTTTTTGTTGAGACGGAGTCTCGCTCTGTCACCTAGGCTGGAGCGCAGTGGCGCGATCTCGGCTCACTGCAAGCTCCACCTCCTGGGTTAATGCCATTCTCCTGCCTCAGCCTCCCAGTAGCTGGGACTACAGGCGTCCGCCACCACAGCCGGCTAATTTTTTGTATTTTTAGTCGAGACGGGGTTTCGCAGTGTTAGCCTGGATGGTCTCGATCTCCTGACCTCGTGATCTGCCCGCCTCAGCCTCCCAAAGTGCTGGGATTACAGGCGTGAGCCACTGCTCCCAGTTGGCAGTTATTTTTCAATTGGATTCATCTGAAGGTTGGGTGGCCTCTGAGCACATGCTGCGTTTTCCTCTCGGAAAAATCAATGGCAGATGGCTGTCAGTGGGCCTTTGAGTGGCCCTGAAGAACTTGTTGAAAAAACTATTTACTATAGAGGAAAGCTGTGCTTTGGGTCCAAAGTCCCCTACAGAGTCCATCCTCCTGCCTCTGTGGGCTCTGGGTGGGCCGAATGGGTGGGGATGGTGAAGTGTAGCCTGCCAGCAGGTGTGTGCTGGTAAGTTGGCTCTGCTGGATAGGAGCTTTGATTCGTAGCATTTGCTGATTACTGTAGTGTAAATCCTTCCACTATGAGGTTGCTGAGTGCAGAGTTGGGCAGAGATGAGCACAATCAGCTCTCATAAGTTGGTGTGAGCCAGCTGAGGAAGGACGTGGGCTGGATGGGAGAAACCTTATTCCTATAGCAAAGGGGCTGGAGCAGGTGAGGCTTTGGGGGATTTCTTTTTGAGCAGGGAACATCGGAGGAACCCGAAGGGAATTAACATTAGCTGAGCATTTCCTGAGTACATTCTGAGCTAGGTGCTTTGCAGACATTATCTCATTTGATCTTTGTAATGACATTGTGAGTCAGCTAACTTCAGCTCCATTTTCATATGAGAAGAGAGGGCCTCAGAGGAGTTAAGTAACTTGCCCAAGGTGACACAGTGGCAGACTGGGGGTTGCAATGAAAGGATAGTGACTCCTGGGATTGAAAGTAGCAGAGATAACGCTAATAAAAAAGTTATAGGTAATTCTCTATGGGTGAATCCATTTTAACTTCACCCCAACTGCTCTGACATAAAATTCATGGATTTAAGACCCGGGAGGAGCTTTTATTTAGCTCAAACAGATAAGGAAAGTGAGCTAGTACAGTTTGATTTTGACATAAAGTAAGGCTTATATGAGGACATGTACTTGCTGCAATAGTTAGGAAGGTGCTCTGTGCTTGTGGAAGAAAGAGACTGGGAAAGGGTGATTTCACCCTCCCAGGCTCACGCCCTTCAGGGAAAGAAGCAAGGACATCTGTCTGGGGAAAACAGTGATTCTTGGGGCCAGGAGCCCATAGGAGGATGTGCATCCTTTCTTCTCCATGGGGAAGACCCCATGAATTCTGGGGACATGAATTGAAGCCCAAGGAGAGGGACACTACTTGAGGATGCTGACAAATTGAAATCTTCAGGCAAAACCTTCAGTCAGGGGCAGATGCTTTCTGGTCTCCATCAAGGAAGGCCACCTTCAGAAACACAGTTCTCAGCATTGTGGGTCCTACTGATTTGGCTGTCACTTCTGTGCAGAGGGGATGGGGGAAAGTTTCTGGCCCTCACCTCATATTTTAGCCTTTGTCTATTAGGGAGGAGTTGAGTGGGGACATTTCAAACACGGTGTCCACCCTGCTTTATTTTCCTCTGTGAATGATTAATTAGCACCTGGTTGGAGGAGGCCACATTTACTGGGGGCATGGTTACTCTGTCTTAGAGGACCTGCAGGCATGCTCCTTGTCATGTCCTATGTCCACAGGCAGTGGGTTTCCTCTCTCTGCAAGTTCACCTGGGCAGAGCCTGCTTCCTCAGCTTTGGGCCACTTCAGTCTTTTCTCCACCCCAGATGTTTAAGTGGGTAAGTGAACTTAGGGCTATTTGTTGGGACTTGATCATTTTAATGGTGAAGGCATAAAATAGGTGCTCAGTGGAGATGAATAGAATTAGTGTTTTTCCTACCATACTGCCTTCTGGGGGTATTGCATATCCTCCTATAGAATGTGCTGTTGTGCTGTTAATATAAGTTTCACTCACGCATTCATTCTTTAATGCATTTATCAACAAATATTTATATGCCAAGACTCTGCTGAACCATTAAAGATCTCGGAGGCAGAGTCCCTCACTCTTCTCTTCTTTCTCCCACAAGCCCTGACTCACAGCTGGTTACATGGGAGTATGCAGCAAAGAGTTATGATGCCTCCTGATCTTCAGCTTCTGGAGTCCCGTGGAGTTAATCCAGGTCCCTCAGGGTCCTCAGATGCCCAGTTACAGGCTCTGAACCTATGGTGCCAGATCACATGTACTTCAGCCCTCCACCACTACAGGTGTTCGATTGGACTATGAATCGCTGGGATTTCAAAATATTCAGGCTTAATGACCCAGTTCTGGCTCATGTCTATAAAATTCAGGGAACCTTAGCTAAGCCAGTTGAAATCCATGGAGAAATGGGGTCTCAGAGCTGCAGAGGGGAGGAGAAAAGGACCCAGAACACAGCTGCCTCTGCTCTGGCAGACCCAGGAGTCTGAGCTAATGCAGCAAGGAGGGACCCAGGGAGCCAGACCTTAGTGATGGGTGAGCCACACTGTCTCCATGGGCAGAGAAAGTAGCATTTACTGGATGGAGCAGGAACTCATTTCCTTTCCAAAGAAAGGGCAACCTGTTCAAGTGGAAAGAAGAAGAGAATTATTAGCATGTGAAGCCTTCAGCTTCTTGAGGCAGAATGGCAGGAAATGGTTGCCTGGGGAACCCCTGCAGCTCAGGCTCATCTGAGGTGGGCCAGAGAATTGAGTTCAAACTCTGGGCTGGCCATTTTGTGGCTTTATGACCTTGGGCGGCCATGTAATCTCTCTGAATTCAGTTGCCTTTTCTTTAAAGTGGGGAGTAAGAACACCTCTTTATGGGTTATTGTGAGGACTTCAGGGTGATATTTTTGAAGTACCATGTACAAGACAGGCACTTGGTAAATGCTGATCTTCCTCTTTCCATCCTCAATGAACATCATTTCTGTGGTAGCTGGTCTCTAAAGATGGCCTTCAGTGAGCCAGGCCTCCCAACATTCATACCCTGGAACCTGGGCTAGCTCTCACCAACAGAATGCAGTGCAAATGATACTGTGTAATTTCAAGGCTTGGTTACTAGGAGCTGAAGCATTGCAGCTTCTCCTGAGCCTCTTGGAAGGCTTGCCCTTGGAATGCCCCTTTCAGAAGCCAGCTGCCATCATCTTATGAAGAGGACACGTATAGGCACTATGGTTGAGAGCTCCAGCTGAGTGCCTAGGCACCTGCCAGCATCAACTGTCAGTCATGTGAGTGAGTCATCTTGCATATCCAGTCCGGTCAAGCCTTCAGATGGCTCCAGCCACAGCCACTATCTGACTGTTGCCACATGAGAGACCCCAAGTGACCACCATTCAGTTAGCCCATAGAACCAAGATATATGTACATTTTTGTTTTAAGCACTATGTTTTGAATTGGTTTGTTGAGCGGTAACAACTGGAACCTTCAATAGCCAACAATTGTTTTTGTGTGGAAATTCCACCATTACTGATTTATTTCTATGAGTTAGACATTAACCTACTTGGAAGTCCCCTTTTAGAATGCAAGGTCCTTTTACCCTAGATTTTGCTGGGACTGGGTTTCAGTATTGACTGAAGAAAGAAGACAGGTGGAGAAGACAGCTTGGGGACTCTGAAGCTGAGCTCTGTGATGGGTCCAGTACCTGGCCTGAGTGCCCCAGCTCAGTTCTCAGGCTCACAGGAGGAGGCCACAGGTCCTGAGTTGCCTGTGGTGAACCCAGTGCTCTACAGCTGTTGTGCTCACTAATCTTACCCAGAACCCTGTGAAGCAGAGAGGATTACACCCATTTTATAGATGAGTAAATGGAGGCTCAGAGATGTGGAGATGTGCCCTCATTCACAATCACAGAGCCAATAAGAGCA
Source organism: Homo sapiens (assembly GCF_000001405.40). Lineage (NCBI taxonomy): Eukaryota > Metazoa > Chordata > Mammalia > Primates > Hominidae > Homo > Homo sapiens. Next base: position 140,724,981 of record NC_000003.12, on the reverse strand, counting down.
GGGCCAGGCTATGTCCATTTCTGCCTGATTCTGAAGCTGGGTCTCTTTATGTTGAGACTTTTTGGGTATTTCTGGCAGTAGTTCTTTTCCCTATCCTGAGAGCCACGCTTTGTACCAGAGGCCTGCTACATGTTTAGATGGTGGAGGTGGGGCAGTTTTCCCCAGAGGGCCATAAGCAGGGTGTGCTGTCCATCCCCTCAGAGGCCTGTGGTTCCAGAGCAAGGTCAACGGTCTTCCCTTTGGTAAGCCTCCAATCTCTGAATATAAGTTGCTATTCTCATTGAAGCCCTGATTTTTTGGGAGATAGGTCAGAAGCCCATGTATAGCTGGGTCAGGTGCCTGTTGGGTAGCCGCCAGGAGGGTCTGAGTACTTCGGTCTGACTGCTCTGCGGCTCCATCCGCTCCCATCACACATAGCCTGTTGCTGTCTCCAGGATCCCATGCACGTTCCAGGCCTCTTCACCAACAGGACAGATGAACTTGGAGAGATTAAAGTGGGAAAAAGTCTGGGCATCTCCTCTCCTCAAGACAGAAACTCACATTTTCCTGTTAGCAGCCTCTCAACATGCTGGCTTTATCTTAAAGAAACTAACAAGATGTGCTGCAGCCAAAACAGGTTTTTGACATAAACCTGCTATCAGATGGCCTATCAGTCACTCTCTGTCTACCTGCCTAACTTTCCACACAGATGGCACCTGTCTTAAATTCAGGAACAACCCCATTGTCCAAAATCAGGACTCTGGGCTGGGATAGACTCAGGAAAGCCACAGGTCACTGTGGGAGAGGGAAGGGCCTGGCTCACCCAAGGGCAGAGTGGAGGACTGCCCATGCTGTGGGCTTTCAGGTGAGGAGGGGAATTGGACAGCTGCTCTAGAACAACCCCTCATGGGGCGGGCATGTCACCAGACACTTGTCAAATACCACATCCTTTATTTCTCATGACATCTGTGTAGGATGAGCATTATGACCCCTGTTTACAGATTAGAAAACCGAGGATCAGAGATATTAAGTGACTAAGATTTTCTTCATTCATTCACTCACTCACTCACTCAATAACTATTTACTATCTTAGTTTGGGTTCCCTTGAAGCAGAGCCTGACACAAGTATTTGGGTGCATCTGATGTACTGAGGGAGTGTTTTCAGAAAATTCTATTAAGGAAGTGAAGGAAGCAGGATGGGCAGGGGAAGGAGCTGAGCAAGGATGAGGTCTTGAGTGTAGTCTGGCGTTGCCATGACTCACAGGGGCTCCAGAGCATAAATGGCACCACAGAGCTGCCCCACCTTGAGATAATGGGGCTGTGCTGTCATACCCCTGTATTAGTTGGCCAGTGGTCCCCCGAGGGTGGCGATATACCTCCCAGTGTCTCTGGGTGAAGCAGCTCCTGTGAGTGAAAGATGATTATCTGGAGAAGGCCACATGTGTAAACCTGTAGCACCAACTCTCACAGCAGAAGCTGAGGCCTGGGTGTAACCTGACACTGTAAGCATGACCAACCATCTTGATTTGCTCAGGACCAAGGGATTCCTGGGATGCATGGGCACCAACAGTGTCTACTACATTGACTGAGGGTCTTGATAAAAGTTTTCTCAAGAAAACTCTTCTTGGTCATGGAGATACAGGGATTAGTGGTAGAAAGATATGGTCCCTGTCCTCAAGCGCCCACAGTCTGGTTGAGGAGACCCACAAAAATGACAATGGCTATACTACATGGAAAGAGGCACTTGTGGCCCTAGGAATTCAGAGAAGGAACCCTCACCCAGTGTGGAGGGGTGGAACATGGGGAGTGAGGCAGAGCTTTTCCAGAGAAGGTAATGCCCAATAAGAATGTGAAAAAGAAGAGGGACTTAGCCAGGTGAAGAAGTTGGGAGAGGAAGGGAAGGGTGATATTCTAATTATGGAAATTTCAGGTTTAAAAGATCGAAACTTAACTACAGAAAAATGATGAGATGTACAAGGGTGTACCTGACATGTGTTAGTTACCTAATGTTGAGGAACAAATTACCCTAACACTTGGTGACTTAAAATAACAAACATTCATTATCTCACAATTTCTGAGGGTTGGGACTTAAGGAGCAGCTTAGTGAGGTGGTTCTGGCTCAAGGTCTCTCATGAGGTTGTAGACAAGGTTTGAGCCATCTGAGGGCTTGGCTGTGGCTGAAGGATCCACTTCCAAGATGATTCACTCACATGGCTGTAGCCAAGGGGTCTCAGTTCCTCTACAGCTGTTGACAGGGGGCCTCAGTTCCTCCCCATGTGGGCATTTCTATAGGGCTGATTGAATGTTCTCTGACATGGCAGCTGGCTTTTCCCAGAGCAAGTGACCCCAGAGAGAGCAAGATGGAAGCCACAATGCCTTTAAGACCTACCCTCAAAAGTCATGCTCAGTCATTTCCACCACATTTTATTCATTAGAAGCAAGTCAGTAGGTTTGGCCCACATGTAAGGGGAGGGGAGTTAGGCTTCATCTGTTGAAGAGTTGAAGAGTGGAGTGTCAAATAATTCATGGACATATGTTACATTTACCAAACCTCAGACTTCACTGGATCCAGGGTCAAAAATGAGGTCCATCATTATCTCTGAATCTCTCTCTCTTGCTCACTCTTGCTTCTTTTCCTGCTTTAGCTCCTACAGCTGGAAGATCTTTCCCCACTGGCAGCAAGAGGGGAGGATGGCATCTGGCAGATCCTGATTTACATTATTCCAGCTCCCTGACCTAAAAGATAAAACCTACCCCTCCTCATTTAATAAAATCAGAAGGAAAATGCAACCAGAGAATAAAAAAAAGAAAATCACAAGGAAAGGCTTTGGTTCACCTCATTTGGATCATATGGCCCATCTTGTTTTCCAAGGGAAAGCAGCTCTCTGATTGGCTGATCCTGGATCACATGCCCATTCTTATGTCTGGAAAGAATAAGAATTGTGATCATTGGTCCCTCAGGAGTCACATGGCAATGCTGAAGGAGGAAAAGCTTTTCTCAGACCACTATTTCTATTGCATGTGATAGAGGCAGGAGATAACTCCTGTAAAGGTGACAGGCAAAGAATGGGATGCTTCCTGGCTACATTTTGTGTGTGTGTGTGTATGTGTATGTGTGTTGGGGGTGGGTTAGAATGTTGGTTGGTGATGAGGGAGCTGGAGAGAGAAGACAAGGCCAAGGCTAAAGAGGGGCCAAGTGTGTGATGATGGAAGGTCTCCCATGCCACACAGAAGAACTAATATCCATCTTGAAGCAAATGGCATCAGAACAAGCGTATGCCATGATCATATCTATTTGCAGAAAGATTACCCTACAATAATTTAGAGGCTAAATTAGAGGAGGCTGACTGAAGACAAGAATGCTGGTTCAGAAAGCATTTTGGTGATATAGTTGAAAAAGTCACTTTGGAAGAATTTTAAATGTCATCACATGTGGTGAAATTTTAGTTACTCCTGTTGGGTGACTAGAATATTATAGGCAGGACAACATTCTGGCCCTTTTTATTAAGCTGTATGTTAAAACATGCTTTGGCTGGGGCCAGGCATGGTGGCTCACGCCTGTAATCCCAGCAATTTGGGAGGCCGAGGGGGTCAGATCATGAGGTCAGGAGTTCCAGACCAGCCTGGTCAACATAGTGAAACCCTGTCTCTACTAAAAATATAAAAATTAGCCGAGCATGGTGGCACATGCCTACAGTCCCAGCTACTTGGGAGGCTGAGGCAGGGGAATTGCTTGAACCCAGGAGGCGGAGGTTGTGGTGAGCTGAGATTGCGCCACTGCCCTCCAGCCTGGGCAACAGAGCAAGACAACACCTCGAAAAAAGAAAATGCTTTGGCTGTTCCTGTTAAGCCTTTTTCCTGTGTTTCTCATTTACTCAATAAATATTTGTGAGGCATTTAGTTAGGGCAATGGCTAAGCCAAAGGAATGAATTTCTGATAATAAAATATGAAGGCATCTTGACAGGTTGATAGGGGAGATATTTTTGAGTAGAAGGGATAACAACCTCCTTGTTCCATGCATAAAACTTTCAAAACTTTCTCATTCTATGATAGTTAAATATAAAATACCTCTGCTTTTCACATATTCTTAAATTTCATCCTCATAGCCTCACAGCACTTACTGGGTATGCTGTCTAATGAGTTGTCTGAGCGCAACCATCAATCCTCCCACAGGGTTCAGCACCAGTCATGGGCTTGCAGAGATGGGCCAAATAACACCATGCCACCAGCAACAGCAATGGCAATTTAAGAAGTTCTAGGCACTGTTCTAAGTGTTCTATGCATATTATCTCATTTGATTTTCCTAACAGCTCCAAAAAGTAAGTACTATTACTATTCTCATTTCACACTGAGAAAACTGAGGCTTAAAGAAGTTAAATAAGTTGTTGAAAGTCACATGCTAGAACATAGTGGTTTTGAATCCAGGCAGTGTGATTCCTACTGAACTGCTCTATGGACTCTCCTGTGCTGACTTTTGCTAACATGCCACAATGTAAGGCAGAACATGAACCTTGGGTGGAGACTCTCTAATGTGGGTCACATGGGCCATCTCCATGTGTTCTCTGGAGCTGGCAGATGGATACTATTGTAAAACTCCCCCCGGGAACATTTTGTTCTCAGTGAATCTCCAGGCAGGGTCAGGATTTCAAGCACTGTTACTCCTCTGGGAAATATCTTACAAGAAACAGCGAAGAAAAGCTTGGCAAAAAATTACAGCATATTACAGCAGGAAAATATAGTATCACTGCATGCATTTTCTTTCTGCAACTTTATACGGGTGCTTCTTTTGCATTCAGAAAGGGCTCTGAAAACATCCTTGAGGAAAACTCTGAAAATGTCCAATCCAAGTGTTGTTGTTAGGAATGCAATTCTCCAGTATTTCCAGTTCTCCTCTTTCTAGGTAGTGGCAAGTGGCATGCAACTGCTTCTTTGAGGTCAGATGTGGCCATGTGACTTGTGTTGGCCAGTGGAATGTGAGTGAAGGTGAGGTGTCTCACTGCTGGGTGGGATCCTTTAAGAGTGAGTGTACGACTCGCTGTGCTCCCTCTCTTTGCTGTGGTGTCCAGCAAGTCATGCTGTGTGGGCCTGGCTCTTAAGCTGCAGAGTCCCAGCCCACCTGTGATAGACACTGAGTAAGGGAGTGTTACACTTTTCTTATCTTAAGCTATTGATTTTGGGGTTGTTAGTTGCTTGATTGTTGTCTAGTATGTCTGTTCAACCAAAAAAGCCCTATGTTCCCCTGTTGAAGGAATTACCCTGAGTCCCTGATTGGAGTTGATCTAAAGGACAGATAATGCTTTGGAGACCATTGTATCTGGATTTTGACCCACTGATTACCTCAAAGTCACAATAGATAAATTGTAGATAAAAGTAGATAAGTAGATTAAAAAAATGAAATACTGAAATGAGGATCATAATGGCACTTGATTGATGTATGATTTGACTTTTTAGAGCTTCTACATCTACCATCATTTTTGCCTCCAATAATAACAAAAACAATATGTGACAGATTCTGTTTTCCAAAGATGGCTTAATATCTGCCATCCAATATATGCTCTTCTGCAATGTGACCTTGGCACTCCTCCATCAAGAGGTGGGGTTGAGTTCTCCATCCTTGAACCTGGGTGGGGATGGTGACTACTTTGGCCTATAGGATAAATACAGCAGAGGTTATGCTGTACCAGCTCTAGGAGTTGCCCTTCATTGGCTGGGAGCTTCTTATTCCTGCCTGCCATTAAGAGGCAGCCTCCATATAAGAAGTCTGACTGCACTGAGATTTCCATGTTGAGAGAAAGCAAGAGATGTGTTTAGAGCCTGGGATGAAACAATGTGCAGAGGGAGAAGAAGAGAAGAGAAGGGAGGGAGAGGTATAGAGATAGCGACAGAGAGATATCGAGGGAGAGATTAAGAGAGGGAGAAGAGAGAGATGGAAATTGATCAACAAGTGCCATTGTGCTAGGCCATTGTGCTAGATATGAGAGTAAAGAAGCACCATAGAATGGAATCCTCCAACTCCAGCGGCCCCAGCTGATGCCACATACAGCTAAGATTAAACAACCAGCTGGGTCCTTCCTCAAATTCTTGAACCACATAATCATGAACAAAGTAAAGGATTATTTTAGCACTATGTTTTGTGATAGTATGTTATGTAGCACTAGACAACAAAAATATAAAAAACAGCAAAACCTGGGAGGTAGAAAGGCATGACTTATTTTCTTATTTTAAAGATGAGGAGGCTGGGCACAGTGGCTCATGCCTGTAATCCCAGCTTTGGGAGGCCGAGGCAAGCGGATCATGAGGTCAAGATATCGAGACCATCCTGGCCAACATGGTGAAACCCTGTCTTTACTAAAAATACAAAAACTAGCCGGGAGCGGTGGTGCACACCTGTAGTCCCAGCTACTCAGGAGGTTGAGGTAGGAGAATCGCTTGAACCCGAGAGGTGGAGGTTGCAGTGAGCCGAAATTGCGCCATTGCACTCCAGCCTGGCAACAGAGCGACACTCTCTCTCAAAAAAAAAGATAAGGAAACTGATGCTCAAAGACATTAAATCATTTGTTTGAGGTCATAGTGCTCCTTGCTCCTTGGTGGAATAGGAAGGACTGGAACATAGATTATCAACCTAGCTGAGGGTCTTTCCACAACAAAAACTATCCTGGTACATAGGATGCTTGGGGTATAACTCACAGATGATCTATATGAGAAAGAAAATGAAGCCCGGAGAGGTTGAGGGCCTTGTTAAAGCCACACAGTGAGTCTGGGACACTGACCAGATAAGAATTCCATCTTCTGACTCCTGGGTCTAGTTCTCTGGCCTCCAGGGTTTTGATTTCACCATTATATGAAAGAGGAAGAGCCAAATTGCTTGAACAATTACAGTGTGTTTTTGTTGCCTCTGTTTCTTGGTAATACCCTGTAAAAGCAAATGATAATTCTCAGGGGGATAGTCAATAAAAAGCTGTAAAAATATCTCATTGCCACAGGCTGAACATTTGAAGGAAAATTTGCCGAGGAATGAGCCCCGTTGTTGGTGCCAAGAGACCTAAGGAAAGGAGAAGTCAAGGCATCTGCCTCCACCACAGGAGCCCCTGCTGAACCCAGAGCCCTGGCTCAAACCTACCCCTGGACATTCAATTTCTGCAAATAGAAATCAAAATAGAAGTATCTCTATTGGCATGTTTATATATAATAATTGTATATATATGTACATACATAACAATTGTATATATATGTACATATATAACAATTGTATATATATGTACATATATAACAATTGTAATATATGTACATATATAAAAATATGTCTGTGTATATACATATACACACATATAATTTATATAATGGTGTAATAATTTTGTTGACCGGTTTAAATTCCCATCATTGTCTTCCAATATGTCCTGTTAGATCTTTCTCTCCCCATAATGTTACCTCCAGATAACAAGATTCATAGCTTTCTGGTCACTTCTCAGTTATAACAGTCCCATTTTCAGGTATTAAAAGGTCTAGTCAAATATAAGTCAAAACTTTAATCTCACATCTGACTTCTCTCCTCCTCCCAGTGTAGGTGACCCAAACTTAGGGCCTTTCGGTGAGAAAGAAGGTCCTTGACTTTTTGCTCTTTCTCCCATTCCCCCCACCTCCCTGCTACTGGCTCCTGTACCCTCTACTTTTTTCCCCCAAAGGAATACCTGCATCCTCTTGCTGATCTGGCAGACACTACTTTTGAGCCAGACTCCATTAGGATAACTCAAACCCACTAACTTCTGTGGTGTCCGCTTGGCACATGGGAATCCCACACATCCTTGCCCCACCAAATAGTAGCAGTGCAGCCTGCCCAACTTTGTCTTATCTCCTCTTGTACCAACATCATAGGTATCTTCTGCCAGGCTGTGTCCTTATGGTTTTCCAGGCAGGAATCAAACATAGTCTCTAGGCTCATTATATCAAAAACTCTCAAAGGACATTATTAAGGTATATGAAGAACTCTCACCATTGTATGGGCTAGCTATTTCTGTAATGTTATTTAAGAAACCACTCCCAAGGTCAGTGACATGTAACTAGAAACATTTATTCTCACAATCATGGGCTGTAGTTCAATTGATGCAAGTTGGCCTTGCCTGGGCAGGTTGGTTTGAAGTGGTGGTTCTTCTTGGTCTTGGGCCCTAGCTGCTGGTTGGGCTCAGGTTTGCTGCATGTATGTTCCTTCTTGGCCAAAGCTAAAGGGGAAGCAGCTACCCAGAGGAAGCTATACCCAGGAGATGATAGAAGTGCAGGAGAAAAAACCAAACCACACATGCATACTTCAAACCTCTGCTTACATCAGGTCTGCTAATTTCTCATTGGCCAGAGCAAGTCCCATGACTGAGTTCAAAATTCAGGGGTCAGGAGGTAGGTATACTCTGCTCACAGTAGGGCCAAAACAAGTCACATGCTATGCCCAACACCAATGGGGTGGGAAAGAATGTGGAGATGTCTGATTGAAGGGAATATTAACTCAACAGAAATCTAGTTTACCACAATCACTGAGATGGAATCCCATTTCTGCAACTCAACTTCCAAACATTACCAGTTTCTTCAAGCAATTCTCTTCTTCCTGTCTTAAGGGGGCCACTCCTTCCTCTCCATTGTAAAGGAAGGGAGGAGACTGATTCTCTAATCCTACTTTACAGTCAATGAACTCTGTCTGAATGACTCATCTTTTCATTTATAACCAGAATGAAGAAGTGGTCACTGGGCTGGTTTTGCTGTCTTTTAGCAAGTTCTGCATGGCTGTGTCTAGGGATTCTCTTTAGAATGGGTATATATATATATATATATATATATATATATATATATATATACACACACTCATATATATATATACACATACTCATATATATATACTCATATATATACTCATATATATATACTCATATATATATACTCATATATATACTCATATATATATATATACTCATATATATACTCATATATATATACTCATATATATACTCATATATATACTCATATATATATACTCATATATATACTCATATATATACTCATATATATACTCATATATATATATACTCATATATATATACTCATATATATACTCTATATACTCATATATATACTCATATATATACTCATATATATATACTCATATATATATACTCATATATATACTCATATATATATACTCATATATATACTTATATATATATACTCATATATATACTCATATATATATACTCATATATATACTCATATATATATACTCATATATATACTCATATATATATACTCATATATATATACTCATATATATATACTCATATATATATACTCATATATATATACTCATATATATATATACTCATATATATATATATATATATATATATATATATATATATATATATGTGTCACCTTTTGATCTCAGCTTTGGAGCTTCAGCCAATCAAAGGAAAAAGTCCCAATCAAAGGAAAAGTCTCTTTCCATAGTGAAGCAGCTGCATTGTCTGGGGTATATACCCTGGGGTTTGTCATCATGGGCCAGGGAAATTTAGGACATAGACACACACGAGGAATTTAGGAGCAGAGGTTTAATAGACAGAAAAGAAGAGAAAGAGAAATAGCTCTCTCTATAGAGAAGCGGGTCTCCATGTGGAAAAGGCTGGTGGACGGCAGATGTGCTGGATTTTATAGTCAGGTTTGAGGAGGCGGTGTTTGATTTACGTAGGGCTCACAAACTGGTTCGATCAGGTATGATGTTTACATAGCTCGGGAAGGCTGGTCGCCCCACCCTAATCTTATTATGCAGATGGGCTTCCCAGTTGATCTGTGGCCAACTTGTCTGCTCCTTATTGCACACGTGGTTGACAAAGAGAAGGGAAGATGGAAACGCCATCTTGAACATGATTGGCACAACTGCCAGTATCTATGTCTGCAGCTCGATTTTACAGGCTGCTTTTCATTTGAAAGGGAACAACCTGTTTGTAACAACTTGCTTTCATGACAACTAATCTCGTCCCATGAGAGTGATAATTTGGGGCTGCTTTTCATTGAAAGGAGAACCTTACAGAGGATTTCTGTACCCTCACTATCTGCCTAAATAATTTCTTCTTAACACCTGTATCAATAGGATATGCTATAATTCTTCTCATATTATCTACTTCATTTTCCCCCCTTCATATGAATCGGTAGACATCTTTTCATGCCAAGACATACAAGACATACACAATTCTTTCATTCCTTTCTGGTTTTTTTTTTTTTTTTCAGACAAGGTCTCACTCTGTCACCCAGGCTGGAGTGTAGTGGTGCAATTTTGGCTCACTGCAACCTCTGCTTCCTGGGCTTAAGCAATCCTCCGACCTAATCCTCCTAAGTAGCTGCGACTACAGGCACATGCCACCACACCCGGCTAATTTTTGTACTTTTTGTAGAGATAGGATTTTGCCATGTTGCCTAGGCTGGCCTTGAACTCCTGGACTCAAGCTATCTACCCACCTTGGCCTCCCAAAGTGCTGGGATTACAGGCGTGAGCCACTGTTTCTGGCCTCAATCCTTTAAATGTATGAAGATATCATTATTTAAATAACAAAGCTCTTAAATGGGAGAGATCTAGGCTGTTTTTATTTTATTTTTGTTACTTTGAATACCTTTGCAATAAGCATTCCTGATATGTATCTTTATACACTTTATTTCCATGGAATTTATTACTAAAAGTGGGATTGCTGAATTAGCAATAAACTCTAATAAATAAAGATTGTACCAATTTTTACATTTTTGTGGAGAAATTCAAACCCAACATATTTTTATATAACATTTCTTCAAAACCTCTATTGCAGGAGGCATTATTACTCTCTTTAATTTTTGTAGACTAGCAATTCTGATGTAAAAATGGAAGTCCTCAGTGGTAAATCTGACTTAGAGTTGAGAAGATAAAGGCCAAAAAAAAAAAAAAAAGAAAACCCATAAAAAACCACAGTTGCCTTCTTTCCTCTTTTGTCATGCATACAGTGACTGACAGTGAAAGACTGAAAGGGTGTCTTTTTTTTAACTTTTATTTTAGGTTTGGGGGTACATGTGAAGGTTAGTTACATAGGTAAACATGTGTCTTAAAGCCGAAGGAGAGATGAGACATCAGAATCCATGGGATTCAGATTCTTTGCAGCAGCAGCAGCAGCAGCAGTTGGTGCCTACCTCCTTGAGCCCAGCTAACATGCAGACTACAGGGGAAACAAAAATGACTAAGCAGTAGACAGCCTCTTTTTTTTTTTTTTTTCTGAGACAGAATCTCACTCTGTTGCCCAGGCTGGAGGGCAGTGACACCATCTTGGCTCACTGCAACCTCTGCCTCCCAGATTCAAGCGATTCTCCTGCCTCAGCCTCCCAAGTAGCTAGGACTACAGGCATGTGCCACTATGCCCAGCTAATTTTTGTATTTTTAGTAGAGACAGGGTTTTGCCATGTTGGCCAGGCTGGTCTCAAACTCCTGACCTCAAGTGATCTGCCCTCCTTGGCCTTCCGAAGTGCTGTGGTTACAGGTGTAAACCACCATGCTCAGCCAACAAACAGCCTGTTAATGGTATGGGCAAGCAATAGATTGTGATTGCATCCACAGTTCATGAATTTATCATGCACACCATGGAACATAAGCTCTTATATTTAATAGTAAAAAAAGGTTATATCCTGGCATCAATTTTGCTGTCTTTGTTATTTAAGAACTTTAAAATATTTTCAACTTATTTATTTTCTGATTATCAAATAGATACGTTATCTTGAAAGTAGAAGAAAAACATAAAGATGCAGAAAAAGATTTGCTTATAATCCTGCTACCTAGAAGCATATAGAACATGTTGGTGTTTGGTTCTGAAGTCATACAAATATTATTTCTGGGTCTGCAGTAATGAAGTACCACCTTTGGTGGAAATTTCCTGAATTGCAGGTAATGAAGGTGATCAGTCATTTGCAAAGAAAGAAATGGAAAAAAGGAAGTGGCAAGCTTGTTCATCTTTATTTCAAGGCAAATGCCCCTAGAAGTTTATGTAGGGAGAAGTGAGAGTCTGGAAGGAGCACAGGCTTGGGACCAGAGGAGGAATGCATAGAAGTGAAGGGGAGTGCTTCAAAAAACAGTTCATTTATTCAATTCTCTTGTTATAAGGTATCTCTGCTTATTACGATTGTTAAATTTCTTGCTGTACAGGATTTCTGCTTATTACTATTGTTAAATTTCTTGATGTTTTGACAGTAGATTAAAAACAGTTTAAGCCTAACATTTTGATTGAATAATGGTTTGGGAGAAAACTAAAACATAGATTCCCCAAATCTGAAAATTAGGCAAAACTGTTTTTGTTAAATTTAACTGTTTTAGTCCATTTTTTGCTGCTATAACAGAATACCTGAGTCTGAGTAATTTATAAAGAAAAGAGATTTATTTGACTGATGATCCTGGAGGCTGGAAAGTTCAAGATGGGCCGTTGTATCTGGTGAGGGCCTTGTGCTGTGTCACAACATGGCAGGGAGCAGAAGTGGTCATATGCAAACAGACCAAACACCAGGAGCAGTCTAGCTTTGTAACAATTTGCTTTCATGGCGGCTAATCTGGTCCCATGAGAGCAAGAACTCATTCCTACCAGATAGGATTAATCTATTCATGAGGAATCTGCCCCTATAACCCAAAAACCTCCCAATAGGAGCCACCTCCCAACATCGTTATATTGGCAATTAAATTTTAACCTGAGTTTTGGTAAGGACAAACCACATCCAAACCATAGCATTAACTTTAGTTTCTGTGGTTTTAAGATAGAACGATTTTGGAAAAAGAAACAAAGAAATAAACTCCACCAAAACCTTTCTCTTAGTGTATGAGAGTCTAGGTATGGAGAGCTGGCAAAGTGGCTACAAGCAGAGATTGCAACCCAGGGACTCTGAAAATGGGGTTTATTTGCAGGAGCTTAAACAAAGGAACCCTTGGATGTGGTATGATTCTCTTCTATTTAAACCATGCTCTAAAAGGTGTCCACTTTAATTATATTAGTTGTTCCTGGTGGCATATTGCTCAGGCATTGCCTAGGCAACCCTCCATCACCAATGCCTGCACTGGACTAGGGGCCAGGGAGAAGGCGGTTGGATCACAGCAGGGATTTCTGACCCTGTCAAGTTTGAGGATCTCCTTAAATGTCAAAATATTCCTGGTACCTCCACAGGCTGACGCATGTGCTTTTAGCAGCTCTTTGTATTTTGTATTTGTTCATTGCCCCAGCAGCTTCCTGCATTTGAAAGATACAAGCTGATGTGTGGGATAAGTGCTGCTCTTTTCTCAGTCTGCACACAGTGTTTGGTGTGCATGATGATTCCTAGAGCTCGTGGGTTGCTCTGTGCCCCAAATGTTGGGCCTCCCTGGGCCAGAAGATCTCTCTAAGCTGTTCATGGTGGAGATGATGACAGCCTTCCCAAGGCTGCCCTGGGAAAAAGTACAAAGAGGTCACCTCACTCTGATCTCAGTGCAAAATAAACAAACTCAGAGATAGTCGAGTTATCTTGAATGCAGGGCCTTTGAACCTGGCATCTCTGGAATCCTGTGGAGGCACAACATTGAGATTAGGGGCTTCTTGACTTCACTGAAATCCTTTGCAAAATCTTGTGTGTATCTGCTTTTCATTATGGTCTGCCATTTTTCCAGATCTCAGAGTCCAGTATCCCTGGAAGTTGTTCAGAATGCCTCTGCCTTGAAAGATGCAGACCACATCAAGACTTGTCTAGCTGGAATGATGGCAGTCACATGGCTTGTCACTGGAATTGTAGCAATGACTCTCAATGTTGAGCACTTGCAACAACAGACCAGGCACCATGCTTGAGACTGTGGGGATGTATTCTCATTCCAAAGCCCTATAGTCTTCATGACCATCCTTCCCAACGGGTGTTACTATCCCCTTTTACAGAATAAAGCCCTGAGATCAAGAGAGTGTAAACACCTTGACAGGGTCCTACAGAAAATGGTAGAAATAGGCATATAGACCCAGTCTGAGTACCTTGATGTTGGGGCTCTCCGAGCACCACCCCAGGAAGGCAACAATTGTTCAAATGAGTCATTACCCTGGAAATTCCTGCAGATGGGTTAGGAACTTCACTTCCCCATCCACTGTTCCTGAGAGCTGAGAAGGAAGACTTTGTTTCTGTAGTTGGGAACCAATCCTTTGAGAAAATCTGCTGCTCACAGGAGAGGTCTGAGGTGGAGTTTCCTCCACCCCAGTAGGAAGATTCTCATCTTTAAACTCATAGAGGCAATGGGCTTGTTCCAAGAACTCATCTCTTCCATTTCTGTAAACCATAACTGTTCACTTTTACTTGCACAAGACCTGTGACTTTCCTTTAAACTAGGAAACAAACACTTTAGTTAGGGACAGTGAATGCCTGACTTTTGGACAACAGTAGTCATTCCTTTACTGTTTATTTTATTATTATTATTATTTTTTTGTGTGTGTGGGGAAAAGCCACCACTGAGGTGATACCACAATGCAGGGGAAGGGGAAGGGTCTGTCTGGGAAACCCAGAAATTGTGCAAAAAGGCCACAGCCTGCAGGGTGAGGCAGGATCATGGTGGGAGAAGGACAGCTCTAGTTTCCCTCCTGATGGTGGGTGGGGTTTTGTCTCCCTCATCTCAGTGGCTCCAGCATTAGCACAGTGCCTTGGCACTTAGTAAGCACTTGCTAAAGTGCTGCTGAGGAAGGCACAGTTTTCCAGCTCAGAAGTCCCAATCTGATAATAGTAAAGGGTGGAGGGAAAGCATTTTGTATATGGCAGAACCCCTACTCTAGCCAGCTTAAGTCATGAAGGAGGATTTGAGAGGCCAGGGTGGATACTGATACAGACCCAGGAACAAAGCCAGGTCCCTTCTACCTCTCACCTGAGTTTCTCCTGCCTTTCAGCATCATTCTTCAAGACCAGTTCTCTGTGAGACAGGGCATAGTGTGAAAGCAGGGTGGAGCCCTCATGCATCACAGCCTCCAGAGCAAGGGATGGGATCCATCTCAATCTCTCTGTGCCACTTACAAGCTGTGTGACCTTGGGAAAGTTACTTAACATCTCTGTGCCTCAGTTTCCAAGTCAGCAAAATGGAGATAATAATAGTGTTATTAATAATAATAGGGTTGTTGTGAGAACTAAATGAGCCAATATATGTAAAACACTTGGTATAGTTACTAGAATATAATTACAAGTGTTTGCTATTACTCTTATTATTATTATTATTATTAATTTCCAACTCAACCACCTGTATACGCTTCTCATTAGCCACAGGATAAACTTGCATTCTGTTTTTCAATGGCCTCTACAATCTGGCTACAGATCCCTCTCCAGGCTTGTCATTCATCCATCTAACATACTAGTCCAGCCCCTCTACCTTTCTTCATGCTGTTCCCCTACCTGGCATGCCTACGTTTCTTTCTCTGCTGCTCTAATTCCCTTACATTTTCGTGATGTCTGGGATGTTCCACTTCTTCCATAAACTTGGCCTGGATACTGAAGCCAACATGGGGTGAGACTGGACTTTTTTCCTGCCATTTCATGTGTGTTAGCCCATGGAACTTTATTTGCCCCTCATGCCCAGGGTCAGGCCGATGTAGCATTCAGTCAATTTGTATTGAGTGAATTTGCTATCTGCTTTGGTGCTCAGAGAGAAACTTCCCATGTCTGGCTTTAAGATGAAAGACTTTTTATTATTATTATGGTTTTCTTGGAAGAAAAAATATAAAAGAAATAAACCTTGAAACAGCCACTGTTTTATATAGAAAGCATTATTTCTGAACTAAATGATTTTTTCCTGAAAGAAAATTTAGAAATTAGATAGCTCCTCGTGGAATTGAAGGACTGGAAATGAAGTCATGCACAAATTCACAGCATCTGAAGAACTAGTTTTTGACCCTATTTTGCTAACTTCTACAACTTGGTATAAACAATTCAAGCTTCTGGGCCCGGTTCAGGTTTGCAACAACATGTGCCCCTTGGGCTTTTCTCCAAATTGCATGTTTTCCTAGATTTAGTCAATTATTTGCCTTGGAATGTACTAGCTTTTCTGGGAACTTCTACACAACCTGATTTTTCTGGTCATTTTCTGGCAGAGAAACTCCTTGATTTCAAATGAAAATGGCCTGACAGATCATTTGAAAACCAGGGTAACAGGAAAATGCCTCACTTCACTCTCTTCATTATGCCAGCCCTTCCTTCCTCCTCATCCTCTCTCTTGCTACAGATATCAAAGTGTTCTCTTAGAAACATACCTCCTAGATCTTCTAGTCCTTTAAGTCTCAAGGTAGGTCTGCATTGTTTCATAAGTTCTCACTGACCTCAGAATGGATGATGTGGTTCAGAAGCAGTGGCTGCAGATGTGTGTGTATGTGTGTGTGTTTGTGTATATATGAGTGTGTGTCTGTGTATGTTTCTGCATGCATGCATATGTGCTTGTGTGAGCCTGAATGTGTGTTCCCCACTGGGGAAGGGGAGTTGTGTGCTGGTAATACTTTTCCAAGGAAGACATGGCTATGGACAGAAGCGGGGAGGCTCAGAGGCAGCAGTGCTCCCACCACCTTGGGACTCAGGTTATCTTTTTTTCCCTGTGTATATTCCCTGCCTTGTCGCTGAAGTTCTTCGTGCTTTTCTCCTACTGCTCCCATATTAAATTCAGGCACTTATTACATTATTAATTAGACATACATAGAGTGGAATCTGGGATTTATTTATTTGTTTTGGAGTTGGGCAATGTGGAAATGATATCTACAGTTTAAATGACATCAACGTTTCCCCACAAGCCATGTTTCTCATTACCTTTCTGTCTTAGTCCATTTTGTGCTGCTTTAACAGAATGCCACAGACTAGGTAATTTATAATGAACAGAAATTTATTGATTCACAGTTCTAGAAGTTAGGAAGTCCAAGATCCAGGGGCTGGCATCTGTTGAGGGCTTTCTTGCTACATCATAACATGACGGAAGGCATCACATGGCAGAAGGGCAAAGAAAGGGTGAGAGAGAGTGAGAGAGAGCATGGGGTAGGGGGTGGGGGACACCTAAACTTGTCCTTTTGTAAGGAACCCACTCCCATAATGACAACATCAATTCACTCATAAGGGCAGAGTCCTCATGGATAATCACCTCCAAAAGATCCCCACTTCTCAATACTGTTGCATTGAGGATTAAGTTTCCAACATATGCCATTTGGGGGACACATTCAAACCATGGCATTCTCAAAACAAGAAAAGGGAGATATGGCACATAGTAAACTCTGAAAGTTTAATAATGGAAATAAATGAGCATTTTCTGGGTGTTCATGTCCCCCTTCATTGCTTCGTCTCTGCTCTTTTGCATGATATCCTCTCTTCATTGCAGTCTTTCTTCTGGCTCTCACCTCATCCAATTTCTGCCAGTCTTCAAAACCTAACTCTGGCCCTACAGCTAAAAACCATCTTCCAACAATTCAGGCCACCAGGTAGTGCTTCCCAATGCTTGTTGGGTTGGGAAAGGGCTGTTAACCAGAATTGCCCAGAGACTTTTGGAAAATACAGATGTCCAGTGCCCTACCCTGCAGAATCTGATCATGGGGTCTGGTGTGGGACCCGGGAATCCACATTTTTAAAAGCTTCATAGGTGATTCTGATGCTCATCTGGGTTTGAGACACATTGCTGCAGAGGCAAAACCACATATTGAACTGCCTAATTGCTTTTTAGTTGTCCTCGGGGTTTTCTTATGGTTAGAAAGTGATGTAGTTTGGATGTTTGTCCCCTCTGAATTGCATGTTGAAATGTAATCTCCAGTGTTGGAGATGAGGCCTGGTGGGAGGTGTTTAGATCACGGGAGCAGACTTCTCACGAATAGCTTGGTACCCCCCACCCCCAACATTGCCCCCACCCCTGCCACCATGGTAATTAGTTCATATGAGATTTGGTTGTTTAAAAAAGCCTGGAACCTCTGCCTCTCTTGCTCCTTCTCTTGCCATGTGACATGCTGGTTCCTCTTTACTTTCTGCCATGATTGGAAGATTCCTGAAGTCCTCACCAGTGCAGATACCAGCACTATACTTCATGTACAACTTGCAGAACCATGAGCCAAATAAACTTCTTTTTTTAATCAATTACCCAGCTTCAGGTACTTCTTTATAGCAATGCAAAATAGACTAATATAAAACATTAGTACTGAGAAGTGGGGCATTACTACAAAGATAACTGAGGATGTGAAAGTGGCTTTGAATCTGGGTAATGGACAGAGGTTGGAAGAGTTTAAAGGGCTCAAAAGAAGGCAAGAGGACAAGGGAAAGTTTGGAATTTCTTACAGACTTGTTAAGTTGTTGTGACCAAAATGCTGATAGAAATATGCACAGTGAAGGCCAGTCTGATGAGGTTTCAGATGGAAATGAAGAATTTATTGGGAAGTAGAGCAAAGGCCACTCTTGTTATGCCTTAGCAAAGAACTTGGCTGCATTGTGTCCATGCCCTAGGGACTTGTGGAAGTTGGAATGTAAGAATGATGACCTAGGATATGTCATAGAAGAAATTTCTAAGCAGCAAAGCATTCAAGAGTTGGAGTTGACATGGCTGCCTCTAACAACCTATGATCAGATATGGGGGTAAAGGAATGACTTAAAATTGAAACTTATAATAAAAAAGGAAGCAGAGTATAACAGTTTGGAAAATTTGCAGCCTGGCCATGTAATAGAGAAGGAAAGAGTGTTTTCAGGAGGGGAATATAAGTAGGCTGTGGAGCAACCACTTGCTAGCTCACTTAG
Organism: Homo sapiens; assembly: GCF_000001405.40. NCBI lineage: Eukaryota > Metazoa > Chordata > Mammalia > Primates > Hominidae > Homo > Homo sapiens. The sequence goes on along the minus strand of NC_000003.12, from coordinate 140,706,239 downwards.
CATGAATAAAAGGGAGCCAAGTGCTAATATCCAAGATAATGGAAAAAAGGCCTCAAAGGCATTTCAGAAATATTCCAGGCCTCCCCTCCCATCACAGGCCCAAGGGCCTAGGAGGAAAGAATGGTTGCAGGGGCCAGGCACAGGGTGCTGCTGGCCTACTCAGACTCAGGACACTGCTCCCCACATTCTGGCTGCTCCAGCTCCAGCTATGGCTCAAAAGGCCCTAGGTACAGACTGCTGCTTTGGAAAGTACATGCTGTAAGCCTTGGTGGCTTCCACATGGTGCTAAATCTGCAGGCATGTAGAATGCAAGAGTGAAGGAAGCTTGGCAGCTTCCACCTGGATTTCAGAGGATGTATTGAAAAGAAGGAGGTGGCAGAAGCCAGCCACAGGGGTGGAGCCCTCACAGAGAGACTCTACTAGGTCAGTGCAAAGGAGAAATGTGGGGTTGGAGTCCTCACACAGAATCCCTACTGGGGTGTTGCCTAGTGGAGCTGTATAAATGAGGCCAACACCCCTGAGACCTGAGAATGGTAGAGCCTCTGGCAGCTTGCACCCTCAGTTGGAAAAAAATCACAGGCACTCAACTATAACTCATGAGAGCAGTCATGGGGTTTGCACCCTGCAAAGCCACAAGGGCAGAGGTGCCCCAGGCCTTGGAGACCCACTCCTTGCACCACTGTGCCCTGGATGTGAAACATGGTGTCAAAGGGGATTATTTTAGAGCTTCAGGGTATAATGTCTGCCTTGCTGGGTTTTGGACTTGTATGGAGCCTGTAGCCCCTTTCTTTTGGCTTATTTCTCTTTTTTGGAACAGGAATATTTACCAAATGCCTATACCACCATTGTATCTTGGAAGTAAATAAACTTGTTTTTGATTTTACAGTCTCATTGGTAGAAGGAGCTTACCTAGAGTCTCAAATGAGACTTTGGATTTTTGAGTTAATGCTGGAATGAGTTAAGACTTTGAGGGACTATTATGAAGGGATGGTTGTATTTTGCAATGTAAGAAGGAAATGAGATTTGCAGCAGGGGGAGGGGGCAAAAGGCAGAATGATATATAGTTTGGATGTTTGTCCCCTCCAAATCTCATGTTGAAATGTAATCACCTCTGTTGAAAGTGGGGCCTGGTAGATGTTTGAGTTATGGGGGTGGATCCCTCATGAATGGCTTGGTGCCCCCCTACAGTTCATGTGAGCTCCTGTTGTTTAAATGCACCTGGCACCTTTGCCTCTCTCTCTCTTTCTCTCTCTCTCTTGCTCCCTCTCTTGCCATGGCCTTCTGCCATGACTGTAAAATTCCTGAGGCCCTCACCTGTGCAGATGCCAGCACTGTACTTCATGTACAACCTACAGAACTGTGAGCCAAATAAACTTCTTCTCTTTATAAATTATCCAGCCTCAGGTACTTCTTTACAGCAAGGCAAACTGGACTAATATGGAAAGCAACCTGAAGACAAGAACTAGCTTTGTGCCTTTTCGGTTTACCCTGCAGACCCTAGCTAAGGTCAGGACACTCAATGTCTTGAGTACTCTAGAAAATCAGAGTACATCCATTGATAATTTCTGAGTTTGTGTCCCCATCCCAGGCTTATCCTTTGGGCTCCAGCCTTGCATAATTGTGCTAATTATGAAGCTGTTTCCTCTTAACTCTGAAACATTTTTGGACTTAGTCTGCAATGCTGGGGCTTGGGCTCTTGCAGATGACATTTTTTCCTTGGCCAGTTAGCTCCACTAGGCTCTGCAATGAGGGGACACAAGAGGAATACAGGAAGACTGCAAGCTTGGAAGGGGGAGAAGGAAAGAGCTTCTTTCTGTTTTTTCACTATTCTGGACACCATCACTGCAATGGTCTCTCCTGGGCAGTGGCAGTATGGCAGTTGCTGTCAGTTTCCAACTTTTTCCCACACCCCTAGAACCAGCCTCATGAAAGTCCCTTAGATACACTCGCAACAACCAGGCAGTGATCCCTCCTCAGAGATGTGGATCCCAGCTAAGAGACTGTTTCTTTCATTCCACCAGCCCAGCCCAAGGGGTGATAGCAGCTCCCTGCAGTTCCCATCTCTGTGTTATCCCAGTGTCCCTTTTCTATTCAAAGTCCTATAATACCTGTTTAACCAAGTCCCCATCTTCAGTTCTCTCTGTTTAAAATAACTGGTGTGGTCTCTGTTTTCCTGACTCAGTTGAACTGTTACAATACCCAGCTGCTGCTGTTTGATTCTGCTTGGCTGCTCCTCAGGCAGCTCACACGTCACTCACCCAAGGCAGAACTCTGATATTTTCCAGAAACTTGTCATTCTATACTGTCTGGATCCACCATCACCCAGTGCTTAATCCAGAGTCACAGGCCTCATCCTTCATAGGCATTGCTCTCTCCCATGCACCCCATTGGTAAGAAAGGGCTACTGACTCCTGGAGCCCACCTCCCAGCCCAGGTGACCATCAATTTATTAACAGTCTTCCTGCCTTTTCCTTTGGCCCTCCACAACTCATTTTCACATGGAACTGAAAGTAATGCTACTAAACTGGAAATACAAGTGTGAAGTAATTTTGCTTCACATCCTTCACCAGCTTCCTGAGACACTTACTCTCTGTGATGGCCCACAAGTCCTGCCAAGGCCATTTACCTGTTTTTCTCCCCTCCTTATTCCCTGAACTCCAGCCTCTAGCTGTGTTCGTTACCTGAACATGCCAAGCCTTTTCCTGCCCCAGGGCTGTGGTACCTATTGCCCCTCTGTCCAGAATGCTTTTCTCCTCCACTCGTACATGGCTGGCTCCTGCTCATTCTTGAGGAAGCAGCTTGTAATTCATCTCTTTGAGAAGACTTTCACTGGCATCCTCTTTAGGGTTGGTACCTCTTAGCTCCATGCCTCTTTCCTTCCTAGCACTTCTCATTTCCAGTCATCTACATGCTTATATCTTCATTTATTTTATCTTACTCATTAGACTATAACGTCCATGGTGTGGGGACTGTTTTCTCTGTAATTCTCCACTGTGTCCCCACAGTCCCCTGGTCTCATTACAGATGTGTTAACAGAAAGAATGAATCTAGAATGGTTATCAAAAAAAAAAAAAAAGAAAAGGGGGGCAAGAAAAACTAATACAAATTTAGCTAGCAACTGTTCTAACAGGCTGCAAGATGTTCTCAAGTAGACACTGCCACTAATTATCTCTAATTAGGGCCATAGACACTTCTCTAAAGAAAGGCTGTTAGGGATGTTGAAATATGTAGCTGTATACAGAGAGAATATGCTTAACATAGTGGAATTTTTAATAAACATATACTTACAAATCTCTTGATTATATTTGACACACACACACACACACACACGCACACATTATATATTGCACCTCAGACATGGGCCTGGGAGGAGGGAAGCTATGTAAATCATAACCTCAGGGACCAAATAATGTGCAGTTTCTGTGCCATTAAGAAATCCACATTGCATTTGGTAGAATGGGTCAGCTACTGGTTAAGTGGGCTTCTCAAAGAATCTAGCTAGCTGTCTTGGTCACTGAATGCAAGTTTAGATGTTTTCTAGAGAGACAAGATCAGGGTGCTGTGGTTTATTTAATTCTAGCCTAGTCCTTGTTGGCACCATGAGTTGGTGTGATCATTGCAATGTAATATTCATAGAGTTCTATTTTTTTTAGTTTAATTTCATTTTAGTTCGTTAGTAGTAAAATCCCTGCTGGCGTGTCATTTAATTCGTTCTCTGTGCTAATAATGATTTCGAAGACTTTTATAGAAATGATTATATGGTAATACCAAATCTGATGGTGGATTCCAGCCATCATTTACAGTAATAGGATCATAATGAAGCTCCCTGGGGTATGCCTTCTTGTAATACTGCTTGGGGGTGGAGCAGGAATCTGCTTAGCTTCATTTTCTCACATTATCAGAAGATCCTCACTATGGATCTCTTTGTGGAATGGCCCTTTTCTGGCAGTGATGAAAAATAAAGGGTTGCAGAGCTGAAGTCCTACTGGTGAAGCTAGATGGGCTGGCCACATCTGCCAGTTGCACAGCTCATGAAAAGGTTGGGATTAGAGGAAATGGAGACCAGTTACTGCCTGGTCCTTTTCATGGACAGTCCCAGTTATGTGTGTAAACCTTCATTGTGCAAACTGGCACCTGGGGATGTTCAGAGGAGAGTCATTCTATGTGTCTGCCTTTCAGCTGTGGTGTGTCCCTCCTGGTACTAACATGTAATGTGTGCCTCACTGTCCCAAGCACTGAGGATAGAAGATGAATGAGACACCATCTCTGCTCTAAGACTCAGGACAAATGAGTCCTAAGTATCACAGGGCTGGAATGGGTGTCTTTATGGGAAATAGGGGTGGGACAGGTGGTCCCTGTGCTTAGTGGGGATGCAGGGGAGAAAGATGTTGTCATCATAATTTGGAGGATCACTGGGGAAAGTGGTTGAGCTGAGTCTTGAAAGACAGGTGGTGCTTTCTGGGAAGAAATGGCGTGGGGTTCAGTAGAGGGTCATTTCTGGCAGATAGGGCCTTGTATGACAAGAAATTCTAGGGACTTCATATTGTCTGAAAGGCCAAGCTAAGTTCAGTGAGGTTGGAGCTGATACATGATTTTGTCATTCTTCCATGCCTTGCTTCAAATGACCATAGAGGATCCTCTAACCAGGCATTCTACCGTTCTTCCTTTGCTATGTCCAGAAGGAGAAGAGGGAGGGCTCTCATTCTTTATGGCTTAGAGGTAGACCTCAGACCATGGGCTGAAAGTTGTGAAAAGGCAAATTCAAGTTCAATAATTAGGAAAAACATTTTAATGTTGGCTCCTTAAAATAGACTACATGGTGAGGTAATGAATTCCGTGGCAATCAGCGACTTGCCCAAGCATTCAAAGCTAGTTAGGCCAGCATTAGAATGCACACCTACGGGGTCCCGACTGCAAAATACAGTGTTCTTTTTACCACCTAGAAGCTGGGTGTTGCTCCTACAAAACACCACAGAATTCTGAGCCTAGGACTAGACCTGAGCAGCTGGAAATATACAGACTTGCTGAGTGCCTTGCTTATTACTGTCATCATAACAAATAGTTGTCATTGAACAAACAGCAAGCCATGTCAGGTATTTCCTTTTATTAGCTCTTACAAGATTCCTGTTGGAAAGCTGAGAGGTCATGGAAACATTTGTCTACAACCTCCTTGAAGAATGTGGTGAGAAAAATATACATACATATATGTGTGTGTATATGTCTACTTTGTGATGAGTCTGAGGTTGTTTCCTGCTCTGAAGGGGCTCAGAAGTGCTTCTGGAGGGCAGACTGGATATTCTTCAGCAGGCCCCACTTAGCTCGGTTCTTCCCATGTCCATCTGGTGTTACCACCTGCAATCAGAAGCGAAGAGTCATGACACCCAATAGACAACAGCTCCCAGTAGCCTGGGCCCTTCTGCATGTCAGACACTACACACATCATTTCATTAACTCCTCACGACCACCACAGTGGCTGTTGGTGCCACTTTATAGATGAAGAAGCTGAGGCTCAGAAGGACCAGGAAGGTTTCCCAAAGCCCCACAGCTATAGTGTCCTGGGATTGTGATTCCATAGGCCAGATCCTACTTCCCTTTAGGGTAGCTCATGTGACTAAGTGCTGATGACAGTGATGGGGCTGGACCGCAGGTGAGCTTCACCATAGAGGATCCTCTGTATCCTTCCTCAGCCATTAGAACTTGGTTCTGTCACAGCTTTTATCAGTTGTTAAGTTTCAGCTAATGCATTTGACTTTCTTACCAGACCATGAGCACCTTGATTGGGGTGTGGGGGAAATGATAGTCTTTCATCTCTGTGGTCCCAACACTAGTTATGGAAAAGAGAAGATTCTTAGAGAAGTATATGAACAGTGAATAGAACTATAATATAATATAATTTGTAAATCTGCCAGTTGTTTTCCTTTGATGCTAGCAGAAACACTTCATACTATCTTTAATTACAGTGAATGGCCAGTGCTACCTGAAAAAGAAAGACTGTACTGGGCACGAGGGGTAAGAAGAACCCTCCTAGAAATCTCACCAAGTTAGCTTAGATGTTGCCCTCCATGCCTTACCTTGAAGATACTGGGTTTCTTCACTACTGTGGTCTGGCAGCATTCCCATTCCTTCCCCCCAAATAAATATTTATGGAGTGAGGTCGAGACCCAGGGATGAAAGACAGTCCACTGGATCAATGGGCTCTGCTGAGGTGAATGAGGACTTGAGATAGAATGGGGGTGGGGTTTGTATGGTGAAGAGGAATGTTTATACAGGGCACAAAGTCTCTATGTACAAAGCTTTTAACCTTCTATATTTGTATATAAAGGGAAAGGGCAAAAACAAAGAAGCCAGACCCTTATTAGCATTATGCTCTCTACTTTTACAAAATTTTTGGTTTTAGAGAAGACAGGGCTGCATGCAAGGCAAAGGTCATATTATATACATGATATTAGATTATCCATTGCTGAGTAGAAATGGAAATAATGCATAGAGATAACCCTGATAAAAGTAGTATAAATAATGTCCAAGATACACACAGAGTTATCAGAGGGCATGAGGAAGATGGAACGGTGTTACGAGGTGTTAGGAATTAACTCATAAATAGGAGATTGAGTTTTTGCTTTAAAATATAGTCAGAATCTTCAAAGATAAAGACTGTATGTGATATGTGAATGGAGCAGTGAGGATTGAGGTGTGTCTATGAAAAAAGGGAATCAGGTAGAAAGAAGGACAGAAGAAACAGAAAAACAAAACTTGGAATATTAAAGAAATTGAAATGATAGTTGACATCTCTTCCCTGCCCCAAATGCCCCAGGCTCATATTGCTTTCCAGATGAATTCTACCAAACTCTTAAGAGTTATTCTAGAAAATAGAAGAGCAAAAAGTTTCCCAGCTCTTTTTATGAAGGTTGTGAAATATTGATTCCAGAACCAGATAAAAACAATATAAGCAAAAAATTGAGCCCAATTCCCTTATAATTATAGATGCAATAAACCAAAATAAAATACGAGCTAACTGAAGTAAACTGTATTAAAAAGTAATACATCATGAACACACAGGATTTATTCCATGAATGGAAGTGGAATTTAGTATCAGAAAAATCAGTCAATGTAATTCACTTCATTAATAATGGCCTGAAGGAGAAAAATCATGTAATTACCTCAAATAATGCAAAAAATTTAATAAGTACCTATTTCTCAGAAACCTAGAAGTAATTTTCCTTAACTTAATAAGGATTATATACCATAAAAACTAAATAAAAAATAACTCAATGGAGAAACGTTAATATCAGGAATAAGACAAGGATATCTACTAACACTGCCACAATTTTATGTATGACTCAAGGTTCTGGCCAAAGCCATAAGGAAAGAAAAAAGAAATAGAATTGTGAGAATTGTAAGTAAACAGATAAAACCATCATTCTTTATAGGAGATAGGATCATATGCCTGGGAAAACAAGCAGAAATAGCAGATTGGGTCTCAGAATAGTAAGGAGAGTTTCTGACATTGCTGGAATCAAGATTACCCTACAAACAGAAATAGTCTTTATTCTAAACCAGTAATCTATTAGAAAATATAATAAAATAACTTTCATAATATCAACAGTCTGTAAACTATTTGGTTTATTTATTTATGGTATGCAACATGATGTTTTGACATATGTATACAAAGTAAAATAATTACTACAGGCAGGCAAATTAGCATACCCACCATCTCACAGTTATCTTTTTTTGTGTGTGTGAAAAGAACACCTAAAATCTTAACAAATTTTCTATCAATACAATATTATTAACTGTAGCCCTCATGCTGTACGTTAGATCTCTAAATGATCTAGTTTAACCAGGAATATGTGCACCTATGTAGGAAAACTTAAACACCCCAGTAAAGAACATAGACTATGGTTTGAGTAAATGTTCAAACATATTACAAAAATACCATTTGTTTCCAAATTAATTTAGAAACACAATGCCTTCTGAATAAATTCTATCTGAATGTTTTCTAAGAATTCAAGTTACTCCAAAATGTATATGAAGAAATAAATTTCTATGATTAGCTAAATAATTTCTGAAAAAGAAAGAAGGATAATGGGCATACTTACCGTAGCAGTTCATAAAGACATGGCAGAAAGCTGAGGTTCAAAAATAATAAAACAAGTATGGTATTGATATAAGAGCAGAAATATAGACCCATGGCATGTAATAGAGTCCTCAGAGACATACCCCTAAATATATGGAAACTGAATATAAAAGTGGCATTTCTGGCCAGGCGCGGTGGCTCATGCCTGTAATCCCAGCACTTTGGGAGGCTGAGGCCGGCAGATCACGAGGTCAGGAGATAGAGACCATACTGGCTAACACGGTGAAATCCCGTGTCTACTAAAAATACAAAAATTTAGCCGGGCGTGGTGGCGGGCGCCTGTAGTCCCAGCTACTAGGGAGGCTGAGGCAGGAGAATGGCGTGAACCCAGGAGGCGGAGCTTGCAGTGAGCCGAGATCGCGCCACTGCACTCCAGCCTGGGCGACAGAGCGAGACTCCGTCTCAAAACAAAACAAAAAATAAACAAACAAATAAACAAAAAAACCAAAAGTGGCATTTCCATTGTATAAATATGAATAATAGATATTTCTTGGTAGATGGTATTGGGAAAACTGGTTCACTACATGGTGAAAAAGAACATCCCTACCTAGGACTACATAGGCAGAGTACATACATACATTTGATACATACAAAGGCAGAGTCTGGATGGATTAAAGAGCTAAATTTGAAAGGTGAAACTGTAAATTTAATAAAAGAATATATAGAAGGTTATCTTTGTGATCTAATCCTAAGAAAAGACTTTTTAAATAAAACTTCAAAAGGTTAAGCTATAAAGAAAAAATAATTGATGATTTTGATTATATCAAAATTAAGTATTTCTGCTATTTTATGAAGTACACTATGAACAAAGCTGATAGGCAAATGTCAGAAGAGAAGATAATACCAATGTCTAAAACCATTACCTAGAATATATAAGGACATCCTGCAAATCACCTAGAAAAAGAAAAATGCAATAGAAAAATGGGCGAAGGATATCAACAGGTTCTTTACAGAAGAAGAAATCCTGAAAACTAACAAAAATATAAAATGAAATTTAAAATAATAAGGACATATCATTTTATGCCTATTGGGCTAGCAAAATAATAGAAAACTGGATCTTGCTAAATGTAGGTGGGGCTTAGGGTATAGTGGCTCTAATCTATTCCTTATGGAAGTGTACATGGATGTGGTCAAATTAAGTACCCACATGTCAATGGCCTAGAAATTTCACTCATATGTATCTAATATGGGGCGAATTGCACCTGACCCCAAATTTATATGTCAAAGCCCTAACCCCCAGTACTTAGAGTGTGATTATATTTGGAGATAGGGCCTTTGAAGAGGTGATTTAATTAAAATGAGGACCCTAATCCAACCTAACCGGTGTCTTTATAAGAAGAGGAAATTTAAACACAGAGAGGTATCACAATGCATGTGCACAAAGGAAGGACTATGTGAGGAGACAGTGAGAAGGTGACCATCTGTAAACCAAGGAGAGAGGTCTCAGGAGAAACCAACCCTGCCAACATTTTGATTGCAGACTTCCAGCCTCAAGAACTGTGCAAAAACTAATTTCTGTTTAAGCCACCCAGTCTGTGGCATTTTCTTATGGAAGCCTTAGCAAACTAATCAATAACCCAGAGAACGCTTACACACCTATGGTGTCCATAAGGTGACATATATAAGGCTGTTCACTGCAGTATTATTGGAGGTCACCTGGGTGTCCATCCTGCCTGAAATAGACAGGTAACATGTGGTGAACAAATGCACATTCTGAAAGATCAGGTGTTATCAGGAGTAAAAGACAAAATGCCCATAACAACATAGATGGATCATAAAAACACAGCATTTAAGAAAAAAAGGTAAGAAACAAAGTAAGATATGTAACACAATGCTAATTGTGTAAATTAATAACACATTGAAAACAACAATGCAAATCATGGAAGAACACATAAAAACAAAAAGATACACATAAAACATATTAGAATGGATGTCACAAAAGGGAATATATAAATAAGAATAGGGCTTTGTATAGATCAGTGCTAATGATGGACCATGACTGAGGTGTATAATTAATTCAGACCTCTGTACATGAGGTTAAAAAGAAATCAGGTCCAGCATGATCCGAAATTATACTTGTTCCAGGATTCAAGCCTATCTACAGGGCAAGCAAAGGAAGGACCAACAGGGTTCTGCTTACATGAAAGGTCACGAGCTCTTTAGAAAAGAATAAATCCTAAGGAGATAAAGAATGCAAACCATCTTGGTTTCATTTTAGGGCACGGAGTCACTGTGAGTGTGTGGGTGGCTGTGGGGTAGGCTTGGGGTAGTTATTTTGAGTGTGAAATAGTGGTGGTCATTCAGATTGAATGACCTCCAACCCTAACCTTTGAAAGTGTGTGGCTCCAACCCTAATCTTTGAAGGTGTGTGGCTCAGCCTGAGAGTCTGCAGCAGGAAGAGGAAAAATCAGGAAGGGAATTTCATGATGGCCAGGCAGTCCTGCTGTGTGGCTGGGGTTTCAGCAGGAGCACAGGCCGAATAGGAAGACAGCAGCACTGCAGAGACTCAGGGCAGCTGGCAGGACTACTTCCTCAGCCCCATCAGACACCGAGGATGACTCTCAGTGCAGACTGAGAAGGGCTTTGAGAGGATGGTTGGGGACAGGGGTTGCTGCATTTCCTGAAGAGCTAACAGGGAAAGACCCAGAAAATTACCAATTTGTAACTATTGTTGGGCTTGAATTTTTACCTCCAAGTCTGATGTAACCTAGGACATCCACTTTACAGATTGTGGTAGACAGAATAATGGACCCCAGAGATGTCCATGTCCCAATCCCAGAACCTTTGAATATGTTAGGTTACACACATAGCAAAGGGGAATTAAGGTTGCTAGTCAGCTGGTCTTTTTTTATTTTTTTGACATGGAGTCTCACTCTGTCACCCAGGCTGGAGTGCAGTGGCTTGATCTTGGCCCACTGCAACCTCTGCCTCCCAGACTTAAGCGAGTCTCGTGCCTCAGCCTCCCAAGTAGCTGGGATGACAAGCGCACACCACCACACCCAGCTGACTTTTTTTTAATTTTTAGTAGAGACAGGATTTTGCCATGTTGCCCAGTCTGGTCTCAAACTCCTGGCTTCAAGAGATTCTCCTCCCTCAGCCTCCCAAAGTGGTGGGATTACAGGTGTGAGCCACTGCACCTGGCCCAGCTGGTCTTCAGGTAGGGAGACTAGCCTGAATTATCAGGTGGGCTCAAAGCAGTCACAAGGGACCTTCAAGGTGGAAGATGGAGGTGGAACAGAACCAGAGAGATGCTAGTGTGAAAACTCAGCCCAATGTTGCTGGCTTTGAAGATTCAGGAAGGGGCATGAGGCAAGGAATGCGGGTGGCTTCTAGAAGCTGGAAAAAGCAAGGAAATGTATTCTCCCTCAGGCCCTTCAGAAGGAATGCAATATGGCTGACACAGATTTTACCCAGTGAGACCCATTTGGACTTCTTCAGAATTGTAAGGAAATAAATAATTTGTATTATTTAAACTACTAATTTGTTACAACAACAATAGGAAACTAATACACAGATAGGCAGTTAGATTTGTCATGGGAAGCTTTCATGGAAGTCAGCTGAGATATAAAGTCAGAGGGAGACAGTGAGTCAAAGTAAGGAGACTGTTTTCAGAAATGGGTATGATGGTCAACAGATATATTGAGGACCAGAGGAAGAGCAGGGGAAGAAACTGAGGTCAACACGTACATGACTTACCTAAAAACACATTTCTCTACCCTTCAAAAATATTAATTAGGCTCTTTGATGTTAGAAGCTTTCAGCTAGGGACCATGGGCACAGAAGGGTGTGTAAGACCAACACCTATCCTCATGGACCTGAGCCTAGTGGAGTTGGGACTTGAATCCAGGTACACAAGACCAAATACAATGCTCTTTTCAATGCGTAATCTTGACTTTCAAAAAATAAAAGTTCAGCTCTCCCTGCTGTTGGCTTTGACATCATTCTCCCAGAGTAAAGTACTATGTCCCCAGGGCTGAGCCTACCCTGTTCCAGACTTAGTTCCATTTGAGCATGGTGCAGGGGAACAAAGGACTGTGGGCTTGGATACAGACCAAGGTGTCCACTCAACTCATCCTTCTATGAGGCCTCATTTTTCTTATCTGTAAAATGGAAGACACTTTGCTTCTTACAGCCTCATTTTTCTTATCTGTAAAATGGAAGCAATCACTTCCTCCTTTCCCAGTGGTTGGGATGATTAGTGATAATGAATATACCCCATCTGACATAAAAATGACCTTCAAATGGGACCTTTCAAAATCATTAAAGTTAATTTTCTTGCTGCATGTATTACACACCAAATAAATCTCTTAAAAATCAAGTCCTAGACTATGCAAATAAAATATAAAAGGTGTTATTTCACTTTTTAAAACAAAAATACGTGTGATAGAAATATTGCATTTTGGATAAGAAATGATCCTGCTGCCTCATTGCAACATTTTAAGTGAAACCTTTCAGGAATACCTGCATAGAACTGATGCCAAGGAAAAAATTTTGATTTTATAGGTAAGAAATGAAGTCATTACTTTTATGAAACTTTATAAATGTCATTCAAACACACATCTTATTTTCATTTGGTATTGAAGGCTTTACTTATGCAAATCATGACAAATGTTAAGGAAACCAGTGTTTCCTCTGGAATGCTAATATAACCACAAAGAAGGGAGGAAGAATTACTTCTGAAGGAAAAATCTATATTGCAGCTCCTCAAGTCAGATAAAAATGAAGCTTTCAGAAAACCTCATTAATTAGGGCTCTGCTCATTTAGATATTGTGTTAAAAAGAAAGGGACTGGAATGCATTTCCTTCTCTTACAGGGAGGGCAAATTAATCACATAAACACAATTTCAAGGGAAATGCTATTTTTTGACTGTATAAAACACTTAACAGCTTTCAGGCATCTTACGGTACTTTGTAATTATTAATTTTATCAATTTATTTCTTCACTCTTTAATTTAGACATTCCTTATTTGTTCATTTATTTGGTCACATTTTCACTCATATACTCATTCAATAACTATTAAGAACCAGCTATATGCAAAGTGCTGTGGTAAGCACTGTGGGAGAAAGAACCATGAATTAGATGTGAATTTTATTCTCAAGGAGTCCATAATTTCAGAAGGGCAACAAAAGCCTCTACCTAAGAAAAGCCAAGAGGGACTGAGATGGTAGACTGATGACATACTTTGGTATCTCCACCCGTTCTTTCCCTGGCATCTGAAAATAATAGATTACATATATTTTAGCAACAGTACTGAGTGCCCTTCATGGGCAAGACAGTTTTGAGGAATTCCTAAAAACTGAGAAGGCAGATGAGATTAGATGGAAGGAAAAATCCATAGTCAAGAGACATGCGGATGTGGGGCAGCCACGGGCATTCCATGCTCTGAAGAGAAGGGTATCAAGAATGAGAAGGGCTTTGGGGCAACTGAGCAGCAGTGTAATTGGCTGGAGGCTGGCAGGAGGAGTGGCTAGCAGGCTTCCCCATCTCACATCCTTCCTGTGCCAGGTTTGACCTCTCTCTCTCTCTCTCTCTATCTCTCTCTGTGTGTGTGTGTGTGTGTGTGTGTGTGTGTGTATGTGTATGTGTGTGTGTGTCCATGGGTGCTGGACTCTATGAGGTAAAGCATGTCCCCCTGGGGCTGGCAACCAGGATGAGTGGTCCCACCCTAGGAGATTTGCTATTGGTATACTGACCACCCTTACTCCTGCTTTGCCTTTATTACTAGAGGTAGCAACCACTCGGATTCTTTTCCTCGAACATTTTACTAAGGAAACAGAGTATGGTTGGTCAGATGCTGTTGGGCATTGGAGCTTTAAGGTCACACAGGGGTTGGGCCATGACAATTCAAAACCATATACAAGCTGAATTTAAGGGAGCAGAAACTAAGGGCTAGCCAAAAATGGTGCAGATCCAGAGAGAAGCAAAGAGAATGAGAGAGTGAGAGAGAGAAGGAAGCAGGGAGAGAGGAAGAGAAGAGAAAGAGGGAGAGGGAGAGAAACTGATGACTCTCCAGTTCCCTTGGGTATCAGATCAGATGCATATCCTAGAAGTGGTCTCATGAGACTTCCTGTATCTTTGTCATAAATTTCTCTTTTCAAAAGCTGAAATGAATGGACTTTTTTTTTTTCTTCTTCTTCTAAAGAATTCCTGATTAAGATGTAATCGACCCTGATTCCAAAGAACACCCTTATGGTTATATGGTAAGATAGCAGCTCTAGGCAGTCTTGGTATTTTTATTCTCTTTCTCCTTTTAATATCAATAAAATTATACTCATGAATGTGTATTCCCTGGAGATATAAAGAAGAGTAAGTCTTGGATCACAAAGAAGATAGGAATAACTTTGTCCTTTCTTTTTTGGAAGGCACACTGACCTGCTTAGTGGCAGTTTCTCGACTTTCAGATGAACAATTGTTTTTAGTATAAATAGGTTCTAAATATTGCACTGGACATATTTTATAAAAATTATTGTGTGCCAGAAATTCAAATTTAACTGGGCATCCTGTATTTTCATTAGTTAAATCTGGCACCCCATCCTTGCCTGGGAATAGCACCTCATTTTTATCTTTCTCGTACCACAATTATTTCATGTCCTTCTCACACAACAATTATTTGTTTACTAGACCCTGAGCACCTTGAAGGCAGGGATTATGTTTATTTTCCTCTGAATCTCTACATCTGTACACAATGCCTAGAACAAATGTTTTTGAATCAAATAGAACAATTCTCAGGCGACATCTGCAAAGTCTGGTTGAGGCCAGCAGCCCTCTCTTTGGCCTCAAGTTAACAAATGTTCTGTGCTTAGAGGAAGAGTCCCATAGTGAGTTCTATAATCTCACGATCATCTTAACAGGGCCTCATCCAGAACCTACCATAGAAAAAAAAATCTGTCTGAGAAATAACGCACACAATACCTTGCAGATATCACTCCATTGCCCAGGACCATTATCATTGATGGCTCTAACTTTAAACACGTATTCTGTGTTGGGGGTCAGGTTGTGCAGCTCCAGATTTTGCTGCATTATGTCCCGAATTTGTCCACAGAGCTCCATTTGTACGTTGTTAGGAGGAGAAGTAATGACTTCATAGAATTCCATCTCAAAAGAGTCCACGTCTTCTGCTGGACATGTCCAGTAAACCTATGGAAGAAATGAACATACTGGTGTGGTACTAGTATACATCATTCAGCTTTCTTTCCCTTAAAGATTTGTGATGTTGACTATCTGTGGGGTGAGTTTAAGCTGACCCCATCCCCTGTAGCTACCGAAGACTTTTAATTAGACCATGCACAAGTCTTGGAAGACTGTGTGATGAGGCCTGGCATGATGGTTGTAATGAGTTTCACAAACAGAAGGTTTCCGTTCTGTTACTGTCAGTCGACATGGAGGTGACAATTGTCCTCCTGCTTGAAAAATACCGAAAAATAGAGGGGAAGAAAATAAACATCACTCATAATATCACAATTCAGTTAATTCATTATTATTTCTTTGCAATTTCAGAACACACACACACATACAAACATATATATATATATATATATATATATATATATATATATATATATATATATATATACATAAAAACTTGGATTAAGTAGCTTTGATTTCTATTTTCTTTTACTTATGTTGTATGTTTTCCTAAATCATTAAAAATTCAGTAAACTACCATCTTTGAAATTTCTCCCAAAATAATTTAATCCTTCTATTGTTGAACATTTATGTTGTTTCTAATTTTATACTCTAATAAATAAATGCTGTAATAAATACTGTTGGGCATAAATATTTGTCTGAATTTTTAATAATTTTCTTGGAAGAGATTCCTAGAACTAAAACTGAGTTTAAAAAATCTCTATGATATTAACAATACATATTGAAAAGGTACAACACTAAGTTTCAGAATATTTTCTATGCTAAAATCCTAAAGATTTGAGAGTGATGTTAACATAAACTTAATCTTCTGCATTGCTAAGCACTATGATTCCTGTATGAAGTCCATTCCATTATCCTAAAATATGAATCGATGATATTTTAAAATCAAATATCACTGTCTGGCAGTAGGTTTAGGTGTCCTCTTTCGACAGCAAATGACTTGACTGAGTTGTTTTGCGTAGGTCTCTTTTTTGAGCTCATCAGGGATGACTAATAGGTGGCATGGGGTGACTATTTTCCATGCCCAGGTATAGAGCAGATACTAGCAATCCTCTGACTCCAGAGCAAGATCCTGCCAACTTCTCAAGAGGTCTCAGTTGGTCAAGGAGATGAGACCCAGTGCTATACTTGAGGTAATAAGCATACACGATAGGCCTTGCTGATCT
Organism: Homo sapiens; assembly: GCF_000001405.40. Lineage (NCBI taxonomy): Eukaryota > Metazoa > Chordata > Mammalia > Primates > Hominidae > Homo > Homo sapiens. The sequence goes on along the minus strand of NC_000003.12, from coordinate 140,689,792 downwards.
AGTATCAATTGGAAATGTAGTTCAGCTGCTCAGTTATGGGCATTGCTTATGTGAAGGGCAGAAACACTTCATCATGTCGATAGCTCATGGAGTGTTCTAACTTGCAAAGTATGGGTTGTTCTTTGTGTTAATTATAGACAATAAAACATAGATTGTGATGCGTCAGGAGAATGGAAAAGTAAATCTTGGTCTGTATCTGGCCTTCATTTGTTAGATCCTTAATACTAAAGTGTAGTCTGTAGACAGCAGCATTGGCAGTACCTGGAAGTTTGTGAGAACCAGAATCTCAGGCCCCTTTGAAACCTACTAAAATAGAATCTGCATTTTAACAAGATCCCCAGGTGCACATCAATGTTTGAGAACTCAAGGATCTGAAAGTCTTTGGGAGTGTTCTCAGATTATGGGAGACAAAATATGAGCTCTGCCACATGGGAGCAGGCCATGGGTTGACTGTAGGAAAAATCCAAGAGGAGGAAAGAGGCACTCTAATAGAATATTTAGTTGCATGTTAATTTTTTTCCTCCATAAACCTTAATAAAGTGTTCTACAAACAATTCCGTGTGGGTTCAGCTAGATTTGAAAGGTATGTTAAAGAAAAGCCCATTTGTTCATGTTGTCCATGTTAGGTCAAGAGGGTCAAAGGGAAGTCATGTCCCTTGAGGCCAGGCAATGGCACTTACAGAGGTCTGTGACAGACCCCACTCTTCACTCTCTCCCTTCAAGGCGGGTTGAATCTCAGAAGAGTTGAAATTTCATTGGGGATGATCCTCCCAATTTTTCCAAATCATAGAGATTCTGGATATTTGCTTTAGGAAAGGCAGCAATTTAACGGAAACAGCTGATAGGTAATGGAGCCTGCATTTCTAAGTACAATTTCTGTGCTGTCTCTATTACAGGCTTTCCTTTGGGAAACATTACACTGCCAAGTAGTGTCTTCAAATTACTTTGGTTCCCAAATTGGGTTCTCTTTCAGTTGAGAAGCTGCCTTTGCAGTGGAGGTAGGGCTTTCAGATATATTTACGATTATGAGTTAAATATATTGACTGTTTGGTTTAAGCTAATTTTGGGTTACTTAAGATTCCAGGAGCTTATCCCTTTTGAATGGGATGACCACAAAGAGTCTAGAGGAGCAGATATGAGTGACCAGATCCTAGAGGTCAAAGAGGTAAGTGCAACCTTTCCTGACTACTCACTTCTACTCTGTGCCCCACACCCTCCCACTTCCCCACTGGGCCCAGAACCTTTCTTACCTTGGCAGCTCTTGGGTACACCAGAGTCTGGTAGATAACAATTGGGCCTGGGGTCTTCACAGAGCCATCGTTGAATGAGTACCAGTTGTGGAAGCTGCTGCTGTTCTGTACAGACTGGCTGTCTGCTCCAGCACTCCAGTAGGTGTAGAGGCCGTCTGTGGGTTTGGCGGGGGTGGCTGACTGGGCTCTCCCACAGGCCTCCAGACCCACCTTGGCCTTCTTGTCAGTGTTGCTGAAGGACAACATGGAGGAGCTTCGCTGGTATATGTGCTGGTTGCCGAGGCTGTGGGTGCTGAAAGTGACCTTCCTGGCAATCATTGTTTCTGAGTGCACGGGGTAGGGGGAGGGCAGGGAGTCCCCTGAGGAGCGTACCTTCTTGGGCCCTGTGGGGAAGAGCTCATGGATGGCACTGGAAAGCTCAACAAAGTCCAAGGGCACGTAGTTTATTGAGTGCAGCCGGAGCTGTGGGTCAGGCCTGTAGGTGGTCTGGATGCCGTCCTCGATCTGGTCCACCAGGATCTTGGCTGACTGCAGGAATGCCACCTGGCCAGTCTCCTTCAGGGCTTCCTTGGAGTAGGCGATCAGACCATCCATCTCGTTCACTTTCATGGTTGTAACATACACATATTTTTCAATTTCCTTCTGCCTGGACACTTCTAGATTCTCTATCTGCTCCATGATGATCTTCTCTTTCTCCTGAAGAATGCTGCGCAACTTGAGAAAGCCATTTCTGATCTCTTTTCGCTTTGCCTCCTTGTCAGCTTTAAAGCTGTTTTTTAAGATGTTGAATTCCATTAGGTCATTATCAATTTCATATCGGACTGCAAAAATGCCAAGTTAGTTACTTTTAAAATTTTCATCTCCCCAGGTGTCAAAGTCAGTAGCAAACTAGAACAAATTACCCTAGGCTCCAAGGAGGTGAATGAAGAGGGAGGGAAGGCACTTGTAGTTGGGCTGAAACAGGCTGGAATAGGTTTATGAAATGAATTTGGTCCTCCTTAGTACACCCTTCCCCTTCTTCCCCCTCTGATCCTTCTCTGGGATATTTCTATCTTGTAACAGTAATCCCTATGGCCTTGAGTCTGAGACTGGAAGTTCAAGCCCACCCTTGATATTGGTTTTTACCAGATTTCAGTTGTCTGCAAGTTGGACTTGAGAAGAGGTGAAGTCACAAAATGACTGGTGCCTGCTTTTCCCTGTAGGAAACCTAAGCTTTTGCAGTGGTAAGAGGAAGAACTAAGTTTCTGCCGACTACTTCTAAAGGTTGTCTTGCATCATTCGCTAAGCCTCCAGCCCTATACAACAGTGGGAAATCAGCAAAGCTTCCCTTCATTGAGGTGGCTCTCTTAGATGCCCTTTTCCCCCCTTTGTCCCTCTTGTGGTTCAGCTATGTCACTTCTCCTTGCCTTTCCCCCACTCCTTTCAAAAAAGAGTCTGCTGTCACACTTCAAGGAAAACCAGTTTACCCTGTGTCCCCTCATATGGCATTTGGATTTTAAGTTCACTCAGTCATTCAACAAACATTTACTGGAGCCCTGTTACATGCCATGTATCTTTTAGGCACTAAGAATATGGATATGATTATGAGAGGGCATCTGTGCTCAAGGTATGAATAAATCCAAAGATACTACAGTTTAAGGATGCTATGGCAGGGTAAGCACGTGGCACATCTCTATCTGTGAAATGAGCTTTATATGAAAGGTGAAATGAATACCTTTGTTAGCTTTAAAGGATTTGAGGCATTAAGGAGCAATTTGAAGAATGTCACCCTTCTGTGGTCTATGCTACGGGTAAGGTTCTTCTCATGAAAGGTAAACTCTTCAGTGAATTGATGGGCAATAATCCTTACCAAATTTTACTCAGGAGTGGGGATGACTAGCTATTTTTGCACTTGGTTCATAACATTATCCTGGGTTCATAGGAAGCTGGACTTCTGTGAGTGGTGGTCGTTGTAACAAGGGTGTGCACTTGAATATGGGAAACCCTAGTGTTCTGTCAGATCATGAGAACAGGGACCACATTACCACTATGACTATGGTGTGTAGAGGTGAGCAAATGTATTTGTTGAGTAAAAGCCATTCTTTCCTGTCTTCTAACAACTCATTGGTGAATGCCAGCAGTGTCACTCTCTGGCTAACTCCCTGAAGCCCCAGTGTTTTCTTGCCACCTCCTTCCTCACACTGGCTCAGAAAAGATGAGGTGATGCAGGTGAGACTGAAAGGGAAACTACCAGGGTCCGATTTCAGTGCTGAGAAGTGCTTCTTGCCTTCCCCAATGCACTGTGACTGTGGCAGCCAGAATTCTACTTTGCGCATTATTTTCTTTGACTATTCAATAGTTACCTACTGTTAAAGATACTTGGATAGGAAATTTCTTGCTGTATTAGGGATTGATTAGGCTTATGTAGAGCAAAGTCCTGAGAAGCAGGATAAAAATTTCTTAGATGAGAGGAAAAAGGCATCTCCAGGAGGAGAAAAAAGACAGAGGAAGCCACAAATGTCCCACCCCAAACCTCTGCAAATATGAAACCTCTGCAAGAGCTGATTTTAAAGCAAAGTCAAATCAAGGTCTCTTTTAGGCAATACACTTAAAACTAGTTGTTATTTATTAAACACTTTTTATGGACCAGATCCATATGTTTTTATCTATCACATATATCTTCTTACAATGAAGATATTGTTTCCACTTATAGATGAAAAAGCTTGAGGCCCTGGGAAGTTAAGTGACTGTATAGTGTTACACATCAGGTAAATGGGAGAAACTAGGCTCTGTCCCTAATTCTATTTGTCTAGCTCCAAACTAGGTTCTTAATTGCTTCAGCTGTGGCTCTCAGCCCTCTCTGAGTACCAGAATAACCTGAGAGAGTGTTAAAAAAAAACTCTTCTCTTGGACTCATCTGCTAAGATTCTGAATCAATGGGCCTGTGTTGGGGCTCAGGAAGCCAGGTGAGGCAGTTTTCAGTGAGGTTTAGAATCGAACCCAGAGAATCTCCTGGGATCATGATAAAGATGCAGATTCTGATGCACTAGGCCTGGGGTGGGTCCTGAGATTCTGCATTTCTAACAAGCTCTCAGGTGATGCCAATGCTACTGGTCCTTGAACCATACTTTGAGTGGCAGGGACCTAAACTTTTGAGCTCCCTTTATTTCAGTGGTTCTCGACCTTGGCTGCACCATAGAATCACATGAGGAGTTTTTTAAAATTCCATCTTGCTGAGCCTGCACCTCTATGTGGATGGGACAGGGGCATCAGTTTTTAGTAAAGCTTCTAGAATGGATCTTCTCCCTAGGTCCCCCAGTTTCTCAATGTGTATTCCCAGATCACTTGCTTTTGAATAACCTGGAGATCTGTTTAGAATGCCAATTTATGGTACCTCCCAGAAAAGTGAATCAAATGCTCACGAACAAGTTTGAACCCTGGTTAAAAAATTTTTGTGTGTCTGTTTCTTCAGCAAGGATGAAAGGTTAAATTCTTTACTTACAGCTAATATCTAATTTACCAATTATCCCTTTTTCCCTTTCCAACTGCTGGGTTTCCTGGAATTTGGACAGGCATTTTCCCCCCACCTTGAATTGAGCTTTGTTGTCTGCTCAAATTTTAGGTGCCCTGGACTCAGAAAACTATCCTAAGTTTCTCCTGTATTAAGGACGAGGTTCTCTACAGAGGGATGGAAGGCACAGTAGGTTGTAGGCGGCAGTGCCTTCACCATGCTGAGGACCCAAAGAATCCAGCCAAGCCCTGGCCTAGGGAGGCAGTGAGTCCCACCTTCAGAAAACCCTTTTGGAACCAACAGTTCTACCATTTTCTTGGTAATGTGGTTCCTGCAGGGTTCCTTTAATATGAAGTCTTCCCTGGTGGTGGTTCCAAAATTAAATAAATGTCAATTGACAAGCAAGGTTTCCAGGTATGTGGCCATTGAGAAAAATTAAGGTATTCCTGAAGCTACTGAGAGGTCCGGGGTGATGTGGTCATTAGCAAAGCCTGTTTCTGACCCACCTTTACATCCAATGGGACCTTTCTGTGCAGGTCAAGGAAAAGCTGCCTCCCTCCCAAATGTGTAGGCCTATCTGAATGATGGAGACTAACAGATCTGACAAAGAGAAAGGCCTGGGTTGATCTGGTGCACTTTGGTAACTGACTGTAGGCCACTCCTTAAGGAAACAGACCATGGATGGTAGTGGTGGTTCCCCTTCCCTCCCCTTCAATCTCTTCATCTTCAGATTCTGGTCACTGCTTAGCACAAAGTAGATTGTCAAATGAATATTGTGGAATTAATGATAGGCACTGGAGTCAAATAGACTGCATCTGCCACTTATTAGCTCCCTGTCCTAATTTTTTTTTTGAACCACAGTTGTCTTATCCATGGAGGACATTTTAATGCCTGTACTGTAGCATTATTGAGATTAGACAAAATGTGCTCCACAGGCCTGAGTAAAGTGGACCTTTATACAAAGAACTATTCCTGGGGGTAAAGGGCACTAAAGGGATCTTTTGGATTCTCATGTCTGACCAGGTAGAGACATACCCAGAAATTATGGGGCTCTTTGTTGAATCCTGTGAAATATTATTATACTTGGTTTTGTCCCTGAAACCAGAAATTATGGGCTCTTTGCTGAATCCTGTGAAATACTCTTATGCTTGTTTCCATCACTGAAACCATCATTGAAATATTATTTCACTTAAAGCAATATTATATGTAACAATATAAAACAACCAAATCACCATGAACAAGCATGCAGAGGAAAAATAAGCTGTTGACTAGAATGCTATTGGCTAGTTAAGAGTTGTCCCTGTTGTTATATGTTTGCTGCCAGTTTATTTACTTTGGCATCTGCAAGTTTTGGAAAAAATTCATGGAGGGAAATTTAACATTGAGATAATTCTCAGCACTGACTTAATTATCTCCCCCTGCATATTTAGGAAAACCAAAGAGATCCAACAGTGACAGAACATCTTAGAACGTCACAGAACGTCAGTATACTATAGGATCAAAGTCTTCATTTTCCAAAGGAGAAAATGAGACCTGAGGACATGAAGATTATAATCAAGATTATAGAATCTTTATGCACTTGTCATATGACTTTTTGCATGCTTTACATAGAGGAACTCACTTAATCCTCATGGCAACCCAGTGAGGGGGTCACTACTATTCCCGTTTCATAGGTGAGAAAAGCAAGGCACGGGGAAGTTAAGTGGCTGGTGGTGGTTGCCAGGAGCGGACACCAGGATAGTGACTTGCAGGGTAGCACAGTGTTTCCTGGTGCCTTGATTGCTCCACTAGGTGGAATCTGTTAAGGCACTCACTTAACAGATTACCCCACGCCATCTTCCCCATGTGTTCCTGAACTAGAAGTTAGGCTGAAGGAGTGGAAAAGGGGAGGACCTGCTTTGAACTTGGCGATGGCGCTGAAGAGTGAGGCGGCCCTCTCGGAGCAGGCGTCGATGAGGCTAATGGTGTCGTGGCCATTGTGGAAAGAGAACTTGCAGAAGGTGCAGAGCAATTTGTTGTCATTGCGGCAGTACTCGATGATGCGGCTGGATGGGTGGTGGATGCAGATCTTCTCGTCCTGTTCCTCGGCGCTGGTGTCCACAAAGACGTGGTCTTGCATGGCCACATCCGAGTGGAAGGCCTTGAGGCAGTCGTTGCACAGGTTGAGGCGGCAGGTGATGCAGCGCTTGTAAGCGATGCGCTTGTTGCGGCAGACCTGGCAGAGGATGGGCCCGGAGGAGCGGTCAAAGCGCCACTTGAGGTAGCCGTGCTCCTGCATGTAGCGCTTGGTGAGACGCCCGTGCAGGTAGTTCTCGGGCAGCTGCATCTTGTTGCTGTAGGGCATGCAGTGCGAGCGGTCGCACACTGGGCAGATGAGGATGAAGAAGTTCTCGGTGACCTCGGCGTGCTTCTGCAGCTGCCGCAGGCACTTCTCGCACAGGCTGTGGTTGCAGGGCAGCATGAATGAGTGCAGGCGCAGCCGGCTGCACATGGGGCAATTGAGGTGGTTCACCAGGTGACTGTTGGCTGGTATTGACTTTACTTCATCCACCTGGGTATCGCTGCTCCCAGTGCGCAGGGCAGTCTTGGAGCTGAAAGGAGAAGCAAAGGCAGGGTTTCAGGAGGCAGGCTCAAGAGCTTGCTCTGCTTCTCTACCTCTGAAAGAACTCTTGGTTCCTGAGGGGCAGTCTAGTGTGGTGGTGAGGAGCCTGAGCTGGGCGCTAAGGTGCCTGCGTTCTCAATCTGTCTCCACCGTTTTTCAGCGGGGTGACCTCAGGTAAGCCAGTTAACCTCTCGGCCTGTTTCCTTGTTATAAAATTAGTACCTATGTCATAGAGTTTCTTGAGAAGATTAAAATTGAGTTTAATACTTGTACAGTCTAAGAGCAGTCCGTGGTACACAGCCAGTGTGCTGAGACTGCTTGTTGTTATTAAGCAAAGGAAAAGCAGCAGAGACTGGCGTTGTCAGCTAGGCCTTGGTGTTCGGTTGAACATCGGTAATATCAAAACACAATATGAGACAAGGCCACTCTGTGACTTTGATGGATCAAAGCAGAAACAAGACCACTTAATAATGTTTGGACTCCGACAAGAACGTTGTCTAAATCACAAAAATGATCCAACGGCCCCTGACCCTGGTTGATTTTTTTTTTTTAACCAAAAAACCTAGTTGATTTTTTTTTTTTTAACAACTTTTGGGTCACTCTGTTCTTCCTACCTTCTAGATAAGATTTATTAAGATATTCAATAGATTTACTCCCGTGTCCTTACCTAACATGAGCCCAAATCCTGTAATAACTTTTCAAGGTACCTTACACTTTCCCATGCTTTATGTTCTCACTTGTTGCAATGAGTCAATAAATTCAATCTTGTCCAACTACAGGTGTGTTCTCAGTGTTTTTTTTTTCCTGGAGGACATTGACATTATTTATTGTAAATAGATGGAACACAGAGCAAGTCTGTACCTGAGCCAAGCCTAGAACCTGTGTGATCTGCCAACCAGAGCAATAGGTAATGGTAATGGATCTGGGCTTTAGAGGCAGAATGCATGTGATAAAAAATGCACCACTTTACAGTTGTACCTTCTGAGATGTTTTTTTAAACCTCTCTCATGTTCAGTTTTCTCAACTATAAGTCAAAGCTCACAGTACTACTTGCTTTGTGAGGTTTTTATAAAGTCTAAAAGGTAATCCATGTAAGTGCTTAACTGCTGGTACATAGTAAGCATTCAATAAATGTGGCCACTATAATTACACCCCTTTGCTACTAGCCAGCTAATGTCTGCAGTAGAGAGAAATCATAGTATAGGAAAATAGTGGCCAAGTCTGTGAAAAGTATGTGCTTCCACTGTTTCATTTATGTGTGTTAAGGCTCTCCATTTGTCTAATGCCTGAGGCTGATTTCATATATTTAATCGTAAGAGCTATGGCGTAAAAGCATACTTGTAAAATTCAAGTACCTGTTCTAAGAACTTAAAATCAGCAAATGCAGTGTATAAAAATAAATGAAATAGCTGTGGGAATGGAGGTGTAAAAGGCACACAATTTGCTGCTATTGCTATCTCCTCTGTTTGCATAATAATATTTGGATACTAATCTCGACATTGCGGCTGTGTTCCTTTTTGCTTTTGTCTTCTTGCATTCCTTATGTGTCCCTGTCTTCCCTGCTCCCTTGGCCAGGAGCCTATGTCTGAGTCCTGACAGTCACAGGTGCTTCCCAAGTATATTGGAATGGAGTGGCCCTGTGGTGACAGAGAATGCTCCCTGTGTATATTAAGGCACCTGGAAAATTTGTCCCTTAGGGATCTGGGAGCTCTAGGCATGCTGGCCTCGATGTTCTCACCTCTATTTCCTCTCTGCTTTCCCAGATTCCTGCATGGGTCCTGAAGGGATCACCTGGTGGTACAGGTTAATTGTCCATGTAGTGCCTGGATGGACTTTAGTTTGCTTAAAAAAGTAAGGCCTGGAGAATCAAGGTATAATATAAAGAGAGGCTGTTATGAGGCCTTCACAGGAGGTATCTCTACTAGGAAGCTCATGAACTAGCATTTTCACAAAAAAGAAAGAAGAAGTGGGGGAGGGAGGTGTTGGAGGATGAGAAAGAGGTCTCAGGGCTAAGAGACAGGTATTAATGGCCTAGGGAGCTGTGTTAGGGGTGAAAAAGGAAGTGACAAAAAGATTAAGATGGAGAGGGATGAATGAGACCAGAGTGAGGCAGGACAAGTAAGGTGCTGAGCAGAAGGTGGTGATGAGAAGCAGGGGAGGCAGAGGGTCAGAAGCCAGGAGAGAGGCCAGATTGAAGAAAAGCACCCAGAGCCGACCTCCTAACACTTGTGGTAGCATCCCTGCCCATCCTCCAAAAGCCTCAGGCTTGGACGGGGCATTCAGTGGCCATGGTTCCATTTCAAAACAGTCATCAAGCCCAGCGCTTTTATCTTCTTGCTGAGATATCCTGTCTCTGCTCCTCTGCACAGCCCCCTCTGTCTCCCAAAATCAGGCCTGTTCTTGCACCTGGATTCTTACTGTACCACCTATCAAATCTCCTGGCTTCCCTCCTAGCCTCCTGCAGGCCATTCTGCACATTAGAATCACCTGAAGCGGGGTGGGGGGGTTGATTCTAATTAATTCAGATGCTCAGATGGTACCCCAGACCAATAAAATCAATGTTTGGGGGGGTGGGGATCAGGCATCAGTAATTTTAAAAGATCCTCAGGTGACTTCAATGCACAGTAACGTTGGGGAGCTACTGAGCCTAAGGCATTTTCCTAAAGCACCAATTTTATCCCTTTCCTGTTGAAATGGGCTCAGAGGTTCAGTTGCTGTTGCACAACTGAACAACAGGTAGTTGAGAGAGGAGTGTGGACACAATTTTCCATGTTTTAGGATTTCTAGACTTGCATCGAGAATCCCTGGATTTCCTATTTATGCAAACACTATGAGAGGGTCATGGGTGGAGAGCTATGTTTGTTAAGCATCTACTAAATGTTTAATTGCAAGATGGATAATATCTTTCCCCTGAATTCACCAAACCTTTGCTCACAGAATTGCTTTTCCAGGCTTGAAAGCCTTCAAACTGGCCTTCCATTTTTCTGCCTCTTCTAATCCTGTCATCTTATGGTGCTGTCATCTTTCCGCTTCTAAGAAGTGTGCTCTTACTACTTCAGACTCCCCTCATGTGTGACATAAAAAGACTGGTTTGGTAGAGCAGGTGAGGATAATGTAGGACCTGATATGAAGGGTTAGCACTCCAAATGAATAATTGAGACCCTAAGTACTATGACTTCTGGATGGGAAAAAGAAGGTAGTAGGAGTTCATGGATGTATGGGGTATTTATATGGTCCGCAGGGTCAAAAGTGCCCCATAGAAGTTCTTTCTTTTCCATTAAAAGTTACAGGTATTAAGAGTTCATAGGAAGAGAAAGAGCAATTTATATTTTTATATCACATACAGATTACAAAGCACATACATTAATCCTTATATCTACAATATCATGGGGGGGGTATTGTCTCCGTTTTGCAATACAGCATTTTAAAGTTAAGATCCCAAATTTTAGGTTCCAATCCTGACTCTGTATCTTTCCAGCTGTGTGATCCTGGGGCTACTTAACTTCTCAAAGGATCAGTTTCCTCATGGAAACAGTGGACTTAGGGTGAGGGGTTAGCTGGGGTCATGCATGAAGTGCCTGGCAAGTTCCTTAAGCACTAAGTATTAGCTATTACTGTTTTGTACAGATGAGAGAGTTGGGGTTCAGAAGAGTGAAGTGCTCATTTACATAGTTAATGGCGCTTAGATTTGGAGCTCATGGTCTACATACATAGTGACCATTTAGGATACAATTAATTGCTACAAAATTCTTGGCTCCTCCTTTTAGATAAAGAAATGAACTCAGAGGCTCACTGGCCTGCCCTGTAGACTTCACAGCTGGCAAGTGGTCCCTAGTTTTCATGACCCAATGCGGCCCCACATCTGGTGCCTGGCACTTACGAGGTATGGATGCTCCTGAGGCGGCCCTTGTGGAAAGTGATGATGGTATTGCGGCAGCAGCGGCTCTCATAGTAGTAGCAGTTGAGATTGCTGCTGGCTGTGCAGCAGCACTTACAGTTGGGATCATTGGCCCAAGAGCAGCAACACCAATGGCAGTTGGGGCTCTCAGAACAGGTGCAGTGGCAGAACTGGCAGTTCCGCTCATCTTTGTAAGGGCAGGGGAAGCAGGTGCAGTTCCGCTCTGAGGTGAAGATGAACTTGCAGCACAGACAGGAGCATAACTGAGGACAACATCTCTGCCATGTACAACATGGACAGCAAACGCACATAGCAGTTTCCATGGTGCCTACATGATTACCACCGGCCTCCCAGGACTCTTGATGCCTCCTCTACCAGAATACTGCTATCAGTTCTCCAGTGGAGGAGTCCTTCCTCCCATTCCTGAGGCCGTCAGCTTGAAAGTTGCAAGAAGTTGGCTGTTATGAGGACTTCACAGCTGGTGTCCCTACCAGGAAGCTCATAGGCTGGCATTTACATATATCAGTCTGAGGGTATTTGCTTATGTCACAATCCCTGTCTCTCTACCATGCTAGGTAGATAGCAGGATGCGGCCTTGTGGGTGGTAGCTGGTATGTTGGTGGAAACTCCATGCTTCCATGGAACCAGCTGTAGAGGAGTGGTGATGCAATGAGCATCCTGGAAGTTTAGTTGTCATTTGTCACCTTTTGGATAATGGAGTAGATTTCTGAAGCTATTTCTCCTTGTTTGGTGTTCTGCCTGCAATTTGGACAAGTGGACTTCAGATTATGTCTTCGTAGACTGAAAGGCTTGGGTATGGTTAATTAGAAAAGTAGATTCACATGGTTTTCCACATGTTAGAGGAATTGATAGAATTCTATTTGAACAAAGGACAGTGTTTACAAATAATAGCAATGCCATATTTAAAGAGATATCACCATTCAGAGAAAGAGTTAAAGAAAAAAATATATAGGTTCACTTAGGAACTTCTTTCAGTAGTAATTGATTTTATCAATCAATGCATAGTCGCTGCTCATTTTCATGAAGCTTTATACTTAAGTCACTCTGAATATTTCTTGGGTTTTTTGTAGCTGCATGGTGTTTGGGTGAGGTTCAAGCTTTCTGTCTTTTCCCCATCCTACCCCCACTCCAAAAAGAGGCTGGAACTCTACATTAAATCTTTAACTGTTCTGCTAGTATATGCTCAGTATTCCTAGAAAAAAGACCCTATATTTTAGGGAAGAATTTCACCTTCCCATTTAAGCAGCTTGCAAAGATTAAAAGAACAGAAATTTCATGGTCATAGTACATTATAGTATGAATACTGTCTTGTTTTTAGAAAAAGAAGCAGAAGTGAGAGCTGAGTTTAGCTGCAGGAATTTACTGCATAATTTAGTATCTCCCCCTATGGTTATCACCTTTATAATAGAGAAAATCACTGAGTGCCAACTATGCCAGCCACACATTGATATTAGATTTCTACAAGTGAAAATCCCGGCTCTTAGGGTATGTCCTTTATCTTTTTTTAAGGCAAACTGCTAAATTTCTTACTCAAATAAATGTGCCAGTTAATACCAGCAAGGAACATACAACATTCAAAAAAGTGAAACTCCTTTTCCTCACGTTTGCCAAAACTCAGTTTTATCAATCTCTCTCTCCATCCTCCAGGCACATAGGTTAGAGTTTCATTCCCAGATTTATGATACATTTTCACTATTGGTTTCTATAAGGTCTTATTAAAAACTTATTAATATGTAATTCACTTACCATTAAAGTCACCATTTTAGAGTAAACAATTAAATGGTTTTCAGTATATTCATAAAATTGTGCAACTCTCACCATTATCTAATTCCAAAATATTTTCATCACCCCCGTAAAACACTCATTAGCAGTCTCTCCCTGTTCCTCCTTTCCCTCAGCCCTTAGCAGTTACTCTACTTTTCTGTATTTATGGATTTGTCTATTCTGGAGATTTCATATAAATGCTATCATATAATGTGTGGCTTTTGTGTCTGGCTTTAATTTAGTATAATGTTTTCAAGGTTTATCTGTGTTATAGCATGTATCAGTATTTTTTTATGGCTGAATAATTTCACATGGATATACCACATTGTATTCATTGTCAGTTAATGGACATTTAGATTGTTTTCACGTTTTAGCTGTTAAATGTTTAAATGTTTCTGTGAGCATTTGTGTATACATTTTTTTTGTGTGAGCATTTTTGTAGAAATATGTTTCCAGTTCTTTTGGGTAGGTTCCTAGGTGTGGGATCATATGGTAACCCTATGTTTAACTTTTTGAGGAAATGCCAAGCTGTTTTTCAAAGTGACTGCACAATTTTACATTCCCACCAGCAATGTATGAGAATTACCATTTCTCCACATCGTTTTCCAAACTTCTTGTCTTTTTTTTCTTCTGATTATAGCTATTATAGTAGGTATAAAGTAGGATCTCTTTGTGATTTACATTTGGATTTCCCTGATGGCTAGTGATGTTGAGAATCTTTTCATGTCCTTATAGGACATTTGTATGCCTTCTTTAGAGAAATGTCTATTTAAATCTTTTGCCCATTTAAAAATGGAGTTAATATCTTTTTATTGTTGAGTTGTCAGAGCTCTTTGTATTAGCTAGATACTAGACCCTAACCAGATATGATTTGCATCTATTTTCTCCATTCTATGGTTGTCTTTACATTTTTAAATGGTGTCCTTTGAAGCACAAAAGGTTTTAATTTTGATGAAGTCAAATTTATCTCTATTTTTTTTGTAGCTTGCCCATTTGGTGTCATTTAAGAAACCACTGCCCAATCCAAGGCCATGAAGATTTACACCTATGTAATCCTATAATAAATAGCTTTATAGTTTGAGCTCTTACACTGAGGTATTTGAATTATTTTGAATTGTTTTTGTATTTGGTGGGAGTTAGGGGCCCAATTTCATTCTGTTGCATGTGAATATCCAATTGCCATAGCAACATTTGTTGAAAAGACTATTGTTTCCCATTGAGTAGTCTTGAAACCCTTGTTGAAAATCAACTCACCATAGATATATGATTTATTACTGGACTCTGAATGCTATTTCTTTGATCTATATGTCTATCCTTGTGCTAGCCACACCATCTTGATTACTGCAGCTGTGTAGTATGTTTTGAAATTGGAAAGTGTGAGTACTCCACTTTTGTTTCTGTTTTAACATTATCTTGTATTTTCATATAAATTTTAGGATCAGCACTACTACTTTTTGTGCAAAAGTCCACTAGAATTTTGATAGCTATTGCATTAAG